>NC_000011.10:3696363-3999393 GCF_000001405.40 Homo sapiens
TGGTGGCACGTGACTGGAGTCCCAGCTACTCAAGAGGCTGAGACACGAGAACCACTTGAACCCAGAAGGCAGAAGTTGCAGTAAACAGAGATTGCACTACTGCACTCCAGCCTGGGTGACAGACCAAGACTCTGTCTTGGTGCAGGGGGGAGGGAAAAAAAAAGGCCGGAGGCAGTGGTTCACGCCTGTAATCCCAGCACTTTGGAAGGCTGAGGCAGGCGGATCACCTGAGGTCAGGAGTTCGAGACCAGCCTGGCCAACATGACGAAACGGCATCTCTACTAAATATACAAAAGTTAGCCGAGTGTGGTGGCACGTTACCTGTAATCCCAGCTACTCAGGAGGCTGAGGCAGGAGAATCGCTTGAACCCAGGAGGCAAACGTTGTAGTGAGCCAAGATTATGCCACTGCACTCCATCCTGGGGTACAGAGCGAGACTGTCTCGAAAACAAAAACAAAAACAAAACAAAAAACAAAAAAAAAGGGGGGGAGTAGTAAAGCAAAAGCTTTTAGTAACCTAAAAGGCAGTACCTTTACCAGAGGTTTAGCCTTACAGTCAAAATAAACAGGAAGAAAGTGGAGTTTATGAATCAACAGCCCTAAGAATCTGACTCTGGCATGCCTTAAGATCCTCTCCTACTACATGTTGGTGTCCTGGTGAGCATAACCTTTTTTTAATGATTCATAATAAGTTCATACAAGATCAATCCCAAAGATAAATTCTCACTGTACAAATGCACAAAGACCATAAATAGTACCAGACGGAGGCTGGATGTGGTGGCTCACGCCTCTAATCCCAGCACTTTGGGAGGCTGAGGCAGGAGGGCTGCTTGACGCCAGGAGTTTGAGACCAGCCTGGTCAACATACAGACCCCATCTCTATTTAAAAAATAAAAAGAAAAGAAAACAGGAAGCTACCAGGCTAAATGTGTAGTGACAGTGGAATGCAACAAGCCCTTTATATAGCTTACTGATTCTGGCTTTTCCTGTGATTTGTTCCTTATAATCCCAAAAGTGGCAAAACTCTTCAAAATAAATCCAGTCGATGGCTCCAATTAGTTGGCTTTGGATAAATTAGGTTCCAACAATCAAGGTTTGAATAAGGATCTGATCATATTAGATTAAGCTGAACTATGCCATCCTGTATTCTTATCAAGACTTTATGGCCAGGCACGGTGGCTCATGCCTGTAATCCCAGCACTTGGGAGGCCAAAGTGGGTGGATCACTGGAAGTCACGAGTTTGAGACCACCCTGGCCAACATGGCGAAACCCTGTCTCTACTAAAAATAAAAAAAAAGACAACTAGCTGGGCATGGTGGCAGGCACCTGTAATCCCAGCTACTCAGGAGGCTGAGGCAGGAGAATCGCTTGAACCCAGGAAGTAAAGGTTGCAGTGAGCTGAGATCGTTCCACTGCACTCCAGCAGTCTGGTAAACACACAGACAGACTCTGTCTTAAAAAAAAAAAAAAAAAAAAAAAAAGATTTATATCTAGGCAGTCATTAAGTACTTGCTGAATTGCCTCATTAGTGAAAGGGAACTTAAAGAAGTAAATATATGCATATAAATTCCTTTTAAAAAGCCAGTGAGTACCTCAACCCAGAAATTCAACTTCTATATATTTATTTGAATGAATTGATATAGAACATATTTTATAGCAATTCAGAGTACTGTTTATAGTTTTAAAAAAAGTCTCAATGTGAAGGAAGAAATTTACTACTATGGTACATTTATACATAAAAGAATGCTAAGAAGTATTTGATAATTATCTGTATTACAGGGCATTTGTAATGTGCCACATGAAAAGAACAGAATATAATACACAGCAGGATATCACCTTTGAAAAGTTCACAAGCATATGTCACAGTGTCTGGACATATTTGTATGTATTACAAAGTAAAGAATTAAGTACAAATTGCACATTAAAATGTTTGCAGTGAGTAGTAGTCACAGGATTTGGGTGATTTTGATTGATAGCTTATCTATGCTTTCTAGTTTTATTACAAATGTAATATAAAATTTAAATTTTAATCAAGTAAACAATGTTTAAGGTCCTAAAAAAAGAATTAGAAGACATAGTTCGGCTGGGTGCAGTGGCTCACACCTGTAATTCCAGCACTTTGGGAGGCCAAGGTGGGTGGATCACCTGAGGTCAGGAGTTCGAGACCAGCCTGACCAACATGGTGAAACCCTGTCTCTACTAAAATACAAAAATTAGCCAGGTGTGGTAGCAGGCACCTGTAATCTCAGCTACTTGGGAGGCTGAGGCAAGAGAATCGCTTGAACCCAGGAGGAGGAGGTTGCAGTGAGCCGAGATCGCACCATTGTACTCCAGCCTGGGCAACAAGAGTGAAACTGTCTCAAAAAAAAAAAAAAAAAAAAAAAAAAGTCATGGTTCCTATTCTATAGGAATAGGTGGGTGTGATCTACCCACCTTGGCCTCCCACAGTGCTGGAATTACAGGCATGAGCCACTGAGCCCAGCCGCACTATGTCTTCTAATTCTCTGTTTAGGACCTTAAACATTGTTTACTTGATTAAAAGTTAAATTTTATGTTATATTACATATTCCACGGGAACCAGCAATCTTTCTGGGAAGTCCGCAATTAATACTCATAGGCTAGAAGCCAAAGGGAAATGCACAATTAGCGGGGAGCGGTAGGAGGCAGTGAGTAGGAAGGCGACAGAGGCGCAGAGAAGGACCATATGCCTTCCCCACCTGACTGCTGGGCCAGAGAGCAGGCCTCACTGATCCTTTTGCCTGTGAGGTAGCTGAATACAGCCTCCACAGGGCTGTTTTTTTGGGTTAAGGAGACTTCCTCTTCAATCTGAGGTGTGGCAGTACAGGATAGCCAGCGGGAGAAAGCTCTTCTTCGCTCCAGAATTTGAATGTATTCACGGGGTTCATTTAGCTGGCTGTCAAGCTCCTTCAGGTGGCCCCATAGGGCTTCACATAGTGTCCATGTCAGGCTCCAGTGCTTCACAACTAAGGCAGGAAGAGAAAAACAATGTTACGAGACAAAGTCTTACAACAACTTCACAGAGGGCATCCTTCTAACTGTGATGTTAAAAATACATAAATTAATAGACATCTCAAACAACCACTCAAGCTGATTACCCTGAATCTGTCTCTACCTCACTCAACTTCGTCTTACAATTTCCAGAAGTACATAGTATAAATAAATGCTTGCTCATATCATGTTTCTGTGGTACTTACATAACAAATGTAACCGTTAAACAGGTTCCCCAAGCCTAATTATGGCTAGTGTCATCTCAGATGATATCTACTTTGATCAAATTCTGTCTATAAAAATCAATCTACAAAAGTACTGTTTATCATTTAAGCCACTTACAAGTATGCACTGGTAAAATAACTTACACATTTGAAAAGACAATGAGACGATTAAGTAAATACAAAGAACTGAAGGAACATAAACAAATCTCAAAACGTGTGGCATAGGACATTCTAAAACAGCCCATTTTTCAATAAACGTGATTTGCTAAACAAAATGATTTTTCTACTGTTTGAAATATTAATAAATTAGATAACCCCTTTATCAAAGTATTGATTCAGAAAAACATGGTCATGATAGATGAGAAAGGTAATCTTGAAAGAAGCCAGGAAGAGGAATTACAACAAAGCTGTTGAGAAGACCAACAGTACTTGAGCTGGATATGGAAGAATGGATAGGATTTAGAAAAGCAAGAAGGGGCCGGGCTCGATGGCTCACGCCTGTAATCCCAGCACTTTGGAAAGTCGAGGCAGGCAGATCACGAGGTCAAGAGATCGAGACAATCCTGGCCAATATGGTGAAACCCTGTCTCTACTAAGAATACAAAAATTAGCTGGGTGTGGTGGCGCGCGCCTATACTCCCAGCTACAGTGACAGAGTGAGACTCCGTCTCAAAAAAAAAAAAAAAAAAAAAGTAAAGCAAGAAGGAATGTATTTCTCTCCCTATGTTCTCTGGATTAGGTAAGAAATTCAATTTTATAAATCCAAGGATTTGACTTGCTACAGTTCTTTGTGGAAGAATTTGTACATTAATGGGTAAAAGAACAAAGTGACAAGAACATAGTGACAATTTCTTCTTGCTTGGGAATCTGCTTAGTTAAACTCAACCTCAGAAAATGACAAGCACAGGCATTTACCTACTAGACTGGTGCCAGGAAATTCATCCTCCCGTGAACATACGCTACCACCACTATTATTGGGACATCAAACATTAGAAACATAGTGTGTACTCACTTTGTGCTTCTGGTAAGTCTCCTGATGCTTCTTTAACCCAATCTGCATAGTCATGAATGACAGCAACTCCCAGATTGGGGACAATGAGAGGACACAGTTCATCCACATGGACAGTGCTGTGTTTTAATTTGAGCTCCAGAGGTGTCTGATATAATTTCATGTCTTCATCTGGCTTTCTTTGTCTCAAACTGAGTTTTTCTAAGTGAACTTTGAATGGGGACTCAGTTAGGCTACAAGAGCAAATGAGGAATAGAATAGAAAATGAACCTAAGACAGAAGCTAGGATTTTTACTTCAACCAAACCACTGTTTCTTTTTATGATTACAAACGGAATGCAAACATTTCACTGTAGTTTTAAAGAAATTTTGTTTCTTAAACTATACTGAACTTATCTGCTATATACTGGGGAAAAAAAATCATCTGATCAGTGCATTCAGAACACAAAGGCTTCTTAGGCCAGGTTATAACAAGCATGAGAATCCTAACAGATTTAGAACTGGCTAAAACTCAAGGGCCAAAAGCTATTGTGGGATACCTGTTTCTCAAATTATACTTGGGTATCAAAAGTCATGAGGCTAAGCTTCTAGATACTAAAGAACTGATTCTAAATTACAATGAGCATATAGCTAAGCTAGGCTTGTTCCAATTTTTTTTTTTTTTTTTTTTTTGAGATGGAGTTTCACACTGTCGCTGAGGTTGGAATGCAGTAGCGTGATCTTGGCTTACTGCAACCTCTGCCTCCTGGGTTCAAGGGCGATTCTCCTGCCTCAGTCTCCTGAGTAGCTGGGATTACAAACATGCACCACCACCCTGGGCTAATTTTTGTAATTTTAGTAGAGACAGGGTTTTACCATGTTGGCCAGGCTGGTCTCGAACTCCTGACCTCAAGTGATCCTCCCAAAGTGCTGGGATGACAGGTGTGAGCCACCGTACCCGGCCCCTTGATCTAATTTTTAAGATTGATATTAATAACCTTCAAAATTCACAAGATAATGCTTAACCTAGAATAACTAAGTTTAGGATCAGTATTCTTAATTGTGAGGTTCAAGAGACATTGTTGTTTTTTCTTTTTCTTTTCTCTCTTTTTTTTTTTTGAGACTGAGTCTCATTCAGTTGCCCAGGCTAGAGTGCAATGGCGCGATCTCAGCTCACTGCAAGCTCCGCCTCCCGGGTTCACACCATTCTCCTGCCTCAGCCTCCTGACTAGCTGGGTCTACAGGCGCCTGCCACAACGCCCAGCTAATTTTTTTTGTATTTTTAGTAGAGACAGAGTTTCACCGTGTTAGCCAGGATGGTCTCAATCTCCTGACCTCGTGATCCGCCCATCTTGGCCTCCCAAAGTGCTGGGATTACAGGTTGTTTTTTATTTTTTCAAAGTCAACTTTAAAAATGAAGGATAGGCTGGGCAAGGTGGCTCATGACTGTAATCCCAGCACTTTGGGAGGCCAAGGTAGGACAATCACTTGAGCTCAGGAAACATTAGCTGGGTGTGGTGGCGTGTGCATGTAATCCCAGCTTATCAGGAGGCTGAGGCAGGAGAAGAGCCTCAGACTGAGAGGCAGAGGTTGCAGCAAGCTGAGATCGTGCCACCGCACCCCAGCCTGGGAAACAGAGCAAAACTGAGACTCAAAAACACACACACACACACCGGGGAAACAGAGCAAAACTGAGACACACACACACACACACACACACACACACACACTCTCTCTCTCTCTCTCTCTCTCTCTCTCTCTCTCTCTCTCTCTCTCTCTCTCTCTAGAAAGATGACAAAGCAGGGCCCTATCCTCCTGATTAGTTTTTTTCACCTATCATGTTGCCTTTCTCAAAAAGCATCAAGAAATGTGACTCACGGTTTAACAGCTACTGGATTGGGCAGGAATCCAAACTCCATGGAATCGGCAATCTGATGATTTTCTAGTTCATGAGAGCCATTCAGCTGTTCTCCACTATTAGCAAGAGTCCAGTTGGGGCCCCAACCAACACGAAATGAGCGTCCCATGAATAGGGCCATGTCCATCAAGAGTTTTCCCTTGCCATAGGTGACAGACTTTTCACGAGGGACTAGGCCTAGTTGCCTACGTGTACCCACTGTTTTCAACGGAACCTCAGGGGCTGGGCTGGGCATTGTGAACACAGAAGTCAGGGGTGGAGGGACAGACCAAGAGGATGTGGATGGGATATTCATTAAAGATGCTGCTCTGGGAGTACGACATTCTTGCACAGAGACACTTGGTGAAAGAAAAGCTCCACTTGTAAATTTTGATTGTAGTAACCCACCAACTGAAATGAAGCGGGAATGAAGGGGAGAAAGACTATTACAAAACACAAGCTATTGTTTCTTGAACAATAACAAAAATCAGTAAGGCTGAAATCATTCAATGTTTAATCAAACTACTTATATCAGATGTGGATGACCAGAAGCAGGCTAAGTCAGATTTTGCAGAAATTACTCTTTGAACTAGGAAATCAGGACAAGATTCTAATGATGATGATGATATCTACAACAATAATAAAAGCAACAACACTATTAATATTATTTAAAAATATGCAGCAGGCTCTGTATAAGTCATTTGTATATGTTATTTCATTTCACTCTTCAAAAACTTTTTTTTTTTTTTTTTGGAGACAGAGTCTCGCCCTGTAGCCCAGGCTAGAGTGCAGTGGCATGATCTTGGCTCACTGCAACCTCTGCCTCCTGGGTTCAAGCAATTCTCTGCCTCAGCCTCCCGAGTAGCTGGGATTACAGGTGCCCGCCACCATGCCTGGCTAACTTTTCTGTATTTTTAGTAGAGACAGAGTTTCACCATGTTGGCCAGGCTGGTCTTGAACTCCTGACCTCGTGATCCACCTGCCTCAGCCTCCTAGAGTGCTGCAATTACAGGCATGAGCCACTGCACTTGGCCTCAAAAACTTTTAAATGATTAGCATTATTATCATTCCTATTGTATATATGAGAAAACTGAGCTCAGATAAGTGACTTGTCCAAATCTACAAAGTGACAGGACCAGGAGACAAGCCAAGGTTAAGTCTGGCACCACTCCTCATGCCCTTATCAGAATCCTAAAGGTAACGATTTCTTAGCACATATAAAAGTAAGATCAAAACTCAAATTCCTACTCTACTCTAAACAATGCTACAGTCAACGAAATAAAAACACACTAGGTATCTTACAATTGTACATGTGACCTTCTGAAGGACAGTTCTTTAAAAAAAAATTTTTTTAACATTTAAATTTTTATCTAGCTAGCTAGCTATTATAGGGATGGAGTCTTGCTATGTTGCCCAGGCTGCTCTCCAAATCCTAGCCTCAAGCCATCCTCCTTCCTCAGTCTCCTAAAGTGCTATGATTATAGGCATGAGCCACTGTGCCCGGCTGAAGGACAGTTCTTATTACCAGTGCCTGTTTCCCAATTTTACGTGGCTTTTGTCTAAAGCATGGAGTTAAATATTATTGAAGTACCAGATTTTCATGTAGTATCCATTACGGAAAAGGTTATTAAGAATGTTTAACTGATACTTTTTTGGTTAATATATTTTCTTTCTTTCCTCTATACCAAAGGGAAGTTAAAAATATTTTTAAAAAGCAAAGTTGATAATAAGGGAACTCAAAAGAATTGAAAAATATTTAGTTTTTAAAGCAATATAAACAAATGTCTCTCTGCCAGTTCCTCTGGCTTTCAAAATATGTTGAAACTACATCTGCTTAAGTTCTTTGCTGATATTAAAACTTTATTTCCAATCCCACATAGTTACAAGCCCACTAGAAAAGAGAAAACTTTAAAATCAAATATGTAATCACTTCCCTGGGAATTTAAAAAGGTTTAGTGAAAAGTAGAAATCTGATGTGCTCTGTGCATTACGAGAAGCAATACTTGTCCCTAGAAGACAATAAGACAGTGCTGTAAGGACTGCACAAAACAAGTATAGTGCAGGACAACTTGCTGAACTAAGTAATGTTATAAAAATTGGGAAGTCAGAGCTTACTATCTAATCCACATTCATAAGCAAACAAAAACATGAACCTAAACAAAGCACAAATGCTTTTTTTCTCCATACACTTCTGCATCTGCACAAACAGAGGTAATTCTAGTTCTTAAAAACCGGCCACTCCTGCCAGGTGCAATGACGCATACCTGTAATCTCAGCACTTTGGGAAGCTGAGGCAGGATGATCAGTTGAGGCCAGAAGTTCAAGACCAGCCTGGGGCAAGATAGCAAGATCCATCTCTATAAACATTTAAAAAAATAATTAGTTGAGTAGTGGGTATATGCCCATAGTCCTAGCTACTCAGGAGGCTGAGACAGGAGGACTGCTTGAGCCCAAGAGTTCAAGGCTGTAGTAAGTGCGACTGCATAACTGCACTCCAGTCTGTGCAACAGAGAGAGACCCTGTCTCTAAAAACAAAAAACCTGGCTACTCTTAATGAATACTTATAAGTACAATTTCTCTTAGCACCCTTATGTCACAGGTATAGTTGTTTGGCAGATACTTGCTAGAGAAGTCCACTTGGGTTAGAAGAAGAAAAGTGAAAAGCAGGACTTGATGACTGTACAGCTTTCTTGTAAAATAGCATCTTTTATACTGTACCTAGTGAACGAGTTTTCGACGAGTGGGATGCTGAAATGGGGAGTCTGGGAGAACAGATTTCTTGAGAAGTATCTGCTTTGGAAGGCAGGCGACTGAAGCGTTGATCCAGTGCCATATCTACATCTTCTTCATCAGTAAGCAATGATGCTTTCATGATCTAAAAAGGCAATATCTATAGAATGAATGTGCTTCCCAGAATCAAAAGGCCATACCAAAAAAAAATGCAGTTTACAACAACCAAAAATATTGTTCCTCCTCAAGGCTGTGTACAGAGCTAGTATATTTGTGTGATGGATGGACCCCATTACACTGTGTGTGCCTGAAAGGCAGAATTCATATAATACTTCTCTTCTTTGTATCTATAGCGTCTCACCAGAGCCTGGCACACAGCAGTTGCTATGTTTGCTGATAAAATAATTTTAAAGTCAAACATAAGCCAAAGGTTAAACACATAACACACCAAAAGGCACTGGGATAAAGGGAAGTAAAGACATAGCTTAAAGAAACCTGTGCTACTAGGTACTAAAATTTTTAAATTTTGTGGAGCACATACAGAGTCTTAAAAGTACCCTGTGATGTAGACAAAGTAATATTTTATAGAGAAAAATCAGTACTCACAGCTATTATATGACTTGCACAAAGTAATAAAGTTACAAAATTGGGATTGGGGCCGGGCTCAGTGGCTCATGCCTATAATCCTAGCACTCTGGAAGGCCAACGCGGGCAGATCACCTGAGGTCAGGAGTTCGAGACCAGACTGACCAACATGGAGAAACCCCTTTCTCTACTAAAAATACAAAAAAAAAAAAAAAAAAAAGTAGCCAGGTGTGGTGGTGGTACACGCCTGTAATCTCACCTACACAGGAGGTTGGGGCAGGGGAATCACTTGAACCCAGGAGGTGGAGGTTGCAGTGAACCAAGATCACACCACTCCACTCCAGCCTGGGCGACAGAGCAAAGAAACTCTGCCTCAAAAACAAAACACAACAAAATTGGGATTGGAACTAGGACTCTGGATTCTAATGCAGTTAAAACCAGAAACCCTATCTACTAGTTCTCAATATAGCCTTATCTCCTTGAATAAGAGAATGAGGCCCAGACATTGGCCATATTCTTGTATTTTTTTTCCCCATTACAGTGAGCACTCAATGATCTTAATAACCAAGGAAGAGACCTGATCCTATGCAATGGAGATAAAATATTAGTTTGGCTTTCTGTTACAAAAAAGGTGGGTTAGAACTTCACCTGTAAGACATGTGGATTAATTCCCAGTGAAGATGCAATATGTGTTGAGGCAGACACAGGTTCCTGATCCTCAGGCATGCTCTCTTCTAACATGGTATCCAAAACTGGCTCCTGGGTGATATCTACCATGTCACTGTCCAGTTCCACAACCCTCCCTAACTGCTCCACCTCTGGGCTCTGGCTCTGTAGACAGCAGAAAGATCAGGAAAGCAGCATTAAATTATACCAAACAGAAATAGATTCTAAATCAGATTTACTTTATTCAGAATATGATACAACAATTATTAGATTCAGCCCATTCTATGGTGAGGTAAGGTAGCAGATTTGCTAGAGTGATTTAAAATCAATTACCCCAAGATAAACCAGTACTTTGATCCAAATAAGGATTCATGTAGTCATCCCATTCTAATATTACGACCTGGTGTCTGGGACCTAAACCAGCACCCATGGTGAAACAAATGGTGGTCTTCAGAGACAAAGATTATGCTTTACTTGATCTAGCTAGCAACTACAATTTTCTGATTTACACAGGGTCACCTTTTCCTAACACTGCCAGAAGACATTGGAAAAAAAGAACAAAAGGTACAAATATCAAAGTCTCCAGTAACTTTGCTTTTTCTTAAAAACATTTAGAAATAAATTTCTAGTCAACACAATCTTGGGTCTGGAATTTAACTTTTGGGTTACTGAATCCTAAGGTTAGCTGGTCTCTACTTGTGCAGTACCACGTAAGATACGAGCACTATCTACTCTTCCAAAAAACAAAGTAATAATATTAGGAACAATTTTAATCTGGGAAGAATCCCTTTATGTTTAAAAATGTCAAGAGTTATATTTACATTTATTAAGCAGTTTTAAAGACAACTATGACTAACAGTCTATGATTTAAAAGGGTAAACACTCAAAGCTGAAACACACTGTAAATTAATTGGTACAGTACAAATTCAATTACCTATATCCTAAAATGTTAGCAAATGACTAAGCCAATATTTGAAATATTTTCAAACCAAAAAAAATTCTAGACTGGGTTTGATGGCTCAAGCTTGTAATCTCAGCACTTTGGGAGGCCGAGGTGGGCAGATCACTTGAGGTCAGGAGTTCAAGACTAGTCTGGCCAACATGGTGGTGAAACTGTCTCTACTAAAAATATAAAAATTAGCCGATGTAGTGGCATGTGCCTGGGATTACAGGCACATGCCTATAATCCCAGCTACTCGGGAGGCAATGGAGGTTGTAGTGAGCCAAGACTGGGCCACTGCATTCCAGCATGGGCAACAGAATGAGACTCTGTCTCAAAAAAAAAAAAAAAATCCTGAAGGAGGAAAAAGCCCTGGTAATGACACCCAGGGCTCCCACTTAAATTTTAAGAACAGTGGCTGGTCATGGTGGCTCACACCCATAATCCCAGCACTTTGGGAGACTGAGGTGAGTGGATCACCTGAGGTCAGGAGTTCGAGACCAGCCTGGTCAACATGAAGAAACCCTGTCTCTACTAAAAATACAAAAATTAGCCAGGTGTGGTGGCGTGTGCCTGTACTCCCAGTTACTTAGGAGGCTGAGGCAGGAAAATTGCTTGAACCTGAGAGGTGGAGGCTGCAGTGAGCCAAGATTGTGCCACTGCACTCCAGCCTGGGTGAGAGTTAAACTCCCATCTCAAAAAGAAAAATAAATAAAATAGGCCAGGTCGTGAAGGCTTGATAAAATGGTTTATGGCTGTTTTCTGTGTCTAGCACATCACTAAGTTCAACACTTATTTATTTCGTTATTTCTATTACCTAATGCAGTGCTTGACACATGGTAGAGAAAGCAGTAAACTATAAAAAGATAAGGAGAGTGAGTGGGAGGAAAGAAAAAATGGGGAGGGGGAGAGTGGTTCCAATTTACTATACTACTCAACAAAGGAACACTGCTAATAGCAAGAGATGCTTACCTTGAACACTGTTTCAGATAACATGAGAGGATTTCGTTAAATAACCAGATTAGAGACCTAAGGGACTCGTCGTATGTTTACGAAGAATGCTAAGGATCAAGGTTTTATTTATTCTATTCACACAAACAGACTTCAAACCTGTAAGATATCATCTAATAAGTGGACAAGGGGGAAGGGAATTACTATGAAACTATGGTTAAGTGCCTAGAATGCCCTATATGTAAATTTTGTTGAAGTATATCTAAGTAACTGCAACATACTCCCCAAAGCTGTCTGTGTACTTATTTTCCTGGATATCTTGGCAGATCAGGTACCCTTTTTAGGCCAGTCCTGAAAAAAAAGGTGTACTTAAAAAAAAAAAAAAAAAGATGGCTCAGAAGTAACTGAGGAAAGGGAAGAGAAAGCCTACTGGGAGGTCGATGGAAAAGAACGGCACGTATAGGAAGAAGCAGCCAACGAGGACACCATTTTAACTCTCCCTTTCCTACAGTATAATCTCTTGAAGGCAGCATCATATTTATTTCCAAATAATGGCATGGCCCATTACAAATACTAACTACACAGATTATATCTGTAAAATGATTGTCTAAATATATGGAGGGTAACGTTTCACAACTGAAACCTTCAATGACTTGAGATCTCTCAAAAGACTGTTCCTCATTGAAACAAGGCTGCCAATACCTAACGATACAGCATTGCTTAATTCAGTAGGAAAAGTAAGATATATCAAGACACCCTCATTCAACAGAGTGAATGACAAGTCCAAGGTCAAACAGATATTTAAATAATTCATACTGTCCTCTCAGGCAAACAGTTTGATCCAATATAACTACTATTATTGCCTGTCTCAAAAAGAACTAGTTTTCTAACTGTAAAGAATGTTTTTGGCTGGACGTGGTGGCTTATACCTGTAATTCCAGCACTTTGGGAGGCTGAGGCGGATCACTTGAGCCTAGAAGTTCGAGACCAGCATGGGCAACATACTGAGGCCCCATCTCCACAAAAAATAATCACTTTTTTCCTTTAAAAAAGTTTAAAACTTATTTAGGCAGGGCGCTGTGGCTCCTGGCCTATAATCCCAGCACATTGGGAGGCCAAGGCAGGATACTCATTCGGCCAAGAATCTGAGACCAGCCTGGGCAACACAGCAAGATCCTGTCTCTAAAACAATAAATAAATAAATTAGCTGGCATGATGGCATGCACCTGCAGTCCCAGTTACTTGGGAGGTTGAGGTGGGAAGGATTGCTTGGTCCCAAGAGTTCAACCAGCCTGAGGAACATAGGAAAACTTTGCCTCAGAAAAAAAAAAAAAGTCATTAACTTAAATTCACTTAGTGAACAATGCTAAGTTTCTGAGCAAGCCAATTAGCCTGCCTTGATGTTACTGAACACAAGTTACACTTCAGTTATAAGGCTGAGGTACACTCTGGGGACTGTTGTGGGGTGGGGGGAGGGGGGAGGGGGGAGGGTATAGCTTTAGGAGATATACCTAATGCTAAATGACGAGTTAATGGGTGCAGCACAGCAGCATGGCACATGTATACATATGTAACTAACCTGCACACTGTGCACATGTACCCTAAAACTTAAAGTACAATAATAATTTAAAAAAAAAAAGTTTACAAAAAAAAAAAAAAAGGCTGAGGTAAAAACCTACACGTATCTCTACCTGAGTGCCAAAGGCCTGAGGTCTTTCAACATAGTTTTGAAACCTGATTGCACATTTCAACCACCTGGGGAGAAGCATTAAAATATAAATATGCCTGAGCCCCATGCCAAATCTGTGGAATCTAAGTCAAGCTTACCAGGGCATTGATGCAGCCAGCTGGAAATTGGATCCCAGACCAGGATTTTGAAACTAATGTTCTAACCACAGAACAAAATACTCTGCAACTACCTTAATTCATCTCTGTGACTAAGGTTTATCTGCCAACCAACATTTTCTCTAACCTAAAAGGTACAGGAGAGAAGATCACATGAAAATTTAGTTACCTTTATGTTTTCTGGTTGCTTAGATTTACTTGCTTTTTTTAAGAGCAAAAGCGAGGCTTAAGAACCAACTGGAAACAGGGGACTGACGATATTATATAAAAGGTAATGGAACAAATGTGACCATTAAAGAAAAATACACATCTTCCTAAATACCTAAAGAAACAGGCCTCTCTCCCCCAAGAAAAAAAGAAGCTGAAGTTTTGCAATCAACCTCTTTAAGGGGTGAGGTGATGGTATGCAGTCATCTTGACACAGAGATGAGAAGACTGCTATTTCCAGTATACTCAAACGGCACAAGTAGTTTCCCCATGCAAAGTAAAATGTAGGGTCTTTGGTGCTAATAACAAACCACTGGCATTTCCCATCAGCTTCACTTGGGTCAGTGAGCAATAAATATGAAAGAATTCTCTAGAGTCCTACATTTCTGCTCCAACATACCAAGCTCAAGGCCTTAGAAAATAATGCAAGTAAACAAAACCTAAAGTCTGGACATTTAAATACCTCTATCCATTTCTCTCATTTCTGCTCTTCCCAACCAAAAGGTCAAAGACCATTTCCACTTCCTCAGTCAAAGCTACTTGCCCATTTTAGGCTAGCCATGGTGACTCACGCCTGTAGTCCCAGCACTTTGGGAGGCCAAGGTGGGAGGATCACTTGAGGCCAGGAGTTCAAGACAACATGAGTTGAGGCCAACATGGCAAAATCCCCTCTCTACTAAAAATACAAAAAATTAGATGAGTGTGGTGGTATGCCCTGTAGTCCCAGCTGCTTGGGAGGCTGAGGAATGAGGCTGCTTGAACCTGGGAGGCAGAGGCCACAGAGAGCCGAGACTGCACCAGTGCACTACAGCCTGGGCGACAACTCTTTCTCAAGGAAAAAAAAAGCTACTTGCCCATTTTAAATCCTTACTACCTCTTTTTGCTAGAACCTTGATCTGAAATTTTTGGGTGCTCAATTTTTCAAAGAGCTCTCACAAACACAAGTGTCAATATAGGAGTTTATAGTTATTTTTCTACTATTTCTATTCTGGCAATTAAAGAACCTAGAAACTACTGTCAACATTACAAACATTTTCCTGTCTGTCCATAAATGAAGCTTTTCTTTTTCAGCTGGGCCAACTGGAAAGAGGTTATCTTTAAGATCCTACATATTACTTTTGTTACAGAAAATAAGGCCATCTGACTCTTTCCCTCAGAAATACATATATTTATAATAAATATATATATAAGGTTATAAAAAATTAGGAAAGAAGGAGATGATACAAAGCATATGACAGACAAAATGAATATGGATAACTGGAAAACCAAGTCTATAGCATTTCATTTGTCAATGGAGATTTCTTAGGGGCATTCTAAATGCTACCAAGATTATAAACATAAAAGTCAATATATTTCCAGTTTCCCACATTTATCATACCCTCCCCTCCCCTGTACGCGCAAACATGTATATACACACATTCTCCAGAAATGCCTCCTAAGAGATTATTTAATAAATCATAAAAACCACACATTTCAGCAGCCATAAGAATTATAGCATGGAAAATACCAAAGGTCTAGCTTTCAGCAGCTGAGAGGTAGAGGATGCTTTACAAAGAAATCCCGTATCAATGATACAAGTAATTGCGATAAACAATGTAGGCCCTAATCTCCCCAAGCCAAATAATAATTCATTTACATTCCCAAACTATTTTTCATAAAGATTATGTACTATTAAAATACAAATATCAAGGTTACCCGAAGTATAAGCAAACAACTTTAAAAAAATGGAGATTAAAAACCCTTTCAGAAAGCTAATTTAACTTTTAAAAAACCATGGAGGTAAAGAAAAAGATTAAACTGCACATCAGGTAGTCAATAAAGGCAGAATTTACTGTGCATGAACCCACATGAGCAAATCTTAAGTTAATCACTGAGCAGAGAATTCAGCAAGTCCAAATGAGAGAGAACAAAGGGTTTAAAAATGACAATCTGTAGAGGAATAATCCAAACAGCAAGAGAATTCTTTAAATCTCTCCAGTAAAAAGACAGATGCCTGCAAGACCTCACGCCCTCCCTTGCACTTGTTTCAACGTGATTGCCAATGTTTGTACTCTTCAAAGTTCCAAGGGTCATAAAACAGCTTTGTATTAGCTGAATGACTTGCTTTCAACTTCGGTATCACGGATTCCATTCAAATTCACTGTCCTTTTTTCTCTACCTGAGGTGGAGGTGCAGGTTTGCCATTAAGAGCCATCTGCAAGGGCGTAGTCTGGCTTGCAGGAGGCAAAGGAGCAGTCTTCAACTTCTTTGTACTAGTTTTAGACGGATGCTCCTCCTCCTCTTCATCAGAATCCTGAAGGCCATACTTAGAAAAATGGGAGACCTAAGGAAGAGAAGAACCCCACAAAACAACTTAAACATTATGCTTTCCCAATACCTGCCTTTGCAATCTTGCAGCATTACCTTAAGAAAAAAGAAAGAAAAGGGGAGAAATATCTAAGTATTTAAAGCAAAATATATCACCTATCACACTTTTATCTAAGATTTAGAAGACGTTTGATGTATGCTCTAGTTGCTCATACTAGTAAATTAATAAAGATTACATAATATACATTAAAATGTCATTTAAACTGTAATCATTAATATAGGAAACTTAATCCAAAGACTTGTTATTATTTTCACAGACATATATTGCCTGTTATCCTCTATCTACCCAAGGGCCTTTAACAAGTTAAATAATTCAACCAGCCTAGAATGGGAGGAAATCATTGGATTAAACTATTACGGACAGTCAACCTCTTCATCTCCAAAAATCTTTAAAAGTAAGAATGACAATTACATAGGAAGAGTTGATCCAATAGACACCTGCCTGATGAATTACTGAAGTCCCTAATGATGACAAACATTAGAAAAACTACACCTTAGAAATGTATTTATAAATCCTCATAGGAGTTGGGTAGAGGACTTGAATCACGAGCCCACAGTTTGTAAGAACTCATTACTGCTGAATTTTAACTAGGTTTGTAGTTTGGAGTGAATCATAATGTATCTGTACATCTCTCTCCAAATTTCTAAAAATAAAGAGAATTTGGCTGGGTATAGTGGCTTACACCTGTAATCACAGTACTTTTGGGAGGCCAAGGAGGGAAGACTGCTTGATCCCAGGAGTTGGAGACCAGCCTGGTCAACACTGAGAAACTCGATCTTTACAAACATTTTAAAAAGTAGCCAGGCATGGTAGTGCATGCCTATAATCCCAGCTACTTGGGAGGCGGAGGCAGAAGGATTGCTTGAGCCCAGGAATTTGAGGCTGCAGGGAGCTATGATCCCACCATTGTACTCCAGCCTGAGCAACAGAGCAAGAACCCCATCAATCAATCAATAGAATTTAGCAAAGGATCCCTTCCAACATAAACGTTATGTGACTCCAAATATAGTTTATAAAAGTCTGAACTGGGTTAAATGACTATACCTTAAACACCCAAGAACCAGTTTCAGGCCGGTATTCTTTGAATTGAGCTCCCTGTTTCCTTGAAACTGCTTCCAATCTTCCTTCATAGTTGATATCAGCAAGGCGATCTGGGCTCTTTATTAAACAACGAGATGTTTTATCTGTTGGCCAAACTCCATCCAATGTAACTTCAGCCTTCCTGTAAAACATAACCAATTAAAGTAACCAATTAAAGTAAAAGCGCTTCATATATAAGACCAGAAAGCCACCTAACACATAAATAGTGAATAATGGTAACTATGCTGCCTTGGAATTATTCTGCATGTGTCATAAACTTGAGTTTTGCCCCATAAGCTTAAGAGCAAGGAGTCACTCCTACATTGACAACTCAATATCTGGTTCTAGAGTCAGACTGCATTTATTTAAATTACCATGGTACATCAATTATTTCCAATCTCATTTTCACACTTAAGCTAGGAATCACTAACTTATTTAAGTTACAGTCCAGTGGTACGAACCAAGTCTTATGCAGGTCTTAAAGGGCTACCGTACTAAATAATAATAAAAAACAGCTACTACCCATTTACTAAAAACAAATGCTTAGAAAATGAAGTATCAGGAATATCGGTATGAAGATGACTACAAGAGTGGTGGTGTACCACTTCTAATATTAATACCAGAGTTCAAGTGTTGTATCCTATTCATTTTGTATGCCTTACATCTAAACACAGTGACTACTAGGATGTAATAGGTAGATGCTGCTCTCCATTTCCTGCTTCCCGGAGCCCCTGGCAAATACTACTCTACTTTGTTTCTATAAAGTTGACTTATCCCAGATACATCACAATATAGTACTTGTCTTTTTGTGACTGGCTTACTTCACTTAGCATGTCCTCAAGGTTCATCCATGTTATAGCATATATCAGAATTTTCTTCCTGAGGCTGAATAACATATATTTTTTAATTTTTAAAATAAAAAATATGGAATGCTTCATGTATTTGTGTGTTATCCTTGTGAGGGACCATGCTAATCTTCTCTGTAGGCTGAATAGTGTTTTATTGCATGTATATACCACATTTTGTGTACCCATTCACTTATCAATGAACATTTGGGTGACTTTTACCTACTGGCTGTTGTGAATAGTGTTGCTATGAACATGGGTATACAAATGCTTGAGATCCTGCTTTCAATTTTGTATATATACCCAGAAGTGGAGCTGCTGGATCAGACAGTAATTCTATTTTTAACTCTTCCGGGAACCACCATACTGTCTTCCACAGTGGCTGCACTGTTACACATTCCCACCAATGGTGCACAAAGGTTCCAATTTCTCCACATTGGCAGACACATGGCAATTTGTTTCTTATTAGACTGAGTCTCGCTCTGTCACCCAGGCTGGAGTGCAGTGGCACATTCTTAGCTCACTTCACCCTCTGCCTACCGGGTTCAAGTGAGTCTCGAACCTCAGCCTCCCAAGTAGCTGAGAGTACAGGTGCCCGCCACAACACCCAGCTAATTTTTGTACTTTTAGTAGAGACGGGGTTTTGCCATGTTGGTCAGACTGGGCTCAAGCTATCCACCTGCCTCGGCCTCCCAAAGTGTTGGGATTATAGGCGTGAGCCACCACGCCCGGCCATTTTTTTTTTTTCTAGTAACCATCCTAATGGGTATGGTATCTCATTGTAGTTTGATTTGCATTTCTCTAATGATTAGTGATGTTGGGCATCTTTTCATGTACTCCTTGGTCATTTGTATATCTTTGGAGAAATGTCGATTCAAGTCCTTTGCCAATATTTTCTTCTTTTTTGAGAGACAGGGTCTCCCTCTCCCGCTCAGGCAGGAGAGAAGTGGCATGATCACAGCTCACTGTAACCTCTGTTCGAGACCAACCTGGCCAACATGGTGAAACTCCTGAGTTCAGCTGAACCTCCTGCCTCAGCCTCCTGAGCAGCTAGGACTACAGGTGTGTGCAACCATGCTTGACTACTTAAAATTTTTTTTTGTAGATACAGGGTCTTCCTATTTTCTTGAACTCCTGGCCTCAAGCAATCCTCACTTCTCTGCCTCCCAAAGTGCTGGGATTACAGGCATAAGCCACTGCACCCATCTTCTTTGCTCATTTTTTAAATGGGTTATTATTTTTGTTGTTGCTGTTGAATTGCAGGATTCTTTATATTCTGGCTATGAACCCCTTATCAAATATGATTGGCATATATTTTCTCCTATTCTTATAGGTTGCCTTTTCACTTGTCTTTTGCTGTGCAGAAGGTTTTCAGTTTGATATAGTGTCATTTGTCTATTTTTGCTTTTGGTGCTTATACTTTTTGATGTTATATCTGAGAAATCATTGCCAAAACCAATGTTATGAAGCTTTTCCTCTGTGTTTTCTTCTAAGAGTTGTAAATTTTTGGATCTCACACTTAGGTATTTTATCCATTTTGGGTTAATCTTTGTATATGGCATAACTTCACTCTTTTGTATGTGGATATCCAGTTTGCCAGCATCCTTTGTTGAAGAGACTGTCTTCTCCCGATCAAATAATTTTTTTTTTTTTTAGTTTTTTTTATGTGTGCTCCACACCACCCTGCCCCCGAGTAATTTTTATACCTTACTGAAAATCATTTAAGACTGGGCGTGGTGGTTTACACCTATAATCCCAACACTTTGGGAGGCCAAGGCAGGCCAAACACTTCACCTCAGGAGTTTGAGACCGGCTGGGCAGGCAACAAGGCAAAACCTCATCTCTACAAAAAATACAAAAATTAGCCGGGCGTGGTGGTGCATCTCTGTGGTCCCAGCTATTTAGGAGGCTGAGGCAGGAGAATAGCTTGAACCTGGGGGCAGAGGTTGCAGAGAGTCATGATCACACCACTACACTCAAGCCTGGGTGACACAGCAAGACCCTATCTCAAAAATCATTCGACTATATAGATGAAGTTTTATTTCTGGGCTCTCTATTACATTCCATTGGTATTTATGTCTGTATGCCACTACCATACTGTTTTGATTATTATAGATTTATAATAAGTTTTGAAATTTGGACATGTGAGACCTCCAAATTGTTCTTTTTTGAGAGTGTTTGGCTATTTGGAGATTTCTGAAATTCTATATGGATTTTTCTATTTCTACAAATCATGCCGCTGGGATTTTGATAGGGACTGCATTAAATTTATGCTTCACTGTAGGCAGTACTGACATTTTAACAATATTAAGTTTTTTTCTTTGACACGTGGTCTCGCTTTGTCACACAGGCTGGAGTGCAGTGGTGTAATCTGCAACCTCCGCCTCCCAGGTTCAAGCCATTCTCTAGCCTCAGCCTCCGGAGTAGCTGGGATTACAGGTATGCGCCACCACGTCTGGCGAATTTTTGTATTTTTAGTAGAGGTGGGGTTTCACCATGTTGGCCAGGCTCACTTGTCTCAACTCCTGACCTCAAGTGATCTGCCCGCCTAGGCCTCCCGAAGTGCTGGGATTACAGGCACGAGCCACTGCACCTAGCTGAACAATATGAAGTTTTCTAACTCATGAGTATGGTCTGTCTTCCATTTATCTGTGTCTGGTGTACTTTCTTTCAACCATGTTTTGCAGTTTTGTATAAACAAGTCATTTACCTCCCTGGTTAAGTTTATTTGTGTATATTTTATTCTTTTTGATGCTACTATATATATGAAATGTTTTCTTAATTTTTGTTGTTAGTGTATAGCAGTGCAACTGATTTTTCCATGTTGATTCTGTATCCTGTAACTTTGTTGAATTTGTTTATAACTAGTAAGTTTTTTTGTGTGGCATCTTTAGGGATTTCTACACAAGATGTCATCAAAGAACAGAGATAATTTTACTACTTTTCAAAACTGTATTAACTTTTATTTTTCTTGCCTAATTGCTCTGACCAGGACTTGCAGTAGTATATTTGGGAAAAGTGGCAAAAGCAGGCATCCTTGTGTTGCCTTGTCTCACAGGAAAAGCCTTCTGTATTTGAGTGCCTTTATTATGAAAGAGTGTTGGATTTTGGTAAATACTTTTTCTGTATTATGATGATGATGATGATGTGGTATATTCCTTTATCTTGTTAAAGTGGTATGTTTCACTGACTTTTGTATGTTAAGCCATCCATGCATTCCAGAATAAATCTTTTGGCCATGATGTGTAATCCTTTCAATACGCTGTTAAATTCTGCTTCCTAGGGCTCTGTTGATGACTTTTTCATCAATATACTCATCAAGTGGTCTGTAGTTTTCTTTCCTTGCAGTGTCTTTGGTTACTGAATAAGGTAACGCTTGCCTCATAGAATGAGTGTGAAAGTATTCCCTTCTCTTCAATTTTTTGGAAGAGTCTGAGTAGGACTGGTGTTATTTCTTTAAACGCTTAGTAGAATTCACCAATGAGGCCATCTGATTCTAGGTTTTTCTTTTTTGACAAGTTTGTGATTACTGAGTCAATCTCTTTACTAATTATTGGCCCGGCACAGTGGCTCATGCTTGTAATCCCAGCACTTTGGGAGGGCGAAGTGGGCAGATCACCTGAGGTCAGGAGTTCAAGACCAGCCTGGTCAACATGGCAAAACCCTGTCTCTACTAAAAATACAAAAATTAGCTGAGCATGGTGGCGGGCACCTATAATCCCAGCTACTCTGGAGGCTGAGGCAGGAGAATCGCTTGAACCCAGGGGGCAGAGGTTGCAGTAAGCTGAGACTATACCACTGCACTCCAGCTTGGGCAAAGGAGTGAAACTCTGTCTCAAAAGAAGAAAGAAAGAAAAGAAAGAAAGAAGAGAAAGGGAAAAGAAAAGAAGCGGAAGGGGAAAGGAAAGGAAAGGATCGATTGATCTGCTCAGATTTTCTATTTCTTCCTGATTCAGGGTTGGTAGGTTATGAAGATAAATAATTTTCACTACAGCCCTTTCACTTGACTAAGATATTAGAAGCTAGGATCTCACACTAAAATAGAGAGTTAAGTATAGCCACAGCAGAAACAGGAATAAAGCAAAATACTATTAAAAAGAGTTTTTGAAATTAGCAGTTGGACCCAATAAAATCAGGGAGGCTGGGCAGCGTGGCTCACACCTGTAATCCCAGCACTTTGGGAGGCTGAGGTGGGAGGATCACTTGAAATCAGGAGCTCAAGACCAGCCTGGCCAACATGGTGAAACTCTGTCTCTACTAAAAATACAAAAATTAGCCAGGCATGGTGGCGGGCGCCTACAATCCCAGCTACTTGGGAGGCTGAGGCAGGAGAATCGCTTGAACCCGGGAGTCGGAGGTTGCAGTGAACTGACATCATTCCACTGCGCTCCAGCCTGGGCAACAAGAGCAAAACTCCATCTCAAAAAAAAAAAATAATAATAGTAAAATGAAATGAAATGAAATAAAATAGAATAGAATCGAATCCAAGGAATGTAAAAAAATGAATTAAAAAATAAAATCAGGGAAAAGGAGTTCAAAATCACAGTATAGCATTTCTTTGCCATTTATACTTTTAAATCAAAGTAGAGACAATAAATGTACTCTATAGTAAGGAAAGCAAGCTACAGAAGCATACATCTAAACACATTTATGTTTACAGAAAAAAAAATTGTGATTTAGCTGATAATTTTCTGTATGTACATAAACTCTTACCTATTTAGCCCTTCACCCACAGGTGGTTTTTGGTTATCATCTAAGTAGACAACTACTTCTTTCCTCCGGATATGCACAATATCATCCAAATTTAGATTTGTCAAATTCACATCTCCTTCAAAATAGATTGAACCATAACCTATAAATCAGAGCAAATAGTTAAAAATTCATTCTGTATGAAGGCAAATACCTACTTTACAACTATAGTGATTAAACAATCACAAGGAGAAAGCAGTTTTAAGTATTAGTATTTTAAATAATTCAGCAATTCCTAGACTGGTAAGAATGGGGACTTAGGGAGAGTAACTTCAATTACACTGTTATCTGATTTAAAATCTGCATTTTTCTTTTCTTTTCTTTTCTTTTTTTTTTTGGCAAGGTCTTGTTCTGTTGACCAGACTGAAGTGCAGTGGTCCTGTCTCACTGCAGCCTGAACCTCCTAAACTGAAACAATCCTCCCACCTCACCCTCCCAAGTAGCTGAGACTACAAGCACATATCATCAGGCCTGGCTCATTTTCTTTACTTTTGGTAAAGGTGAGGTCTCACTATGTTGCCCAGGCTGGTCTAGAACTCCTGAGCTCAAGTGATCCTCTCACCTCAGCCTCCCAAAGCGCTAGAATTACAGGTGTGAGTCACTGCGACAGGCCTAACATCTGCATTTTTATAAAACTCCCATTAGCCTCAAAACAACCTTCTTAAATCTCTTCCCATTTATCTATAATGACGCTATATAAACAAACCTTCGCACTTGGCCTGGCATATGGGTTAAAATGCCTGAGCTCTTTTTAATACAATATAGCACAGTGGCATTTCCCACAAGAAAATTATCAGTAATAATAACATGAAGTTCATGCTAAGTGTTATACATCTCTTGCCTATTATTCAATTTTCTCAGAAGTTCTTGGTATTTCCAGTATTTTCTTTAATTACAGAAAATTAAAATGACCCAAATAGTTACTAGCACCAAACAGGTATACCTAAGCCCAAAGAATATTATATGGTTCTGTGCTTCTCAGGAGGCTGAGGCAGGAGAAATGCTTGACCCCAGGAGTTGAGATCTGCCAGGCAATGTAGCAAGACCCCATCTCAACAGAAAAAATAAAATAAATAAAAATAAAAAAATTTACATGGTTCCAGTCTTTCTTGTTTTGTTACTTATCAATCAAAGTATTTAAGATTCAGGCCAAGGTGGGCCCAAATGTAGGAAAATGAAGATTCAGCTATCAAAAGCTTCCCCTAATTACAAAAATAAGGTGCAACTCTCTGGCTTAATCACTAAGTGCTAAACTCACACTTACCTTTCCGACCAATAGTGAAATCAGAGACAATGCACTCTCCTTTTTCATTGGTAATTTTAGCAAGGTCATCCATAGATGGAATAGTATAGTAACCAACCTTAGTGAGAATAATACCTGTGACAAAAAAAAAAAAAAAAACAGAAAAAAAAATAACCTGAAATAATCAGCAACTAAATCATCATATAAAGAGAAAATATATCAGAATGAAGAATTTTCCAAACTACTTTTCTACCAAACATGATTCCTAGGAGAAGGGGTGTGTGAGTGTGTGTGTGTGTGTGTGTGTGTGTGTGTGTGAAAAGCTTCATGGTCAAATAGGTTTGAAGAACATACATATGATACATCAAAGAGTCTAAAACTTACAGTAAATAGCCTATTAAACTCTGCTTAACCTCGTGTTTTTCCAGATTTAACCACAGAACATTATTTTCAAAGGACACCCATTAACATCCCGGACTATAAAAGGTATCTCATAAAATACTCTGAGAAAAGCTTAATCAGCTTTTTATTTTATTTTACACACAAGGATACCAAAACCTACAGTGGAAATAACTTGTGTTGGCTTATACTGTAATTTAACAATAGAAGTAGATATAAAACTCCAAACCCAATTCTTCTTGTTTCATTGCCTGTTTTGCATAAACCTCTTTTATTTTTCAAATTTACACTCCCAAATAAAGAGCTAAAAGAAAGATGAAAAATCCAGCCAGGCAAGGTGGCTCATGCCTGTAATCCAAGGACTTTGGGAGGCCGGGGTGAGTAAATCACTTGAGGCCAGGAGTCCAAGACAAGCCTGGCTAACATGGCAAAAATCCATTATCTACCAAAAATACAAAAATTAGCTGGGCATGGTGGCGGGTGCTTGTAATCCCAGCTACTCGGGAGGTTGAGGAAGGAGAATCGCTTGAACCTGGGAGGCAGAGGATGCAGTGAGCTGAGATCACACCACTGCACTCCAGCCTGGGCAACCAAGAGTGAAACTCGGAAGGAAGGGAGGGAGGGAGGAAGGAAGAAAAGAAGAAAGAAAGAATAAATTAAAATAGAAAAAAAAATACCAAAATAAAAAAAGCAGAGCGCTGAAAAACTCAAGGAAAGTAGTGGAACGCTGGTGTGCTTGCTTGCTCTATTCACTCCTTGTCCTACTTGTAGTCAGATATAAGGCTAACTTGCTCTCTGAGAGAAAAGTATTTCAGGCCAACATCAGACCAAACTCCAGCCTCCAGCAACACCCACTTGTATACTTGCTTCTTGGGAAGGGAACTCTAAATTGGGTGGCAGCAAACAAGGTAAATGAAAAAACTAGAATATAAAACTTCCTATTAAAAAGATATATAGTAGCATAATAAATTCATGTAGAGATACATACACAAATACAGATTAAGCACCTGGAATTCTTTTTTTTTTTTTTTTTTTTTTTAGGAGACAGGATCTTGGTCTGTCAACCCAGGCTGGAGTTCAGTGGCATAATCATAGCTCACTGCAACCTTGAATCCTGGGTTCAAGTGATCCTCCCACCTCAGCTTCCGTAGTAGCTGCAACTACAGGTACATGCCACCACACCTGGCTAATTACTTTTAAGTTTATTGTAGATATCAGGTCTTGCTATGTTGCCCAGACTGATTTCAAACTTCTGGGTTCAAACGATCCTCCCACCTAAGCCTGCCAAAGTGCTGAGCCACCACACCCAGGCTACCTGGGATTCTTACTGTCAAAGTATAAACTTCTTTCCTTATGATACTAAGTAACCAAATATATATATATATATAATGGCAATAAGAAAACTAAATATAAATTTTGGAGACACTTCAAGAATACCACAAAACACCCAAAATGGGCTGGGCATGGTGGCTCATGCCTGTAATCCTAGCACTTTGGGAGGCCAAGATAGGAGGATCACTTGAGCCCAGGATTTTGAGACCAGCCCAGGAAACATGGCAAAACAAAAGATGCAAAACTTAACGGGGTGTGGTATCATGTGCCTGTAGTGCCAGCTACTCGGGTGGCTGAGATGAGAGGTCCTGATCCCTGGAGGTTGAGGTTGCAGTGAGCCAAGACTGCGACACTGCACTCCAGCCTGGGCGACAGAGCGACACTGTCTCAAGAAAAAACAAACAAACAAACAAAAAACAATAAGCAATCTATCCGAGTTTACAAAGCCAGGGAAAATATCAGGATAGTCTCTTTGGCTATAAAATTTGGGTTCTTTAGACTACACCAGGATAATTAAAGATGTATCAATTTTCATACTCTAAGGTCCAAAGAGTATGTGAACTCTGAATCAACTAAAGCATAAAACTGTTTAAATATTAAGCTCTCCTATGTGGGATCACATAAAATAATACTTAAAATGCCAAACAGCTGACTTCCATATGTTGAATATCTGCAACAAGCAAGTCATCTCGAATGACTGGTAAGAGATTAAACATGCACCAATCTGAACCTGACCTGCTGGGTGCATATGGTAAGAATTATTTTCTATTTCTTCTCGGTCATCCTGAAGTGACTCATCATGAAAAGACGTTTCTTCACTGCTTCCTTCCAGCCCATTTCGCAAAGCAGCACGCATGTTTAATGCAACAATGGTATCATCCACACTGTTGCTGTTGCTGTGTTTATTTCCAGCACTTTCTGGGGTTTGAGGAATAGGTTTGGCAATAGGGTTAGTATAAAAATGTGAAACAAGGGAATCTTCATCTCCATCCTGCTGGTGATTCTCATCAACAGGTTTGCTTAGGAAACTAAATCTGCAAAGGAAAAGAAATAATACCTTAGCCTCTTGTAGTAGTAATAACAATGATAATAGCTAACTAATACCGAGCCTTTACTAAGTGCCTGGCACTGTTCTGGATAGTTCCATGTATTAAAAATTCACTTAATACTTACTACAGCAGTACTGTGAAACAGATAATTACTATCTCTATTGTATACTCTCCTATATGGAATCAAATAATTGGTTAATTTTAAGATTAAAAACTGAAAAAAATGTTAGATTTTTAAGATTACAATCAACAAAATGTTAAAAAATGCTTTATAAATAATAATAATAATAAAAAACACTAGAATTTTATCCAAAAGAAAAAAAAAACAGGAGTACAAAGGTGTCTATACAAAGGGTTTCTTTTTTTTTTTTTCTTTTTCGTGATACAGCCCTCAGGAGGCCCTGAGAACTTGTGCCAGTATATAAGGATTTTTACTGAAGCACTGTTTTGAGTACAGGAATACCGGATAATCTAAATGTCCACTAACAAGGAACTGGTCAAGTTATCTTACATTCACAATAATGACTTATGCAATCATTAAAAAAGAAAAGACAAATATATTCATACAGATAATGGAAAGGCATTTCTAATAAAATAAATGGAAATAAGCAGGTTACAGAATATATCATTCGTGCATAATCTTTATATAATAAAATATATTTATAAAGAAAGAAATTTCGGCTGGGTGTGGTGGATAACGCTTGTAATCCCAGCACTTTGTGAGGCCGAGGCGGGTGGATCGCTTGAGGTCAGGAGTTCAAGACCAGCTTGACCAACATGGCGAAACCCTGTTTCTACTAAAAATACAAAAAAAATTAGCTGGGCGTGGAGGTGCATGCCTGTAATCCCAGCTACTCAGGAGGCTGAGGCAGGAGAATTGCTTGAACAATTCACATCAGAGGATACAGTGGGCCGAGATCGTGCCACTGCACTCCAGCCTGGGTAATAAGAGCAAAACTCCATCTCAAAAAAAAAAAATAAATAAATAAATTTCTGATATGAAAGAATATATACCTAACTATTAAGAATCACTGTACAAGGCTGGGCACGGTGGCTCACGCATGTAATACCAACGTTTTAGGAGGCCAAGGCGGGCAGATCACTTGAGGTCAGGAGCTCGAGACCATCCTTGGCTAACAAGGTGAAACGCCGTCTCTACTAAAAATACAAAAATTAATCAGGCATGGTGGCGGGTGCCTGTATTCCCAGCTACATGGGAGGGTGAGGCAGGAGAATCGCTTGAGCATGGGAGGCGATCTTGGCTCATGCCACTGCACTCCAGCCTGGGCGACAGAGTGAGACTCTGTCTCAAAAAAAAAAAAGAAAGAAAATCATCACAGACAAAATATCCCTTAAAGGGCTAAAGGGTGTCAAATACATGCTAACCCTGTCCAAAACAAGATACACAAATACCAAAATAGTTCTGAAGCACTAAATCAGAACTCCAATAATTTTAAGGTTTAATGAATTCAAAAGACAAAAATATGATTTGATTTCTAGGCGCTCATAAGCTTGTAATACTTCTATGTAATATTCATCAAACTTCATAAATTTTCATAAATTCCTAAGAATGTCTTAAAAATGAGACTATAACTCTCTACTAAGAAGAACTCAAAACAGAATTCAGTGTACCTCTCTCCATTTTCTGGATATTCAGATGGTGAAGCTAGATTTTCTGAATCACGATTAACAGGAGAAAAGAGATTGCTATTATTAAGGTTCTTCAAAACCAACTTCTTAATGCTCTTCCTATAAACAAGAAACCAAAAGAAGAAGAAAAAAATTACTCAGGCATACAGATATGTCCCAGACATTATCTTAAAAACTGGAGTCCAATGGTGCACTTCTGCTCAACTCTTGTACACCTAAGAATAACCTAACAAGTTTCATTTATAAACGCTTCCTAGGATTGTATAGCCAAAACACAAGGTGTCAAATACATTGTACTATGGTGTTTGGAAGAATAAAGCTGAACACCTTCAAGTCAAAGTGGAAAATCCCCTTGAAAACTGTCCTCCTCCCAGCTCTGAGCACTTTATCCAGACACTTCGTTCACTCATCACACTATGTTTGTATTTCAATCATCTGTATACTCTCCAAATGCTTTCTCTCTCTTTTGGCAGTACAAACGTATGGCTGTCTCACCATAGAACTCATAGTGCTGTCTTGAATGAAAAAGGTAAACAGACATTTGCTGACTAAAAAGTTTTTTCTTTTTACTTTCTTTGGTTTGCCCAAAGAGAGAGAATTTTTTAAAAACATGACAAGAAAGTATTGAAGTAAAAAATCCTGTTATCAAATAATGCAAATGATCGATCACAAATACCTAAAAAGTTCAGGTTTTTCTCTTTTTTCTTTAGACAGAGTCTCACTGTGTCACCCACGCTGGTGTGTAGTGGTACAATCGCTGATCATGGCTCACTACAGCCTTGACTTACCTCCCAGACTCAGGCTATTCTCCCACCTCAGCTTCCCGAGTAGCTGGGACGATAGGCACCCACCACCATGCCTGGCCACTGTTTTGTTGAAACAAGGTTTCGCCAGGTTGCCCAGGCTGGTCTAACTTAGCCTAATGTAAGAGCACTGTACTCATTCACTACAGAGTACACACTCTTTTCAAGTACACATGGAACATTTATAAACTAACAGTATACTGGGCCATTAAAGGAACTCTCAAATTTCTAAGAATTGCTATTGCTATCGCCTTTTACTTTTCATCTAGAAGTTAATAACAAAAACATAAAAAAAAAGAGTTGAACTAAAAGGAAAATTTACATATTTAAATGCATATATTTGAAAGAAGGAAAGCTGAAAATCAAAGGGGAGAGGAGAAAGGAACAAGATAATAATTAAATATTAATAAGATATAATAAATTAAAAACTGATGAAATAGGAAACAATCACAGGAGCGAGAACATCAATAATGCCATAAGTTAGTTCTTTGAAGTTACCAGTAATACTGGGAGATCCCTGGTCAAACAGAAAAAGAGAAGGCACAATAAAAGTCAATGTTGGGAATGAAAAAGTAGGTGTCCCTATAGACGCCACTGACATTAAAAAAAAAAAAAAAGACAAGGGTATTTTTAAACAACTTTATGCCAATAAATTTGAAATTTTAGTTATTGAAATGAATACATATTACAAAAATATAACATCAAAAGTCACTCAAAATATAAAATAAAAAGCTGAATAATCCTCTAACTCTTAAATACTTTTTCCCCCAAACAGTCTTATAAATACTACTTCAGACCCATCTATCATTACCAGTACCAAACATCTGATGTTACCATCAGATTAGATTACCAACTTTTCTTTCTTTTTTTTTTTTTGAGACAGGCTGGAGTACAGTGGTGGTATCATAGCTCACTGCAACCTTGAATTCCTGGGCTCCTGTGATGCTCCCACCTCAGCCTCCCAAATAGCTGGGACTATCGGCATGTGCCATCATGTCTGGCTAATTAAAAAAAAATTTTTTTTTAGAGACAAGGTCTCATTTTGTTGCCAAGGTTGGTCTCACTGGCCTCTCTAGTGATCCTCCTGCTTTGGTCTCTCAAAGTGCTGAGATTACAGATGTGAGCCATTGTACTCAGTTAGAAATTATTACCTTATACAAACTTTTCTAGAAAATAGAAAGAGGAAATACTCTCCAGTTTGTTCATGAGGTCAGCATAATCTTTATACCCAAACTGGGTAGGGACGCTGTAAGAAAAAAACGTTAGCTGAACACAGTTGTGCACACACACCTATAGTCCCACGTACTTGAGAGGCTGAGCAGGATCACTTAAGGCCAGCCCGGGCAACACAGGAAGACCTCATCTCAAAACAAAAACAAAAACAAAAACAAAAAACCCAGGTGAGGGTGGGGGGCAGTGTGTGGAATTTAATTAATGAACACAGAGGGCAGAACTCCTGAACAAAATTTTACAAAGTTAATCCTACAAGCAAGAAAGTTACCAAGCACTACTGAGGCATGTGGAAAGGACTTATGAGCCAATCTGAAAGGGCTCCTTGCTGCCCAAATATGAGACAATTTGAACATCACAGAAAACAATAACTGCATTGGACTGAAACATAGCAACTGGGGTTGGGGGTAGAAAGAGAGAGTAAATAAAGGTGGCATGGTGGGTTTCGCTGTAATTTCAGCACTTCAGGAGGCCAAGGTGGGGGGATTGCTTGAGCCCAGGAGTTCAAGACAAGCCTGAGTAACACAGTGAAACACCATCTCTACTATAAAGTAGGAACACGACTCTACAGAAAATTTTTTAAATATCAGCCAGGGACAATGGCGTGCACTTATAGTCCCAGCTACTTAGGAAACTGAGGTGGCAGGATCACTTGAAGCTAGGAGTTTGAGACCAGCCTGGGCAACACAGCAAGATCCTGTCTCTACAAAATAAAAAAAATTAGCCAGGTGTGGTGGCACGCACCTGTAGTCCCAGCTACTCGGGAGGCCAAGTCAGAATAATCCCGAGCCCAGGAATTCAAGGGTGCAGTGAGCTATGACAGCGCCACCGCACTCCAGCCTGGGTGACAGAGTAAGACCCCGTCTCAAAAACAAAAAAATAAACCAAAAATAGTGTCGCAAGAGTAGTCTTCATTGATGTGACATGTGAGTACAGAGCGTCAGGGTTAACTATATGGATATATGAGGAGAAGTGTTTCAAAGGGAACAATTGGGGCAAAGGCCCAAATAAATAGCATGCCTATCGTGTCCTAACAGGAGCAAGGAACAGTAAGTTTAGAGTGGAGTAAGCAATGGAGAGAATCGTAGATGTGTTCAGAGCAGTAATGGGAAATCCTACCTTTGAGGACTTTATATGCCAATGTAAGCACTTTGGTCCTTACTCTGAGTAAAAAAATGTGAACTACCTTAGGGTTTTGAGGAGAAAAGGGAAATGATCTGACTTATGCTTCAAAATGACCACTGTGATAGCAATGTTTAGAATCAGATGCAAAAGAGTAAGAGTAAAAACAGAAGAGTGGGGCTGGGTGCGGCGGCTCACGCCTGTAATCCCAGCACTTTGGAAGGCCGAGGCAGGCAGATCTTGAGGTCAGGAGATCAAGACCATCCTGGCTAACACAGTGAAACCCTGTCTCTACTAAAAAAAATACAAAAAAATTAGCTGGGCGTGGTGGTGGGCGCCTGTAGTCCCAGCTACTTGGGAGTCTGAAGCAGGAGAGTGGAGTGAACCCAGGAGGCAGAGCTTGCAGTGAGCCGAGATGGGGCCACTGCACTCCAGCCTGGGCAACACAGCAAGACTCCATCTCAAAATAAATAAATAAATAAAAATAAAAACAATAAGAACTGAAGAGTATATTGTGGTAATTCAGGCAAGAGATAGTGGTGGCTTGCACTAGGGTAATAGCAATGAATGTGGTGAGAACTATACAGATTCTAAGTAATTTACAGGGTAGAACCAAGAGGATTTGCTGATAACTTAGATGAGGAATGTGTGACAAAGTCAAGGAAGATTCCAAAATTTCTGACCGGAGCAACTAGAATGATAGTAATGCAATCATCTGAGACAGGTTTTGGGTAGAACAGGTTTGAGAAAGAAAACATGGACATGTTAATTTTAAATCAATTTCTTTTAGACATCGAAGTGAAGATGTAGAGTAGGGTAAGATACAAGAATCTTTAGTTTGGTAAAGAGGTCTGGGTTGGAGATAAAAATTTGGGAATCATCAGACTACAGATGATATTTAAAGCCATGAGAATAAATTGAAGCACTTTGGAAATAAGCATAGATAAAATGTGATCAACAACTGAGCCAAGGGCATTCTAATTTACAGACGGTGGAATGAAGAGGAACCAGTAAAGGGGACTGAGAAGCAGCAACCAGCAAGGCAGGAAGAAAACTAGGAAATTGTGGGGTCCTGGAAGACAATTATGAAAGTGAATCAAGGAGGAGGGACAAGATCAACTGCGTAAAATGCTTCTGTTACATTAAGACGGTTGATAGGTAGCTGGGCGTGGTAGCTCATGCCTGTAATCCTAACACCTTGGGAGGCTGAGGCTTGAGCCCAGGAGTTCGAGACCACCGTGGGCAACACAGAAAGACCCTGTATCTCCAAAAAAAAAAAAAAAAAAAAAAAAATTACTGGGCATGGTGGTGTGGGCCTGTGGTCTCAGCTACTTGGGAACTGAGGTGGGAGGATCACCTGAGCCCAGGGGTCGAAGGTGCAGTGATGTATGATTGCACCACTGCACTCCAGCCTGGGCAATGGCATAAGACTCTTGCCTCAAAAAAAAAAAAAAAAAAAAAAAAAAGGATGACGTTTGACAGCAACACCACAGAAGTGAGGCCAAGGAGGTCAGATGGTATTAACAACAAAATGTATGTCCTCCCACTCTAATCCTTTCTACTTGTATATTTGAAAATCCTAAGCCCTGGTGAAGCTGATCTCGAGCTACTGACCTGATGACTGGACTACTGTAAACCTTTTTACCTACTCTGCGCAAAAACAGTATATAAAATGCTAGGACAAGGCGGGGCACAGTGGCTCACACCAGTAATCCCAGCACTTTGGGAGTCTGAGGCAGGTGAATTATCTGAGGTCAGCAGTTCAAGACCAGCCTGGCCAACATGGCGAAACCCCATCTCTACACAAAAATTAGCCAGGCATGGTGGCACGTGCCTGTAGTCCCAGCTACTTGGGAAGCTGAGGAAGAAGAATCGCTTGAACCTAGGAGATGGAGGTTGCAGTGAGCCGAGATCGTGCCACTGCACTCCAGCCTGGGTAACAGAGCGACTGTATCAAAAAAATAAATAAATAAAATGCTAGGACAGACATAAATAATACACAGTCCCTGTCTTCAAAATAATTTACTGATATTCTAAGAAACACATAAAATTAGACTTTCCATCTTTGGTGAAGCAGTTACATTTTCTTTTTTTTTTTGGAGGCCGAGTCTCACTCTGTCACCCAGGCTGGAGTACAGTGGTGGGATCCCAGCTCACTGCAACCTCTGCCTCCCCAGTTCAAGAGATTCTCCTGCCTCAGCCTCCCAAGCAGCTGGGATTACAGAATTACAGACGCACGCAGCCATGCCCAGCTAATTTTGTATATTCAGTAAAGACGGGGTTTCACCATGTTAGCCAGGCTGATCTCAAACTCCTGACCTCCAGTGATCCACCCACCTCGGCCAGCCAAAGTGCTGGGATTACAGGTGTGAGCCACCATGCCCGGCCGGATTACTGTATTTTTAGGGAAAGAAAGTTGTGTGTAATGTTTTTAACGTATCACTTGAGCTGCGGAGGTTGAGGTTGCAGTGAGCAGTAATTGCACCACTGCATTCCAGCCTGGGTGACAGAGTGAGACCTGAACTTTTAAAAGCAACAACAAAAAAACCTAATTATTCAAAAACAAAACAAAATCATGCATATGTAAAATAAGAGGCATATTTATCAAAATATTTTTATGCTAACTATGAGTTATCCCTGGGAGTGATCGGGTGACTTTTATTCTTCTTTGTGATGTTCTGTATTTTTCAAATTATAAAAAAGTGGACTGGCTGGGCACAGCGGCTCACACCTGTAATCCCAGCACTTTGGGAGGCCAGGCGGCAGATCATATGCAGTCAGGGGTTCAAGACCAGCCTGGCCAACATTGTGAAACCCCATTTCTACTAAAAATACAAAATTAGCTGGGCGTGATGGCACACGCCTGTAATCCCAGCTACTCAGGAGGCTGAAGCAAGAGAATCGTTTGAACCTGGGAGGCAAAGGTTGCAGTGAGCAAAGATCATGCCATTGCACTCCAGCCTGGGTGACAGAGTAAGACTCTGTCTCAAAAACAAAAACAAAAACAAAGTGGACTGTATCACATCTATAATATATTTAAATAATTGTATATTATTTCATATTTAGTTTATATCAGTATTTTACACTTAATTTCTGTTAACAAAAATAAACTCACTTGGGCATGAATGCTCCATTGGCTAGGGATGGTTCATCGTCATCCAGCCCATCAAAGAGATGTGACTTGGCTGTGCCTGTTGTTTGTAAAGCCTTTGGCCGGACTCTAGTGGCAGGGCGGGGTGTCAGTTTATAATGAGTAGGTGTAGTAAGAGCCTTCTGGGCTGCTGGATTTGTTGGTTTCAATCTCTGAAAAACAAAAGCATCAAGGAAATTTTTGGTTTACTTTAAATGTACTGCACTGGCCTTAAAAATCACAAGACCAGATTTCAATCCTCATCTTTGTCATTCACCTGCTAGATACCTGTTGAAGTCTCTGTTCCCATAAAACAAGGATGTTAACACCCAACTTTGTACATGTTGAGTATCCCTCATCCAAAATGCTTGGGTCCAGAAGTATTTTGGATTTTTTTGTATTTTGAAATATTTGCATTATACTTACCAGTTGAGTATCCCAAATGTGAAAATCCAAAATCCAAAATGTCCCAATGAGCATTTCTTTTGAATGTCATGTCAGTGCAAAGTTTTGGATTTTGGAGCATTTTGGATTTTCAATTTTTGGATTTGGGAGGCATTATCTGTGTGTATGTGTGAATACTAACCGAACTGTCTTTATTGTTCTAGAACTGATTTTTACTCATCTTTCCAGCCCCCATTTAAAATTATTTGTCTGACATCTTTTAAAATGTAATCAAGATAATGAATCTGTTAGCTGGACAGTGGAAGCGTGCACCTGTAATCCCAGCTACTGGGGAGGCTAAGGCATGGGAATCGCTTGAACCCAGGAGGCGGAGGTTGCAGTAAGCCGAGATCGCACCACTGCACTCCAGCCTGGGTGACAGAGCGAGACTCTTTCCCCAAAAAAATCCAAAGATGATGAATCTGAAAAAAGTTCTGTAAATTAAAATGTACTAACACAACATATTAATATATCTTGTCCATTCTCTTCATCCTATGAGAGTTTAGCTTGCAATCATTCTGCTTTGAAAAACAGTATTTATGTTCATTTGATGAAAACATGATACCAAAAAAATCCTAAGCCATAGACATTACTTTTCAATTAAACCCAAAATCTTATACTTCAAGAAAAACTGAGATTCTGTCATGAATTAATATTCAACTTCTATGTAATGCAAGTTGCTCTGGGGAAAAAAAAGGCAGATACTAGCTTGTATTTATCCATCTTTTAGTAAACATTAATAATTAAACATTAAGTCAAACTCTGGGTACCAGAAATAAAGTTACTTCCTCTGATTACTGAGAAAACTACAAGTTAGTGGAGGACACACAACTAAATTTCAGGGTGCTTCAGATGGCACCTCTACAACATCCTGAGGATGTTCTATATTTGTTTTCCTAACAGCATAAATGAGATTACATAACCACTTCAAATAACAATGTCTAGCATATCTAGTCTGTCAGAATTTATTCTTCTCTTCCCAGTGCAAGCTGTTTACACTTAACAATGAATCTTTGTTATTCCCAGATTGTTGTGATCTTTCACAATTCTTTGGCTGGAATGCTTGACCTAGACTCGCCAAGCCCTACATATCCATACAAAAAAGTTAAATGTTCCTCTTCTGAAAACAAAGCCTTATCAAATTCATCCAAGCATCTATGATCTTTTCACTAGTATATTTTAAATTTTGTATTAAGATAAACCTCATGTGACATAGAATTCACCGTTTTAACGCATCTACTTCAATAGTTTTTAGTATATTTACAAGGTTGTGCAACCATCACCACTATCTGATTCCTGAAAACTTTGATGACTTCAAAAAGAAACTCAGTTCCTCTCAATTTCTTCCCTCTTCCCTTTGCAACTATGAAGCTGCTTTCTTTCTTATGATTTGCCTATTCTGGGTATATCATACAAATGAAATCATGTGACTTTTTGTGTCTGGCTCCTTTCACTTAACGTTTTCTTTCTTTTTGTTTTGAGACGGAGTTTCGCTCTTGTCATCTGGGCTGGAGTGCAATGGTGCGATCTCAGCTCACTGCAATCTCCACCTCCCAGGTTCAAGTGATTCGCCTGCCTCAGCCTCACGAATAGCTGGGATTATGGGCACGCACCACCATGCCTGGCTAATTTTTTTTTATTTAGTATAGATGGGGTTTCACCATGTTGGTCAGGCTGGTCTTGAACTCCTGAACTCAGGTGATCTCCCCACCTCGGCCTCCCAAAGTGCTGGGATTAAAGGCATGAGCCACCATGCCCACTGTGCCCGGCCTTCACTTATGTTTTCAAGGTTTCATCTATGTTATAGCATGTATCAGTACTTTACTCCTATTTATGGCTAAATGATATTCCATTATAGACTTATAAAACATTTTGTTTATCCATTCGTCATTGATAGACACTCTTCTATTACCACATACACTCTACTGAACCAGTGTAAACTTAAGTGCTTGTATGTCTGATGTTTGTCACTGGATAGCAACCTTAATAAATTCTTGTTTATTTTCATTTTGTATCCTCAGCACTTAACAACACAATGCCTTGCACATATTCAGCTACCTAAAATTAGGCTGCATAAATAATTGTCTAATCATTTACACATCACTTTAAAAGGTACTTTCATATTCATATCTTGCTTCTAGTATCTAGTTTACAGGATTAAATTTAAGAACATAGTAAGATCCCATTTCTCTTTTTTTTTTTTGAGACGAAGTTTCGCTCTTGTTGCCCAGGCTGGAGTGCAATGGCGCAATCTCGGCTCACTGCAACCTCTGCCTCCCAGGTACAAGCAATTCTCCTGCCTCAGCCTCCCAAGTAGCTGTGATTACAGGTGCCCACCACCATGCCCAGCTAATTTTTGTATATTTCATAGAGACGGGGTTTCACCGTGTTGACCAGGCTGGTCGTGAACTGAACTCAGGTGATCCACCCGCCTCGGACTCCCAGAGTGCTAGGATTACAGGCCTGAGCCACTGCGCCGGGCAGATCCCATTTCTTAAAACAACAAAACAAAACAACAAAATAAAAAGCTGAGGGATACATGTAATCACATAAGTGACTGAATAGTAGTTTCTGTATATTGAGCAATTTACTATGATCCTGGTATGCATGATCTCATTTAGCCCTCAACATTGAACACTATTACTCTTCCCATTTTACAGAAGAAACAAATTTAGGGAGGCAAAATGACTTTCTCATTTTCCAATGTCTCACAGATTATAAGCGGTAAAACAAGGATCAAACAGACCAAAGACTACACTTTTAACACCATGTGAGTAAAAGATCATGTTTTTACACTAGAGTTATAAGAGATTAAAGACAAAGCTATGTAAAAATCAAGAGGTTAAGATTTTGGTTATGCCACTTAAGAGCATTATGATTTGAGGAAAGTCAGCCTCTCTAAGCCTTAGTTTGCTTAATTATAAAATGAGAATAGGGCTGGGCATGGTGGCTTACACCTGTAATCCCAGCACGTTGGGAGACCGAGGCGGGAGGATTCCTTCCAGGAGTTCGATACTAGCAAGACATCATCTCAAAAAGAAAAGAAAAAAACTTAAAAAAAGTTGTTTTAATTAAAAATGAGAACATTAATATCTGCCTTATTTCAGGACTGTTGAAAACCCTCAGCATTGATCTTCAGTGTAGTGGTCATTTCACTGTCCCAACACCTTCCAGATACAGCAAAAATAATTTACTCCCGGCTGAGTGAAATAATATCTTAAAAAATTAATTACACCTAGCTTTGCTTAATCCCTTAATATATACAGGCAAAAAATTACATTCTGCACATTCAGTTTCTCTTTCTTTGATATGATATTTTACAGAAGTATCCTTAAATTTACCTCTTCCTTCTTCTTAGGGTCTGACATCGGATTCCGGAAGAGAGGAGAGTCTCCAAAAGGTGAGTATGTTAGACTATTGATGTGCTGCTGGAGAACAGCCTGCTGGGCAGCAGAAGCATTTGGATCTGTCAAAGCTTTTAAAAAAAAAAAAAGAAAACAAAATATATATATATATATAAATGCAAGGATACAATGCATTTGTAACACAGAGCTCGGTATTCTTTTTGAAGAAGTGGTCTTCAAAATGCTCAGATCAATGGTATCATTGGGGCAGAATGTGTGTAGAGCAAACTGTAAAGAAAATCAAGAATCAAATAAGCTAATAGGTCAAATTTAGGAAGAGACATTTCATAAGATACAATACTCATATAAATTCACTTACACAGTGTTCACTGTCACTACTAATCAAAGAAAGGAAAATTTAAACAACCCTGATGAAATATTTTATGCATACCTATCACTGAAATAGCTGCATAAAAAGCCATAGTCTTTGACTTCTAGAAACATTATAGACTGGTTTGTCTAAAGGAAATAATACGACAGTATACAGGGCAAGTAGTGTGTGTGTGTGTGTGTGTGTGTGTGTGTGTGTGTGTGTGTAATTGTCTAAAGGAAATAATATGACAGTATACAGGGCAAATACTGTGTGTGTGTGTGTGCGTGCGTGTATGTAATTGTCCAAAGGAAATAATATGACAATATACAACAGGACAAGTACTGTGTGTTTGTGCGTGTACACACACACACACACACCCAGGCTGGAGTGTAGTGGCATGATCTTGGCTTGCTGCAACCTCTGCCTCCAGGCTCAAGTGATCCTCTAACCTCAGACTCCCAAGTAGCTGGGACTACAGGGGTGAGTCACCACACCAACAACAGCTAATTTTGTGTGTGTGTGTGTGTGTGTGTTTTGTTTTTTTTTTCAGAGATGGGGTTTCGCCATGTTGCCCAGGCTGGTCTTGAACTCCTGAAATTGAACTATCTGCCCACCTTGGCCTCCCAAAATGCCAGGATTACAGGAGTCAGCCACCATGCCTGGCCTCTATTTTTTAACCTCATAATTTTAATCATGAAAATTTAACTCGAACTAGAAAGAAAATAAATTCCTAAGCATTCACTGCATAGTATATATACAGTCAAGATATGGAAACAACCTACGTGTCCAATATTAAGTTAATAGTTGTAGGCGGGGTGCAGTGGCTCATGCCTGTAATCCCAGCACTGGGAGGTCGTGGCGAGCAGATCACTTGAGGTGAGGAGTTTGAGACCAACCTGGCCAATACAGTGAAACCCCACCTCTACTAAAAATACAAAAAATTAGCTGGGCGTGGGGGCGCACACCTATAACCCCAGCTGGAACCCAGGAAGTGGAGGTTTCAGTGAGCCGAGATCGCGCCACTGCACTCCAGCCTGGGTGAAAGAGCGAGACTCTGCCTCAAACAAACAAACAAAAAAGTTGTAAACATCATGACACATCAACATAGGTTATGTAGTTATTAAAAATAATAATTTGTTTCATTGTGGAAATATGAAATTATCTTTAAGTAAAATTTCCAGAATAAAAATATTATGTACATTAAGGCTACAGAGGAAGGCAGCATACAAACAAAAATGTGGTTTTTTCTTTTCCCCCAAATCCAGGTGTCTTCCTGAAGAAAATGCTTAGGCTATCCTTATAAGTTTATTATTTACATTTATTTAACATTCACATAATATAAACTGAAAGAAAAAAGAAATCACTAAGCCTAATTTTTTCTCAAAGTGTAAGAACATCTGTTATCAATTGCAGAGAATTTAGGGAACAGACATAAGTAACAATGAAGACTATTCATGATCTACCATTGTACCAAGTAAAACATTAAGAAAAAAGCAAAACCACTACAGTATACCCTGACTGAAGAAGAAACCTCTTTGCAAGATAAAATCTCTTTCCAAAAATACTGATCAAAACCCAAAACATAATAAAGTCATTTTACAGACAAAAATACTACCTTTTTCCCTTATAAACATTTACAAATAAAGTTACTGCCAAAATATAATACAATAATCCACAGTAAAGGAGTGACATAAAACTTTCTGAAAAGTCTCACAATGTTGTGGGGAGTGGGTGGAGAACAAAAGCAGTAATAACAAAAAAAAAAAAAAAAAAAAGAGGCTGGGCGTGGTGGCTCATGCCTGTAATCCCAGCACTTTGGGAGGCCGAGGCAGGCGGATCACAAGGTCAGGAGATCGAGACTATCCTGGCTAACATGGTGAAACCCTGTCTCTACTAACAAAATAGAAAAAATTAGCCAGGCATGGTGGTGGGCACCTGTAGTCCCAGCTACTCCGGAGGCTGAGGCAGGAGAATGGCGTGAACCCAGGATACAGAGCTGGCAGTGAGCCAAGGTCGTGCCACTTCACTCTAGCCTAGGCGACAGAGCGAGATTCCGTCTCAAAAACAAACAAACAAACAAAAACAGAACAGGCTGCTATAGCTAAATTAATGAAAAAGAAGAGTCAAAGGTTTCTTAAAATCGATGTATTCAATAAATACTAAAACACCGTACATTCATGTTGATATTTAACTAGACAGGACAAGTTTGCTCAGGATCTCAAACCAAGAGATGTCAATTTTAAGAGCACAGAGTAAATCATCTGTATTCAGAAAGTTCCTAAATCCAATTTAAGAGCAAAAAATAAAGAAAAGTTTTTTTTTTTTTGGTACACAGTACTACAGATTAACAGCATACTGCTATTTTGGGGACTATGCAAGGAGACTCAAGAAAAACTTTAGAGAACTCCAAACCTCACTGGTCATTTTGTTACTGGACAGGCAATTACTCATTTAGAAAACTGACCTGTCTTAGTTGATCCCATCGTTTAACAAGTACAAATCATTCTACCTGGGCGTTCTCAAAAAAAAAAAAAAAAAAAACCAAAGACTTCCTTTCACAAATCCAAACACAAGAAAGTGCATGAGCATGATTTTATATCTGTATGAATAAATATAAACTTTGTGTTAACTGTAGTATTTAAAGACACAGGTAAGAGAGTATCTTGATAGATTAGCAAAAACAAGAAAACAAACAAGCACTAGTTAAGCAACTACTGGTATTACATTCAATCTTGGTCAAAATAATTTGAAAACTTTCCAAAGAACAAATTCCAAAGAAATTTCAAAATAAAAGATTCCAAAAAACTAAATCATAACCAAATGATTAAAGGGATAGGGAAAAGTACAAAAACCAAGTCTTCTGATGAAACACAAGAATCTGATGATACTTTATCCAGAAGAAAGTCAGTGGGTTACCACAAATATACTACAGCAAGGCATGGTGGCTCATGCCAGTAATCCCAGCACTTTGGGAAGCTGAGCAAGCAGATTACTTCAGGTCAGGACTTCAAGAATAGCCTGGCCAAAATGGTGAACCTCTATCTCTACTAAAAAATACAAGAATTAGCCGGGCATGGTGACACATACCTGTAGTCCCAGCTACGCAGGAGGCTGAGACAGGAGAATTGTCTGAACCCAGAGGCAGAGGCTGCAGTGAGCCAAGATGGTGCCACAGCACTCCAGCCTGGGTGACAGAGTAAGACTCCTCTCAAAAAAAAAAAAAAAAAAAAAAGGAAAGAAAGAAAAGAAACCATACATACTAGACTGGTTTTGCTTAGCTTTAGGAAATAAAAGTAGAACCACTGGGTGGAAACTCTATGGAGGAAGGATTTGGTTTCCACACAACCAGAACAGAAGAACAGACTGTACTGCCTGTAAGGAAGCCACCATACCTGAGGTTTTTTTAAGACAAGGCACACTCACATAGTTCTAAAGTACCTTCAACTAAGATTCCGTGGTATAAAGATGTACATTCTAAAAGTAAATACAATTACCTTTAAATGGGCAGTAATGTTAAGGCACACAAATTTAATATTAACTAAATTCTTGTGTCAGGAACTTTGGAAAAAGAGATGGATTATTAAAAACCAGTCAAAAAGCTATACAAGTAAAAATGGCATATTACAATAATTTATGCTACCACCTTCTACTAAAACCAATAAAAAATGAGAAAAAAATAAAATTAAAACAATTTTTTTTTTGAGACAGAGTCTTGCTGTGTCACTCAGGCTGGAGCGCAGTAGCGCGATCTCGGCTCACTGCAACCTCTGCCTCCCAGACTAGGCAATCCTCCTGCCTCGGCCTTGCGAGTAGGTGGGATTACAGGTGCCTGCCGCCACGCCCGGCTAATTTTTGTATTTTTAGTAGAGACGGGGTTTCACCATGTTGGCCAGGATGGTCGAACTCCTGACCTCAGGTGATCCACCCGCCTCGGCCTCCCAAAGTGCTGAGATTACAGGCGTGAGGCACCGCACCAGGCCTATTTTTAATGATAAAGCTAAGTATAAAATCCGCACAGAGATCAATGAAAACTCGAATTCACCTCCGCTCTCTCCAAGACCTTATTAAATCTTTGGCTAAAAAATATTAACATTTATATATATAAACCCACAATGACAAACAATGGGAAGGTGGCAAATGAACACATGAGAAAATCTAACAAATTTCTAGGGGAAAGATGTGGACAGAGGACTGATCAAGCAGGATACAGAAAACTATAGCTTAGAGTACACTCAAAAGCAGTTACAGCTGACCTTTGAACAACACAAGTTTGAACTGTGTGGATCCACTTATGTGTGGATTTCCTCCTCTGCCACCCCTGAGAGAGCAAGACCAACACCTTCCTCCACCTTATGATTTTCCTAATAATACATTCTTTTCTTTAGCTTACTTTATAGTAAGAATATAGTACGTACTACATATAATATACGTAATTTGTACTGTTTATGTTGTCAGTAAAGCTTGGGAATCAAAGATTATTTGCAAATTATCAACTGTGTGGGGGTCAGCACCCCTAACCCTCATGTTGTCCAAGGGTCTACTAGTATGATCAAATGACGCGTATCTACCTTGGAGAATCCCAGAAGTCTAGGGACTTCAGAATACCAGGTTTGATGAAGTAGAATTGAAAACAGGAAGAGGAAAGAATTAATGGAAAGTCTAAGCCAGGCGCGGTGGCTCACACCTGTAACCCCAGCACTTTGGGAGGCCGAAGCGAGAGGATTGCTTGAGGTCAGGAGTTCGTGACCAGCCTAGCCAATATGGTGAAACCCAATACCTACTAAAAATACAAAAATTAGCCGGGCGTGGTGACATGGGCCTGCAATCCCAGCTACTCAAGAGGCTGAGGAAAGAGAATCACTTGAACCTGGGAGGCGAAGGTTGCAGTGAGCCAAGATCAAGATCACACCACTACACTCCAGTCTTGGGGAGAGAGCAAGACTCTGTCTCAAAAAAAAAAAAAGAAATGAAGTTTATATAGAAAACTACATATTGCCATTCTCCTAATCACTGATGCTCAATACACAGGTCAAAGTATGCCTTTCTCTAAGTAAACACATAAAAAGGAGAAGGGCAACTACTGTGGTTACTGCAATCATCCCAGAGCTAAGAATCTGACATTCTAACATTTAGAGGACCCTCTGATAATAGCCGGTTTCTAGATTACTTACTCTAAAGTAAAACATACTGGGAAACAAGCCCTACTCACGTACAAAGAGTTGCCAGTGAGCTTTTAAATATAAATATATATATATATATTTTTTTTTTTGGAGACAGAGTCTCGCACTTTCGCCCAGGCTGGAGTGTAGCGGCGTGACGTCGGCTCGGTGCAACTTCCGCCTCCCAGGTTCAAGCGATTCTCCCGCCTCAGCCTCCAGAGTAGCTGGGATTACAGGCATGTGCCACCATACCTGGCTAGTTTTTCTATTTGTGGTAGACATCATGGGGTTTTGCCATGTTGGCCAGGCTGGTCTCGAACGCTTGACCTCAAGCAATCCGCCTGCCTCAGCCTCCCAAAGTGCTGGGATTACAGTCATGAGCCACCATGCCCAGCCTATTTTTAATCTTAAATGGGAATGAAAAGGACCACCAAGCACTAAAGTACTATCAAAACAAAAATCATCCTGAAAATCCAAGGAACAGAAGAACGCTAAAAAAATTTTATCCCAACTGAGTTTTAAGCAAAAAAACTGTATCTAAGAAACAGGTGTTGTGGTTAAAAAAAAACTTTCAGAGAACAAGAATGAATTCTTCCAAATTAAAAACAAAAATCTGGCAGGAGCGGTGGCTCATGCCTGTAATCCCAGCACTTTGGGAGGCTGAGGCAGGTGGATCACCTGAGGTCAGGAGTTCGAGACCAGCCTGGCCAACATGGTGAAACCCCATCTCTACTTAAACTACAAAAATTAGCTGGGCGTGTGGCAGGCACCTGTAATCCCAGCTATTTATGAGACTGAGGAAGGAGAATCGCTTCAATCCAGGAGGCGGATATAGAAGTGAGCCGAGATCGCGCCACTGCACTCCAGCTTGGGTGACAGTGCGAAACTCCGTCTCAAAAAAAAAGGAAATCCAAAAAGACTGAGAAGACAACAAAAAAATCTCCCAGAAAGCAGAAACACAGGTCAAAGACACAACTGTTAAGATAGAAAGGATCTAAGCAAAATGTAGTAAAATGTCAGGACAAAAGGACAATCCTAAATGCTTTTGAGGATAGAGGGCACAGGTCACAAGAAGCACAAGAGCATTAGACCATCAGTAATGGTTACTGCAAGAAGGAAGACAGTCGATGTTCTGAGAATAAATTATTTTCACACAAGTCCCTAATATTAAATTGTGTGGAATGAATGAAGGTATTTTCAGACCTCTAAGTAGTCAAAGGTTAGCCTTCATATTACACTTCACTTGAAGACACATTCCAGAAAATTCAGAAAATAAATAAAGAGAAAAACCCTATATGCAGGACATAGCAGTTCTCACTGAGCAGACTTGACGAGAATATCTTGAAGCAATGCTGAAGGCCTAGAGAATAATCAGAGTCCACACTGCTGCAGGAGGACAGAGGTAGCAGAGAATGAAGTAACTGGGGTAAATGAAATGTTCTGATACCATCCTTCAGAATTTGGAACAGTTCTATGGAAGTCAGTAAGCGGTGGTAATACCAGGGAAAATAGGAATCAGAAACTCCAAGGGGAAAAAATCTGGGCAGCACTACTTTCGTAAGTTGTAACAGAATCATTTGCAACAGTTCATTTGCAACTATTAAATTATTCTTCAAAGAACAGAAGACAGAAGACAGTAACAGTTACAGGACAGAAAATATTATCAATTTTATCAATATAAAAATAAAGATGGGGCCAGGTGCGGTGGCTCACACCTGTAATCTCAGAACTTTGGGAGGCCAAGGTAGATGGATCACCTGAGGTCAGGAGTTCGAGACCAGCCTGGCCAACATGGTAAAACCCCATCTGTACTAAAATTACAAAAATTATATGCGTGGTGGCAGGCACCTGTAATCCCAGCTACTCAGGAAGCTGAGGCAGCAGAATTGCTTGAACCTGGGAGGCAGAGGTTGCAGTGAGCCGAGATTACATCACTGCACTCCAGCCTAGGAGATAGAGCAAGACTCTGTCTCCAAAAAAAAAAAAAAAAAAAAGATGAGAAAAGAAATAAGGGTAATAAAAACATAGGGAAAGGTACTAATATCCTCATCTGACAAAGAAGACTCAAGAAATATTATCACCTTGTTGACAGAATAAGAAAAATATGTAAGTACGCAGCTTAAATTTGCAAAGGTTTCTCAAAACCTGACACATGTATCATGATAGTATGGGAGATTAATTTAGTGGTACAGAAAGATCTGACTATTCATTCTATTTATCTCAGTTACTCTGTTTATGCCAGGTGATAACCCGTTTTTCACTTCCTGTGGAATATAATTTTCTTTTCTTTTACTTTTTTCTTTTTTTTGTTGAGACGGACTCCCACTCTGTCACCCAGGTTGGAATGTAGTGGCGCGATCTCGGCTCACTGTAACCTCCACCTACCGGGTCCAAGCGATTCTCCTGCCTCAGCCTCCTGAGTACCTAGGATTACATGCACATGCCATCATGCCCAGCTAATTTTTGCATTTTTAATAGAGATGGGGTTTCACCGTGTTGGCCAGGCTGGTCTCAAACTCCTGACCTCGTGATCCACCCGCCTCGGCCTCCCAAAGTACTGGGATTATAGGCGTGGGCCACCAGGTCCAGCCCATAATTTTCTTTAAAAAGCTATTTAAATTAAAAAGTAAGTTAATTTCGGCCTGGCGTGGTGGCTCACGCCTCTAATCCCAGCACTTTGGGAGGCCGAGGCGGGCGGATCACGAGGTCAGGAGATCGAGACCATCCTGGCTAACATGGTGAAACCCCGTCTCTACTGAAAATACAAAAAAATTAGCTGGGCATGGTGGCGGGCACCTGTAGTCCCAGCTACTCAAGAGGCTGAGGCGGGAGAATGGCGTGAATCTGGGAGGTAGAGCTTGCAGTAAGCCAAGATCGCACCACTGTACTCCAGCCTGGGCAACAGAGTGAAACTCCATCTCAAAAAAAAAAAAAAAAAAAAGTAAGTTAATTTCCTTAAGTTCAAAATACATAATAAAGTGGTAGGTGGACCCTGGCAAAGTCTGGAAGGTGGTATTCAAATGAATGAAGTATGAAAAACACCTCAGGCTGTGCGTGGTGGCTTACACCTGTAATCCTTGCACTTTGGGAGGCCGAGGTGGGCGGATCACGAGGTCAGGAATTCGAGATCAGCCTGGCGAACATGGTGAAACCCTGTCTCTGCTCAAGATACCAAAAAAAAAAATTAGCTGGGTGTGGTGGCATGCACCTGTAATCCCAGCTACTCAGGAAGCTGAGGCAGAAGAATCACTTGAACCCAGGAGGTGGAGGTTGCAGTGAGCTGAGATCACATCACTGCACTCCAGCTTGGGCAACAGCGCGAGACTCCTTTTCAAAAAAATAAAATAAAGAAAAACACTTCAATAGATAAAACTAAATTTAGGAAATACAGTAAATTTAGTAAACATAATTATATTGGAAGAAGTAAATAAAGTAGAGGTGATACATGAGCTAAATTCTCATCTACCATAACAGGTTACATTTACTTAGATTTAATAAACCAAAACACAGTAATATAAGCACATTTAGCGATATGAACTAAATTATATATCAGATGAATTAAAAATAGTAACAAAAGTGGTTTCTTTGACAGAGGAGGCCTAGGAGCTGGGAAAGCAGAGTAGGCCAGGATCTATTAATAAGCCCTTCTTTACTACCCAATTGTTTAATGACATGCATGTATGCAATGCCTTGGTAGGAATGGGACAGGTGTAGGATGGAAAATCAGGTCAGCAAGTATTAGCAAAAAATTAAGAAAAGCCTTCTAAAGTGACTGACACTTACCTACTGGGGCCTGGGGGGCTCCAAAGCCCAAAGTGGCTGTCGTAGTATTAAATCCAGGGGCCCCAAAGGCTCCTGTACCAAGAGGCCCTCCAATCTTAGGTTGGTTGTTCCCAAACAAAGATGCCTGTCCAGCACCAAGAGCTACGGAGACAAGAGGAAAGAAAAAAGCACCACAGAAGATCCTTTCAATGTTGTGCCAGAGGTCAGTTACTTAAAAATATAATACATTTGGAAACTTCATAGTGACCACTCATTTCAACAAAGGGGTGAATACGGTAAGTGTTACTGCAGGTCAAGTACTGCGCTCAGTACATTATACACATCATAGGTAAAATACTTAAATCTCTCTGTGCTTCAGTTTCCTCAATTATAACATGAAGTAACACATAGCTTAGATAGTAATCCTAAAATTAAAATGGATAAACATTCATAAAGCATTTAGAAGACATCGGGAACATACTACATGCTCATCAAAATGTCTGGTGTAGAAACTATTATTCCCTTTTAACAGAGGAGAAAACTTAGGGTTTAGTAATTAGCACGATGTCACAATGTTATAAATGATAGAAATGGGGTTCAAACCTAGGTGTATTTGACAACCAGGGCTCTTAACTGCCTGCCACCTATAATAAAACAGGTTTCCAAAGAATTTTTAAAAATTAATTATTCTTAAAATTCAATACTTGCAAATCAAAATACTCAACTAACACAATCATGTCATCTTTCTTACAGACAACTATAGGAAAACTAAATCCAACATATCGTCTTTCACTAACACAACACTTTCAATTATACCATCTCATGAAAACTGGTTTATCTAGACAAACTTGTTTTACAAAAAGCTCAACGTCTTCTGGTGAGGTTACTAAACAGACTCAAATTTCAGCACGAACCAGAGTGGTTGGACTAAGAACTCATTTTCACCAGAGGAAAACCCATTGTAGAAACTGGTATTGTTGAATTTTGCTTAGGGACCTTGTTGCCGGTGGTGATTTTAGAAGTGTAAAACGGGGAAGAATATGGTGAATACAAGTTATTGGCATTATTAAAAAAAATTCCATTCAATTTCCCACCATATTTCCCCAAAATTATTGGCAATTGATAAGATTTAAAGTTCCATTAAAAAAAGAGAGAGAGAGACAGGATCTCATTATGTTACCCAGGCTGAGTCCTGGGCGAAAGTAATCCTCCCACCTTAGCCTCTGAGTAGCTGGAACTACAGGCATGCATCACCATGCATGGCTTCTGAAGTTCTTTTTAACATATCAACTGCATCTTGAAACAAATACCGTTTACCAGGAAAATCACTTCAAAGATATAATACTTGCAGGTCAAAAATATTGTATGGGAACTGCTTTGAGATCACAATCAAAAAAGAACAGAAAGTTTATACCAAGACAACCCACACAATATAAATCAGTAAGGATGACTACTGAACAAATTACTGACTGTCCAACCTCATTAAAAATAAGACAACAGGGCCGGGCACGGTGCCTCACGCCTGTAATCCCAGCACTTTGGGAGGTCGAGGCGGGTGGATCACCTAAAGTTAGGAGTTCAAGACCAGCCTGACCAACATGGAGAAACCCTGTCTCTACTAAAAATACAAAAATTAGCTGGGTGTGGTGGCACATGCCTGTAACCCAGCTACTCGGGAGGCTGAGGCAGGAGAATCGCTTGAACCCGGGAGGTGGAGGTTGCGGTGAGCCAAGATCACGCCATTGCACTCCAGCCTGGGCAACAAGAGCAAAACTTTATCTCAAAAAAAAAAAAAAAAAAAAAAAAAGACAGCTTTGGGACAAAGAATAAGACTTCTTTTAAAGTTCTAAACCATTAGTAATTAACGCAAGCTCCAAGAAATACTAAAATTATATTACTTCATCAAAGGAAATAGTTTACAGCACAAACTACAGAATTGTTTATTTTCTGGTAGTCTAATACCTCCTTGCCTCCAAACAAAAACTTAGGTGAAACTCAAATATATAAAATAGATGAAAAATTCTACTCTAAATGTGTATTGCCCTCACCTTTACAGCATCCCTGGACGATGACCCATGAATCATTCTAAAATCACTGTACTGTATTTCAGTAATCCACAGAAGAATTAAAAAAAGGTACTGTGGGCTGGGCGCGGTGGCTCACGCCTGTAATCCTAGCACTGTGGGAAGCCGAGGAGGGCAGATCACCTGAGGTCAGGAGTTCGAGACCAGCCTGACAAACATGGAGAAACCCTGTCTCCACTAAAAATACAAAATTAGCTGGTCGTGGTGGCACATGCCTGTAATCCCAGCTACTCGGGAAGGCTGAAGCAGGAGAATCGCTTGAGCCCGGGAGGCGGAGGTTGCAGTGAGCCGAGATCATGCCATTGCACTCCAGCCTGGGCAAGAAGAGCAAAACGCAGTCTCAAAAAAAAAAAAAAAAAGTACTGTGAGGTTTGAGTTGTCTGTAAAGGGATTATCATAAAATGACTTGACTACTGACTATTGCAATGGAAAAATAGGTATTTTTATCCAGATCTGCCTTGTTTTATGCACAAATGGCTTTTTATGTTTAATGAAAGAAGTAATGGTCCACAATTTGAGAGACATTCTGAGTGTGATGTTGTGTGATACAATAAAGTTCTGGTAATTTGTCAAGATAGGAAAAATGTGCTATATTTATGATTAGCTGTAGCAGTTATAAAGAAGCTATATGGGGGGCAAAATGGTAATAGTGGCCTTAGAAACTCCAAAGAAAATCAAGAAAAAATTGAAAATGGTTATTTTCCTTTTGAGATATTCCAAAATTGTTAGAATTTAAATTTATCTGAGGCATCTATTAGCACCAGAAAGATTTTTCTATGTCTCTCTTAGTATTACAATCAACCTTCCTATATGTAGCCATTACTTCAAGGAAAACCTGTAGAACAAAGGTTTATTATTATTACTAAATAACCAAGGCAGTGGTGTGCAATTGATAGTGCTAATGATGTTAATATCACTATAAAACAAGAAATTGTTATGTCCATGAGTTAATGAATGTTTCTTAGTCTCAACACATGGGGCGGGAGAAAATCACATGCCAAGGGTCAGTATAAAACCTTTTATACTAAGATTGGTTTCTTACATCGAAGCATACAAAAATATCTTATGTATCTGTACATTTAATATTTGTGTAACAACTACTCATTAAGTACCCAAACGCCCACATTACAGGAGGCTTGAGTTTGAATCACCATCACTGAAAATAAGAAGCTGCAGAGAAACACCCACTTAGCTATTGCCTCCCAAAAATACAGCCTGAAGCTATAGTGCTAGTCTACCTGTTAAACCATGAAATGCAGAGTTCAGGAACGTGGGTGTTTATATGCAAGTCTCAGGAAATGTTCCTCCCAAACCCAAGGGCCTGCTTCAGCAGATGTGATCATCAGGGAATTGCAACAGTGTGTGTGCTTGCTGACTCACAATTCTCATTTCCCTACATGATATGCTGCTGCTAAGGTTGGGGGTGTAAAATTCTTAATTGATTGTATTCATCTTTTAGTTTATAGGAGAGGCATGTATAAGGAATATACAACAGCAACACAATGCAGTTTGTTTATTGTGAGAGAGAACTGTTGAAGAAAAACAGAATATATTAAAATAAAATGTTAGGATATTACATTATTGTGGAATGAGAGACAAAAGCATCAGAAAAAGAATTATAGAGTCTTGGAATATGGGGGAAGACATTGCTAATCATAACCTACAAGATCCAGGAGCCAAAGTAATTCTGATCACATAAAAATAAAACTTGTGGCTGGGCGCAGTGGCTCATGCCTGTAATCCCAGTACTTTGGAAGGCCGAGGCAGGAGGATCACGAGGTCAGGAGTTCCAGACTAGCCTGGCCAAAATGGTGAAACCCCATTTCTACTAAAAATACAAAAATTAGGTTGAGGCACAAGAATTGCTTGAGCCTGGGAGGCAGAGGTTGCAGTGAGCCGAGATCACACCACTACACTCCAGCCTGGGCAACAGAGCAAGAGTCCATCTTGGAAAAAAATAAAACTTGTGGCCCAGCACAGTGGCTTATGCCGGGAGGCTGAGGCAGGCAGATCACCTGAGGTCAGTCGTCCAAGACCAGCCTGGCCAACATGGTGAAACCCCATCTCTATTAAAATTACAAAAATTATTAACAACAAAAAAAGAAAAGCCTTCCTTAATTTGAATTTGAGCAAAAGAAAAAAAAGAAAAGAAAAGCCTTCCTTAATTTGCCCGTACCAAAGCTATTTTTTCCTACAGGGTTGGAAGAAACCATTATTTGATTTCAGATGATATATTCTGAATATGTTTAGGGATCACACTGTACAACAAAATGAGAGCTTTTGTTTTTATTTCTTGCAAAATTTATGTGGTAGAAGTTGGATAAGTTGAAAAGCTCAAATGAAATGCTTTCTGGGGTATAATGAGGAATTTTCATTAAAAAAAAAAAAACAATTATATAACCAAAAAGAGTTAATATCCACAATACACAAAGAATCCTTAAAAATAAATTAAGAGGGCCGGGCGCGGTGGCTCACGCCTGTAATCCCAGCACTTTGGGAGGCCGAGGCGGGTGGATCATGAGGTCAGGAGATCGAGACCATCCTGGCTAACAAGGTGAAACCCCGTCTCTACTAAAAATACAAAAAATTAGCCGGGCGCGGTGGCGGGCGCCTATAGTCCCAGCTACTCGGGAGGCTGAGGCAGGAGAATGGCGTGAACCCGGGAAGCGGAGCTTGCAGTGAGCCGAGATTGCACCACTGCAGTCCGCAGTCCGGCCTGGGCGACAGAGCGAGACTCCGTCTCAAAAAAAAAATAAATAAATAAATTAAGAGGCCGGGCACAGAGGCTCACGCCTGTAATCCCAGCACTTTGGGAGGCCGAGGCTGGTGGATCACTTGAGGTCAGGAGTTCGACACCAGCCTGGCCAACATGGTGAAACCCCATCTCTAACTAAAAAAATACAGTTAGCCGGGTGCAGTGGCACATGCCTGCAATCCCAGCTACATGGGAGGCTGAGGCAGGAGAATCACTTGAACCCAGGAGGCGGAGGTTGCCATGAGCTGAGATCACACCATTGTACTCCAGCCTGGCAACGAGAGAAACTCGGTCTCTAAATAAATAAATAAATAAAATATAAATTAACAAGAATCTCAAGTTAGTGGTAGGTGCAGAAAAAAAGAAACAATAATCCAACACTATGAACAGAGAACTGACTTAAATGGCAAATAAAAAAAAAAACAAAGATATTCACCTTTGCCAGTAATCAGTGAGGTGCAAACTGGAATGTACCAATTTCTACTGTCATGTATGAAAAGACAAAAAAGCCCAGTATGGAAAATACAGAAAAATGGGCATTGTATATAATGTGAGCAACACAAACTGGTATTTTTGAAAGGCAAATTAGCAAATTCAACCAAAATCTGAAATATGCGTATATTCCAACACTGCAATTCCAATTTGATGTATCAATCCTACAATAAACTAACACCTGCAAAATTATGTAACAAAAAATGTTCACTGAGGGTTTTGCCAACATCATCAAATAAATGTCCATCAATAGGTGAAATGTTAAATAATGGTATATGTATGATGTGTGTAAATTGTGTGTACTTAATGGAATACTAAATAATTTTTTTTAGGAATGAGACTTTTCTCTGGAGTGCAGCGGAATGATCACCGCTCACTGCAGTCTCAACTTCCAAAGCTCAGGTGATTCTCCCACCTCAGCCTCCCGAGTAGCTTGGACTACAGGCACATGCCACCAAGCCCAGCTAACTTTTTGCATTTTTAGTACAGAGAGGGTCTCCCTACATTGCCCAAGTAATCCGCCCACCTCAGCCTCCCAAAGACCTGGCATTACAGGCATGAGCCACCTCATCCAGCTCTAAATAGCGTTTTTCAAAATGAGATTGATATGTATGTACTGACCAAAAGAAAAACTGGTATTATGTGAAATGAAAATACAAGTCACAGAACACTATGTAAGACAGTGCTTTCAAACATTTTCAACTACAGCACATGCAATGAAAATCACTGAGATCCGAAACACATAAACACAAACACAACTGAGACAAAGTTTCATAAAAGGATACTAACCTTAACATTTTAAATGTTTTTTTTTTGTTTTTTGTTTTAGGACAGCGTCTCATTCTGTTACCCAGGCTGGAGTGCAGTGGTACTATCGTAACCCACTGCAGCATCTACCTCCCAGGCTGAAGCGATCCTCCCACAGCACATCTCATTCAGCTGCTTGAGTAGCTAGGACTACAGGCACATGCCACCATGCATATCTATTTTATTTTATTTTTTTGATAGCATCTTACTATGTTGCTCAAGATGATGTTAAACTCCTGACGTCAAGCAATCCTCCTGCCTAGGCCTCCCAAAGTGCTGGGATTAGAAGCATAACCCATTAGGCCCAGCCTACTGATTTTTAATTCTACTTCATTTTCTTCAAATGCTGATTGCAGGCAACTATATTAATTATAACCAACTAATGCACCTCAGTCTCTGGCTTAAAAGTCACTCATACAGGGTGTAGTTTCCATTTAAAAATATAATCCCAGGCCGGGCACGATGGCTCACACCTGTAATCCCAGCACTTTGGGAGGCCGAGGCGGGCAGATCACCTGAGGTCAGGGGTTTGAGACCAGCCTGACCAACATGGAGAAACCCCGTCTCTCCTAAAAATACAAAATTAGCTGGGCATGTGGGCACATGCCAGTAATCCCAGCTACTCGGGAGGCTGAGGCAGGAGAATAGCTTGAAACCAGGAGGCGGAGGCTGCGGTGAGCCGAGATTGTGCCATTGCACTCCAGCCTGGGTAACAAGAGCAAAACTCCGACTCAAAAAACAAACAAGAATATAATCCTAAACCCTAAATATAAAAGACATGTATGTACAGACGTGTGTGTGTGTAAACATGTCCGAAAAATGCACAGAAACGGGTCTGACAAGATACATGCCAAACAACCCTAATCATTTCACAGCTGAAAAAGACTGGACTTTTCATGAAATTTCTGAATTGTTAAAAACTTTTTACCAGCACTTACATCTTTTATCTTAAGCAGAGAGCACTGACTCATGCCTATATTCCCAGCACTTTAAGAGCTCAAGGCAGGAGGATGGCTTCAGCCCAGGGGTTCGAGACCAGCCTGGGCAAAACAGGTCGACCTCATCTCTCCAAAATATTAAAAAACTAGCCAAGCATGGTGGCTTGCACCTGTTGTCCCAGTTACTAGGGAGGCTGAGGTGGGAGGATGGTTTGAGCCTGGGAGGTAGAGGTTGCAGTGAGCTGTGATCATGCCAATGCACTCCACCCTGGGTAACAGAGCAAGAACCTGTCTCAAAATAAAACACCTTTTATCTTAAAAAGAAGACTGAAGGCTGGGCGCGGTGGCTCATGTCTGTAATCCCAGCACTTAGGGAGGTTGAGGTGGGAGGATCACGACGTCAGGAGTTCGAGACCAGCCTGGCCAACATGGGGAAACCCTGTCTCTACTAAAAATACAAAAATTAGCTGGGTACGGTGGCGTGCGACTGTAGTCCCAGCTACTCGGGAAGTGGAGGTTGCAGTGAGCCGAGATTATGCCACTGCACTCCAGCCTGGGGGACGGAGCAAGACTCCATCTCAAAAAAAAAAAAGGGAAATTGAAAAAAATAAAAATAAAAACCACAAAAGCAGATCATAGTACAAAATGAGGTTCCATTAAGAAGGAAATGACAGCCAGGCACGGTGGCTCACACCTGTAATCCCAGCACTTTGGAGGCCAAGGAGGGAGGATCACCTGAGGTCAGGAGTTCAAGACCAGCCTGACCAACATAGTGACACCCCATCTCTACTAAAAATACAATAATTAGCCAAGGATGGTGATACACACCTGTAATCCCAGCTACTAGGAAGGCTGAGGGAGGAGAATTGCTTCAACCTGGGAGGCAGAGATTGCAGTGAGCTGAGACTGCACCACTGCACTCCAGCCTGAACGACAGAGTGAGACTCCATCTCCAAAATAAATAAATAAATAAATAAATAAATAAAAAAGAAGGAAATGACAGATGAATGCTCAGATGATAGAAGGGGAAAAAAAAAACAGATTAACTGGACAGTGGAAGCAGACTATGGAAATGGTTTGCAACTAAATGACCACACCTGCAGTCAAACGAATTGAAAAAGTAGGCAAAACTCTATGTTTAACTAAACAACCTAGTTTTACTGTACATGCTAAAACACTTATATATTTTATGACCATCATCACGCTCCAGCTGTTTAAAAACAGCTGGGCAGGTAGAAGGGTCAGTATCTTCAAAGGCACTGAAAAATAGTTGTTAACAGTAGGAATCAGGGAAAAGGGGTGACACTGGTCTATATGACAATGGAACTAAATGAAATTCTCCTTGCAAAGGAGAATTACATCAGCATGTGCTCTTATTGCTCTGCCTTTCTATTAGGGCTTACTTTGATGAACAGTTTAAGGTCTCAAATCCCTGTTACAAAAGTAACATGGGGAAACTGAAAGTTAATGTCCTCATGACAATTCTCACATTAAATACTAAAAATCCCAAAAAGACCAGGACTATCAGAGGACATTTTGTAGAAAAGGGAGCATACAGCTTCTAACACAAACATGCCAATATTTTAAAGCCTGGTAAAGCATAACTGCTGGGAATGTCTTATAAACGCAACTGGAAAAACGAAAAGGTAGACTTCTTAATTCCAGTAACATAATCAAACAGATCTCTCAAGTTCCAGAAACTAGAAAGTCAAGCTGTGTCACTTCCTAGATCTCATGGTAGCAGTTTCTTACCTGTTCCAAATCCTGCACCAAGCCCAGTTCCAAGAGTCCCAGGTGCTGGTTTACTTCCAAAAATACTATTCCCACTGGTATTTGTGCCAAAACCTAGGAAGACAAAAGAATGAGTGGATTGTACTTTTAATATAACTCTCAATTTCCTCTATAAGGGAGTTTAACACAAAGCAGTCTGACTTTAAGTTGTGAACCTTTCAGTTAATATTTAGGACTCCTAACTTGTAGGATAACTTAAAAAAAAAATTTCACATATGCAAACAAGTCTTCATATTTACTTAATTACATTTCAGCCTTGAAATATCAATTCAAAGGCCATGCGCGGTGGCTCACGCCTGTAATCCCAGCACTTTGGGAGGCCGAGGCTGACAGATCACCTGAAGTCAGGAGTTCAAAACAAGCCTGGCCAAGATGGTGAAACCCCGTCTCTATAAAAATACAAAAAAAAAAAAAAAAAAAAAAAAAAAAAAAAAAAAGGCCAGGTATGACGGTGCGTGCCTGTAATCCCAGCTACTCGGGAGGCTAAGGTGGGAAAATCGTTTCAACCCAGGAGGCAAAGGTTGCAGTGAGCCTAGATTGCGCCACTGCACTCCAGCCTGGGCAACAGAGCAGGACTCTGTCTCGAAAACAAATAAAAATAAATAAATAAATAAAATAAAATAAAGAAATATCAATTCAATATAGGATAATATCAATATTCAAGCAAAGTGAACACACTTGAGCTTTGGGAACATTGCCTTTGTAAGGCCCAAAGCTTTCAATGCAAGTTTCAAGTTTATTTAGAAGAGAAATTAATTCCCCCTAACTTGTACTAAAAAAAATGAAACAACTGGCCAGGTGTGGTGGCTTACGCCTGTAATCCCAACACTTTGGGAGGCCAAGGTGGGCGGATCATGAGGTCAAGAGTTCGAGAACAGCCTGGGGAACATGGTGAAACTCTGTCTCTACAAAATATACAAAATTAGCCGGGCATGATGGCGCATGCCTATAAACCCAGCTACTTGGGAGGCTGAGGCAGGAGTATCACTTGAACCCGGGAGACGGGGGTTGCAGTGAGCCAAGATCGTGCCACTGCACTCTAGCATGGATAGAGTGAGACTCTGTTTCAAAAAAAATACAAAATAAAATAAAAATAAAACAATCAACAAAGACACTTTAACTGAACCTAAAGGTCCTTGCTAAGAAAAAAATTACTTACAAAACTTTCCACAGTAGCTTTTATTTTGAATAGATGAACCTAGCCAGGATAGTAACGTGTAGCTGATTACACGTGAGAAGTCTTCTTCACTATGACCCACCATTTAAACAAAATCCTATAATTTCCCTTTAAAATCCACAGGTATCAGCCAGGCACGGTGGCTCACAACTGTAATCCCAGCACTCTGGGAGGCCAAGGTGGGCAGGTCACTGGAGTTCACAAGTTCAACGCCAGTCTGGCCAACATGGAGAAACCCCACCTCTACTAAAAATACACAAATTAGCTGGGTGTGGTGGTGCACACCCAGAATCCCAACCACTTGGGAGGCTGAAGCAGGAGAATTGCTTAAACCCGGGAGGCAGAGGCTGCAGTAAGTCGAGATCGCACCACTGCACTCCAGCCTAGACGACATAGCGAGACACTATCTCAAAAAAAAAAAAAAAAAAAAAAATCCATAGGTATCAAACAAAGATCCTATTCTGTACTGCTGCCATTACTTTTCTTTTCTTCATCTATGCCCACAGTTTCATTATTCTTTTTGTAAATAAATATCAACAAAACAATTAATGAATATGTCATTAATTTCTCATGAGAGAAAAGAAATCATTAGCCAGAAAACCCTGTTTGCAGAACATATGAAGTCATTTAAAAGTCATAAAGCACTGGGCATGATGGCTCACGCCTGTAATCCCAACACATTGGGAGGCAGAGGCAGGTGGATCACTTGAGGAAAGGAGTTTAAGACTAGCCTGGCCAACATGTGAAACCTCTTCTCTACTACCACGAAAAAAAAAAAAAAAATTAGCTGGCTGTGGTGGTGCACGCTTGGAATCCCAGCAATTTGGGAGGCTGACGCAGGAAGATCGCTTGAACCAAGGAGGCAGAGGGTTACAGTGAGCTGAGATCACACCACTGCACTCCAGCCTGGGCAACAGAGCAAGACTCCGTCTCCAAAAGAAAAAAAAAATCATGGAGGAAAAAGTAGCCCAAAAAGATAACAAACAGAATAAAGAGACTATTTTAGAACAGATGAAAGTATCACTAATATTATACTTTGTTGTGCCAGTATTTGGATTATTATCTCAATGAAAAAAATCAAGAAGAAAGCTGAAGAATATAAAAGTTTAAAAACAATCGTATTTCATGTCATTTTAAAATTCAAGCAAGCAGGCCGGGCGCAGTGGCTCACGCCTGTAATCCCGCCACTTTGGGAGGCCAAGGCAGGTGGATCACAAGGTCAGGTGTTCAAGACCAGCCTGGCCAAGATGGTGAAACCCCATATCTACCAAAAAATACAAAAATTAGCCGGGTGTGGTGGCAGGCGCCTATAATCCCAACTACTTGGGAGGCTGAGGCAGAGAGCTGCTTGAACCTGGGAGGCGAAGGTTGCAGTGAGCCAAAATCACGCCACTGCACTCCAGCCTGGGTGACAGAGAAAGACTCCATCTCGAAAAAAATAAATACATGAAATAAAATCCAATCAAGTAACCTGACTTAATCGCAATATATTTGACTTAGACATTCATTGAATCTCTTCTTTAATTCTTCTAATAGCTATGCCACAAAAATGGGGTGCTGCCTACTCAAGCATCATCAATTTTCCTTGATGAAAACACAAAAAATGTACTTGGAGATATTCTTTTCCTTTTTGAATAAAAATTTAATCAAAAGGGATCTTACAGTCCCATAAGCAGCAGAAAACAAGACACTCGTGAACTATCTCAAACCCACAGAAGGGAAATAAATCCCAACTTACACTGTTTATACCACACATTTCCTCCGATTCTCACTGACAAGTTTATCGACTTGTAAAATTCAATTTTACAAATTACAATTAAAAAGACAATTCAAATTCGGCACACAAGTTGGTGAGACAACTCAGATAAAGATGACACCTTTCATTTTCATATCACTGAAGATGACTGTAAATATATTCGCACACCAAAAAAAAACCTCTAAGCAAATCAGAAATCTGCAACCATCACTGCAACTTCTGCCTCCTGGGTTCAAGTGATTCTTCTGCCTCAGCCTCCCGAGTAGCTGGGATTACAGGCATGCACCACCATGCCCAGCTAATTTTTGTGTTTTTAGTAGAAATGGGGTTTTACCATGCTGGCCAGTCTATCTCGAACTCCTGACCTCAGGTGATCTGCCAGCCTCGGTCTCCCAAAGTGCTGGGATTACAGGCGTGAATCACCACACTCGGCTTGTTTTTGTTTTTTGGGGAGACATCATATATATCTTAATATACATCACATATAACATCAAATATATCTTTAAAAAAATTTTGTCGGCTGGGCGCAGTGGCTCACGCCTGTAATCCCAACCTTTTGGGAGGCCGAGGTGAGCGGATCACGAGGTCAGGAGATCGAGACCATCCCGGCTAACATGGTGAAACCCCGTCTCTATTAAGAATACAAAAAAATTAGCCAGACGTGGCAGCATGCGCCTACAGTCCCAGCTACTTGGGAGGCTGAGGCAGTAGAATGGTGTGAACCCGGGAAGCGGAGCTTGCAGCAAACCGAGATCGTGCCGCTGCACTCCAGCCCGGGCGACAGAGCGAGACTCCATCTCAAAAAAAAAATATATATATATATCTATATATCTATATCTATATCTATATGTGTATATATATATATTTTATCAAGTGTAGCCTATACAAACACCCTTATAGTGTTCAGATAAAAATAACGGGCTGGGCGCAGTGGCTCATGCCTGTAATCCCAGCACTTTGGGAAGCCAAGACAGGCAGATCACCTGAGCTCAGGAGTTCGAGGCCAGCCTGGGTGACATGGCAAACCCTGTCTCTACAAAAACACAAAAATTAGCCAGGTGTGGTGGTGCATGCCTGTAGTCCCAGCTACTCAGGAGGCTGAGGTGGGAGGATCACTTGAGCCCAGGAGGCGGAGGTTGCAGTGAGCTGAGATCACACCACTACACTCGAGCCTGGGAGACAGAGATCCTGTCTCCCCAAAAAACAAACAAAACAAAACAAAACAAAAATGCCGAGCGTGGTGGTTCACACCTGTAATCCCAGCACTTTGGGAGACCGAGGCTGGCAGATCACCTGAGGTCAGGAGTTCCAGACTAGACTGGCCAACATGGTAAAACCCTGTTTCTACTAAAAATACAAAAATTAGCTGGGCGTGGTGGTGCATGCCTGTAATCCCAGCTACTTGGGAGGCTGAGGCAGAAGAATCGCTTGAACCCAGGAGGCAGAGGTTGCAGTGAGCTGAAATCGCGCCACTGTACTCCAGCCTGGGTGACAAGAGCGAAACTCCGTCTCAAAAAGAAAGAAAAGAAATAATATTTAATTTTGAACATGAAGCATGCTACAAAAAAAAGAGCTTTATTAAAAACACACATTTTCAAAGGGAGTGGAAATTGGTTCTTGAGGGACTAAAATATCACAGATTATGATAGTTTGTGGCCCTCCAGAGAGTCACACAACATAAGCAGATACACAGTATATGCGTGGTATGAAAATCTCAGGGGAAGGGAGATGATGATTAAGAAAAAACAGGCCAGGCGTGGTGGCTCACGCCTGTAATCCCAGCACTTTGGGAGGCCAATGCCGGCAGACCATGAGGTCACAACATCGAGACCATCCTGGCTAACATGGAGAAACCCCGTCTCTACTAAAAATACAAAGAAAAAATTAGCCGGGGGTGGTGGTGGGTGCCCGTAGTCCCAGCTACTCGGGAGGCTGAGGCAGGAGAATGGCGTGAACCCAGGAGGCAGGGCTTGCAGTGAGCCCATATCTGGCCACTGCACTCCCGCCTGGGAGACAGAGCGAGACTCCGTCTCAAAAAAAAAAAAAGAAAGAAAAAAGAAAAAACAGTCCCATTACAGCAGGTACAACTTAAAAATGAAAAAATAGTCTACAAACGGTCCATGGGGAAGGGTAAGTGATAATAGAAAAGGTTGAGAAACGCTAACTGACCCTTAACTATCTTTCCATTTTAATTTTATAGGAAAGAAATAAGTAGGGATGGGTGCAGTGGCTCACGCCTGTAATCCCAGCACTTTGGGAGGCCGAGGAGGGCAGATCGCCTGAGGTCAGGAGTTCAAAACCAGCCTCGCCAACACGGTGAAACCCCATCTCTACTTTAAATACAAAAATTAGCTGGGCATGGTGGCAGGCGCCTGTAATCCCACCTACTCAGGAGGCCGAGACAGGAAAATCACTCCAACCAGGGAGGTGGAGGTTGCAGTGAGCCAAGATTGTGCCATTGCACTCCAGCCTGGGAGGGAGGGGAGAGAGACAGAGAGAGACAGAGAGACAGAGACAGAGACAGAGAGAGACAGACACCAAGTATCTTACCCATGGTAACCAAGTCCACTGCCTCAAAACGGTTGTTTCAAACAGAGTTTATAGGAACTATAATCATTTCTGGCAGTGAATGAGCAAAATGACTAAAAGGGATTATAAAAATCAAACCAAACACATCAATTTAGGAATTGGTACCTATCAATGAACTATCTACCTTCTTCCTGTAGTTGATAAACATATTAATCTTCCAATAGATGTTTAATATGATCTCTTTCTCCAGTACAGGATCGTTCAAAAGCTCATTAAAAAACTGTTAACTGCTGACCTACACCAAATAACCATGTCTTTGTACTCAACTCCTAAAAAGAATCTATCAGTGCCTAGTGATGTATCTGGCACACAAAATCCTCAAGAAATACTTGAACCACTATTTCCCTCGACAAACAGAATAAACTTCCCATATCTGATCTGACAGATGCTGAATTTTGAAAACATAATTAGGTAGTTATAAGATATATTGAAAATATTGACTGGGTGTGGTGGCTCATGCCTATAATCCCAGCACTTTGGGAGGCCGAGGCAGGCAGATCATTTGAGCTCAGGAGTTCAAGACGAGCCTGGCCTACATGGTGAAACCTTGTCTCTACTAAAAACACAAAAATTAGCCAGGCACAGTGGTGCGTGCCTGTATTCCCAGCGACTCGGGAGGCTGAGGCAGGAGAATCGCTTGAACCCGGGAGGCAGAGTTTGCAGTGAGCCAAGATCGAGATCATGCCACTGCACTCCAGCCTGGGTGACAGAGACTACACCTCAAAAATAAATAAATAAATAAATAAAATAATATCATCATGTTCCATAAAACTGGTTTACATTTTTCCCAGTAGGTTAAGGTTTTGAAAATTATTGTTCAATCTTTTCTGTATTTTCCAGATTTTCAACAATGAATATACATACTATGAACATGCATTCAAAATTTTTGAAACCGTAAAAAATAAACTACTGAATAATCCCCCAAATCAGAAAGGTTTCAACTTTCTTCTATTATTTTTCTTATTTTATTATTTTTTTTAGAGACCTACTTTCACTATGTTGCCTAGGCTGGAATGCAGTGGCAATTCACAAGTGTGATCATAGCACACTGCAGCCTTGAACTCCTAAGTGATACTCCTGACTCAGCCTCCATAATGGCTGGGACTACAGGTGCTCACCATGATGCCTGGCATATTTTGACTTTCACTAAGAATAACCAGGCCAGGTGCAATGGCTCACACCTGTAATCTCAGCACTTTGGGAGGCTAAGGCGATATAAAGACCCTGTTCTCCACCAAAAAAAAAAAAAAAAACAAAAACAAAACAACACAACAAACCAACAACGACAAAAATAAGAATAACCAATTATCTTCTGTATGCTACCACAGGTTTGAAACCTGGCCTCATACAATGTGTTACTTAACCAAATGTGTTTCCTTTATGGTTTCTCAGCTATTGCTGAAGTAATCCAAAGTAAATGAAAGGCAATTTACATGCCTACTAATTATCTCAAGCCATATCCAGGACTTTAAACCTTTCCCTCTGGTACTTCACATCAAGCTACCGCTTACCTGAGAACTTTTAAATATTTCCAATCATACGAATCAGGAGAATAACGTGTGGTATAGTCAGTGTAACTTTAAGAGAGCCAAACCTGCTTTTTATATGTACCAAAATTAGAAGTGTTTGTATTGGTTCCTAAAGTCAGGGTTGGTTTGTTACCAAAGAGCCCGCCACTGGTTGTACCAAATGAAGGTGCACTGGTTGTGCTGCTTCCAAATGTAGTAAGCTTGTTATTGCCAAACAGGGTCTAAAAAGAATAGAATACAGGAAAATTTAAAATAATATTAAGACACACACCAAACTAAATACAGGTTACCTCAGGTATACTGGGTTGGGTATGGGGTGGGAGAAAGATGTCCTAACATTCATAAAAAAGGTAGAAAAAAGATGAATAAAGGCTATCAAAAAATAATCTGGGCAAGATTAACTTTATAAACACGGAATGCTTCTGGCCTGAAAAGTTAATGGTAACCCCTAAGGATTACGACTGAAACACAATGAATCCAATGAAACCAGATTTCAGTGAGGCAAAGAAAAAAATAACAAGGCCATCAAATATCTTTTTACCTGTTAAGAGAAATGTAGCAAATACTTGCTTTGCCAGAAGAAATCACTACAAGAAAAACTTTGAACATGCTACATGGATGTTCCTTGAAAATGCTATGCTAAGTGAAAGACATCAATCACAAAAGACCACATATTATGATTCCATTTACATGAAGTGTTCAAAATGGTCAAATCCATAGAGAGAAAGTAGGCTTAAGATGATTACAGGAAAATCAGGAGTGACTGCCAATGACTATGGCATTTCTTTTTGGCATAATGAGTATGTTCTAAAATTAAATATGGTGATAGTTGCACACTTTGTTGATATACTAAAAATCACCTAGCTATACACTTTAAAGAGACAAATTGTATGGCATGTGGACTATACATCAATAAATCTGTCACTAGAAAGTACTAGAAGCCGGGCACAGTAGCTCACGCCTGTAATCCCAGCATTCTGAAAGGCCAAGGCGGAAGGATCCTTGAGGCCAGGAGTTACCAGCCTAGCCAACGTGGCAAAATCCCACCTCTACTAAAAAATACAAAAATTAAGGCCAGGAGTGGTGGCTCACGTCTGTAATCCCAGCACTTTCGGAGTCCAAGGCAGGTGGATCACGAGGTCAGGAGTTCGAGACCAGCCTGGCCACCATGGTGAAACCCCATTCTCTACTAAAAATACAAAAATCAGCTGGGCGCAGTGGCGGGCGCCTGTAATCCCAGCTACTCGGGAGGCTGAGGCAGAGAACTGCTTGAACCCGGGAGGCAGAGGTTGCAGTGAGCCGAGATCGCACGCCACTGTACTCCAGCCTGGGCAACAGGCGAGACTCCGTCTCAAAAAAACAAAACAAAACAAAACAAAAAACAAAACAAAAGCCTGGCATGGTGTCACACGCCTGTAATCCCAGCTACTTGGGAGGCTGAGGCACGAGAATCGCTTGAGCCTGGGAGGGAGAGGTTGCAGTGAGCCGAGATCATGCCACTGCAGTACAGCCTGGACAACAGAACGAGACTCGGTTTCAAAAACAACAACAACAACAACAACAACAACAGAAGTACTAGAATGTCTTGAAGCATTATATAATTTTCTCAATTTCTTACCTCAATTATCTGTCCAAAGTTTAAAAAAAGAAAAGAGAAATTTCAATCTCCATGAAAACAGGACCATATGTTTTAGGGACTTTGTGTTCCTTTTTTATTTTTTAAGACAGAGTTTTGCTCTTGTTGCCCAGGCTAGAGTGCAATAGCGCGATCTCGGGTCACTGCAACCTCCACTTCCTGGGTTCAAGTGATTCTCTTGCCTCAGCATCTCAAGTAGCTGGTATTACAGGCACCCACCACCACACCCAGCTAGTGGTTTTTTTTTTTTTTGTATTTTTAGGAGAGACGGGGTTTCACCATGTTGGCCAGATTGGTCTCGAATTCCTGACCTCAGGTGATCCACCCACCTCGGCCTCCCAGAGTGCTGGGATTACAGGCGTGAGCCACCGCGCCTGGCTCTTTTTTAATTTTTTTAACCTACTCACAATAGCAAGTTCAAAGTTTCTTCCATGAGTACCTCAACAATTTCAACAATTTGATCAACCCCAAAAACATTTCATTCCCAAACATCATACCAATTTATCACCTACAAAAGAGGGAAGAACTAGGAGTTAAAAATTATCTGATTCAAATAAAGCAAAAGAATTTCAATTTAGACTCAACAATTTAACCAATGCTATCAGAAGTATGATGCACATAAGCACTGAGGCAAAGAAATTTTAAAAGGGAAAGAATTTACTAATTGAAAACAAACCTGAAGTTAACCTGAAATTTCATTTTATATCAAATAATTTTTTGTTCTCAGAATCAAATCATATTAGGCTGGTGCAATAATACACCCAATAAAAATACCTGCAAAACAGTCAAATCCTTAGAAGAAAATTCCTTTTAACAAATTTACACACATCTTCAAATTACAGTCAACTGCAGAAACCTACCGAACCAACAGCACCAAATCCAGTATTGGTCTGCCCAAAGAGACCTGTTCCTGTTCCAAATGCTGTCCCAGTGCTGGTGTTTGTAGCTGTCCCAAAAAGACCTCCAGGCTGTGAGGCTTGGGTTACTCCAAATAATCCCTGCAAAGAAGTTTATATAGATTAAAAGATATCCTGTAATAGTTTCCGTAACGAATCTCAGAGTAATAAAAAAAAAGTTACCATTTTTTCAAGCTTATATGACAGATATTAGGCTAAATAACTTATATAGATTATTTCCTTCAAAACAACCCTGAAAAGCAGGGAGTATATTTTTCAAAAAGCTCAGAGCATTTTAAAACTTGCCCAAGGTGCCACAGCTCCTGAATGGTAGGAACAGAAGTTCAAACCTATATTTAAGCCCCTGTTCTTCCCAGGATGATGAACTCCAAGGTCTTAGGCGTCTATTAAATAATAAGACTTTAACTCTTGTGCTCTAAGAGATGTCAGGGTTGCAACACTGAGAAGCAAAATAGTATGTCTAGGTCCTTCATTTTCAACGATTTAGGTGAAAAGAACTAATCAGTATCAAGCTGGGGAGTGAACTTAGAATCAAGTAACCAAAAATAATCAGCGAAAATAAATCAACACGGACCGAGGTACGAGTGTTATGTTAAAGAGCCTTAATTCCTTTTTTTGATACGGAGTTTCGTTCTGTTGCCCAGGCTGAAGTACAGTGGCACAATCTCGGCTCACTGCAGCCTCTGTTCAAGTGATTCTCTCGCCTCAGCCTCCCAAGTAGCTGGGACTACAAGGGCACGCCACCAGGCCTGGCTAATTTTTGCATTTTTAGTAGAGATGGGGTTTCACAATGTGCCCAGGCTGGTCACGAACTCCTGACCTCAGGGGATCCACCTGCCTCAGCCTCCCAAAATGCTGGCGTGAGCCACTGCACCCAGCCAAAAGCCTTAATTCTAAATGAGAAACTATACTCATTTCCAATGAGCAGTCTGCATCATCCTATGTTTAACAATGTATTTTACTTATGCATTAATAAAGGAAAAATATTGTGCTAATAGACTTGCTGAATAGGGAATTCACTTTTTAAAGTTTTATTGAGACACAATTCAAACATCATAAAATTCACTCATTTACAGTGGACTATTCCGTGATGTTCTGCAACCATCCCTACTATCTAAATTCTTACACCCCCCAAAGAAATCCCAGACCCATCAGTGATTACTCCCCATCCCTAGGGAACCATTCATCTTTTTCTATGGATTTTTTTTTTATTCTGAACATTTAATGTGAATGGAGTCATAAAAAATGTGGTCTTTGGTGACGGGCTTCTTTCAGTTAGCACATTTTCAAGGTTCATCTGTGTTGTAGCATATATTAGTACTTCATTCCAATTTATGGTTGAACAATATTCCATTGTATGCATATACCACAATTGGTTACCCATTCATTGTTAATAGATCTTTAGGTTATTTCTACATTTTAGTCATTATGAATAATGCTGTTATGTTCACTTGTGTACAAGTCTATGTCTTATTTTTCTTCGGTAAATCCCAAGATGTGCAATTGCTGGGTCATATCGTAACTCTGTTTAACATTTTGAGGAACCACCAAACTGTTTTCTAAAGGGGCTGTACCAGCAATGTATGAGGGTTCCAACTTCTCCAGGTTCAATACTTACTACTGTATTTTTTTGTTGTTTTTGTTGAGTCTCACACTGTCACCCAGGCTGGAGTGCAGTAGCACAATCTCGGCTCACCACAACCTCCGCCTCCCGGGTTCAAGAGATTCTCCTGCCTCAGCCCCCTGAGTAGCTGGAACTACAGGTGGGCACCACCATGCCCGGCTAATTTTTTGTATTTTTAGTAGAGACGGGGTTTCACCATGTTGTCCAGGCTAATCTCGAACTCCTGACCTCGTGATCTGCCTGCCTCGGCTTCCCAAAGTGCTGGGATTAAAGGCGTGAGCCACCGCGCCCAGCCTGTTAGTCTTTTTTTATTGTATCTTTCAAATAGGTATAAAGTGGTTATCTCATTTTGGTTTTCATTTGCCTTTCCCTGATGACTTATGATGTTAAGCATATTATCACACCACTTACATATCTTCTCTGGAGAAATGTCAATTCAAATCCTTGGCCCTTTTTAAATGAGTTATTGTCTTACTACTGAATTATAAGAGTTATTTATACATCCTGGATACAAGTCCTATATCACATGTATGATTTTCAAGTATTTTCTTCCACTTACAGGTCTTTTCACTTTGATGATATCCCTTTGATATATAAATGTTTTTCTGCCATCTTTGTTTGTTTAGAGATAGGGTCTCATTATGTCGCTCAGGCTAGAGTGCAGTGGCCTATTCATAGCCACGATCATAGTGCACCACAGCTTCTAACTCATGACCTCAATGATTCCCCGACCTCAGCCTCCTGAGTAGCTGGGATGACAAGCATGTACTAAAAGGCCTGGCTAAAAGGTTTTAATTTTGAAAAAGCCCAACTTATCTATTTTTTCTTTTCTGCTTTTGCTTTTGGTGTCCTATCTAAGATATTACTGTCTAACTAGGTTTCTTCTAACAGTTTTATAATTTTAGGTCTTGCACTTAGAAATCTGATCAATTTGTGGCCAGGCATAGTGGCTCACACCTGTAATCCCAGCACTTTGAGAGGCTGAGGCAGTCGGATCATTTGAGGTCAGGTGTTCAAGATCAGCCTGCCTAACATGGTGAAACCCTGTCTCCACTAAAATATAAAAAAATTAGCCGGGCACGGTGGCGCACACCTGTAATCCCAGTTACTCAGGAGACCAAGGCAGGAGAATCGCTTGAACCCAGGAGGCAGAGGTTGCAGTGAGCCAAGATCGTGCCACTGCACTCCAGCCTGGGCAATTAGAACAAGACTCTGTCTCAAAAAAAAAAAAAAAAAAATTGATCAATTTTAACTTTTGCAGTTAAAAAATGCTGTGAAGAATCCAACCTCATTATTTTGCATGTGAATAACCAGTTGTCCCAGCACCATATGTTGAAAAGACTATTCTTTCCTCACTGAATTGTTTTGGTATCCTTGTTGAAAATCAATTGTCTACAAATGTGAGGGTTTATTTCTGGACTCTCACTTCTATTCAATTGGTCTATGTCTCTCCTTGTGCCAGTAACACAATTACTATTGCTTTATAGTAAGTTTTAAAATTGAGAAGTAAAGCCAGGTACAGCTGCTCACACCTGTAATCTCAGCACTTTGGGAGTCCAAGGAGAGCAGATTGTTCGAGCCCAGAAGCTCGAGACCAGCCTGGATAACTCGATGAAAACCCATCTCTACAAAAACTACAAAAATTAGCTGGACATGGTGGTGCACGCCTGTAGTCCCAGCTACTTGGGAGGTGAGGTGAGAGGATCGCTTAGCCCAGGAGGCGGAGGACGCAGTGAACTGAGATCATGCCACTGCACTCCAGCCTGGGTGACTGCAGCGAGGCCTGTCTCAAAAAAATTAATAAAATAAAATTGAGAAACATGAAGGCCAGGCGCAGTGGCTCATGCCTGTAAACCCAGCACTTTGTGAGGCAGAGGTGGGTGGATCACCTGAGGTCAGGAGTTTGAGACCAGCCTGACCAACATAGTGAAACCCCGGCTCTACTAAAAATACAAAATTAGCTGGGTATGGTGGTGCATGCCTGCAATCCCAGCTATGTGGGAGGCTAACGCCGGAGAATCCCTTGAACCCAGGAGGCAGAGGCTGCAGTGAGCTGAGATCGTGCCATTACACTCCAGCCTGGGCGACAACAGTGAAACTCCGTCTCAAAAAAAAAAAAAAAAAAAAAGAGAGAAGCCTGAGGGTCCTCCAACTTGTTGTTTTTCAAGATTGTTTTGGCTATTCCGGGTTCCTTCTTATTCTTTCTTCAGTGTTTTTATCATGAAAAAGTGTCAAATGTTTTTTCTGTATTTACAAAGGTGATCATGTGGTTTTCTGTTGTTTAAATTATATTACCACAGTGTATTACAATGATTAATGATCATATGTTGAACCAACCTTCCTCGGATAAATCCCACTTAGTCATGGATTATGATCCTTTTTTGTTTGTTTGTTTGTTTTGAGACAGAGTCCCGCTCTGTCACCTAGGCTGGAGTGCAGTGGCAAAATCTCGGCTCACCGCAACTTCTGCCTCCTGGGTTTAAGCAATTCTCCTGCCTCAGCCTCCTGCGTAGCTTGGATTAGTCACCCGCCACCCAGCCCAGCTAATTTTTGTATTTTTGGTAGAGACGGGGTTTCACCATGTTTGCCAGGCTGGTCTCGAACTCCTGACCTCATGATCCGCCCACCTCAGCCTCCCAAAGTGCTGGGATTACAGGCAGGAGCCAGCATGCCCGGCTGATCCTTTTCATATGTTACTGAAATCAGTCATCTAGTATTTTGAAGACATGGCGGTACAAGCATACTTTTTTTTTTATTTTTTTTGGGATGAAGTCTCTCTTCGTCGCCCAGGTTGGAGTGCCATGGAGCAATCTCAGCTCACTGCAACCTCTGCCTCCCCCTGGGTTCAAGGCTATTCTTGTGCCTCAGCCTCCCAAGTAGTCAGGATTACAGGCACCAACCACTGTGCCTGGCTAAGTTTTGTATTTTTAGCAGAGACGGGGTTTCACCATGTTGGCCAGGCTAGTCTCAAACTCCTGATCTCACACCTTGGCCTCCCAAAGTGCTGGGATTACAGGCATAAGCTACTGTGCCCAGCCCATACTTGTTTTTTAATCAGTAAAAGTATCTCTAATTTTAAGACGAGGTAAATTCCAAGTCCTGATCAATTACTCATACATCACTTCCTTCTTTAATTTCATACTTCCCTAAAAAATGTCCCTAGAAATAAACTAGTAATGACCATGAGGACCTTTTCTTTGGACACAGTATGGCTCTAAGTCGTAGGTCTCCCTTTAAAAAAAAAAAACAAAAAAACTTCTTTGTATGATTCCCAAGGGAACTAGGTGAACGTTCCCTTAGTTCCTGTTGTTGGCTATATTCTGAAATATAGTCAGTAATGAATAAGTATTTTCTCCTATACCCTATAGAATGGCTGTAGTCAATTTTCCAAGGTATAGCTTTAAGAGGGCCAAGTCCAGCCCACTAAGTAGTTCCTACTTAGTAATGAGAAAAATACTTTCAGAAAGGATAAGTGATCGCCTCAATAGCATCTCAACAAGTAAAGAGTAGAGCCCAGGCTAGAATCTAGGTCTTAATTATTCTAAGACTTTGTTCTTGGCCGGGCACGGTGGCTCATGCCTATAATCCCAGCACTTTGGGAGGCCGAGGTGGGCGGATCACGAGGTCAGGAGATCGAGACCATCCTGGCAAACACGGTGAAACCCCATCTGTACTAAAAACACAAAAAATTAGCTGGACATGGTGGTGGACACCTGTAGTCCCAGCTACTCGGGAGGCTGAGGCAGGAGAATGGCATGAACCTGGGAGGCGGAGCTTGCAGTGAGCTGAGACTGGGCCACTGCACTACAGCCTGGGTGACAGAGCGAGACTCCATCTCAAAAAAAAAAAAAAAAACTTTGTTCTCTTCCCTTCATTAAATACCCTCAACTCTTAAGATTTGCAGTACAGGTAGAATTTGCTAGTTTGACATGATTAGAATCCTCATTACTTAACTCTAAAAATAAGACATGGAGGTAAGTAAGGGTCTGTTTCCTTACCATGGTGTTGGTGCTTGGCTGTCCTATGGTGCTGGTATTACCAAAGGAAAAGCCAGTGTTCTGGGTGGTTGTAGCCTGGCCAAATGGTTTGCTGAAGAGGCTGGTAGTCTGCTGATTCTGTTGGCCAAAGAGACCACCTGGATTTGTTCCAAATCCAGTTGTACCTTTTAGGAAAAAGAAAAAAAAAAGAAAAAAGAAATAATAAAAAAAATGTAAACACCCAAAAATACAAAACCTTCCATTATCCAGTTGTTGTAATAGTCTTTATGTTATCTACTACCCTTCATTCACTACTTGATCATCTTTTCGTTTTCCATCCTTCACTTAACTCTAGATTTAAACTTTAACTTCTGTAATAACATCCTTACCCCAAGAAGCTTAACTAGGCTAAATGATCTTCCCTTGTAAGTCCACAGCTTCCTTCTGTTTTACAAGATAATACACTAGAAGTCAGCATGTGTATTTTAACCTTGCTAGTCTAGGTTAATGAGAACAAAGGCTTCTTCTTTACATGAATATATCCAGCCCAGAGTCTGATATGTAATATTCAATAATGAATATGGGCCAGGCACAGTGGCTCACACCTGTAATAACAACATTTTGGGAGGCCAAGGCAGGAGGATCACTTGAGGACAGGAGTTCCTGAACAGCCTAGGCAACACAATGGGACCCCATCTCTACAAAAAAATTTTAAAAATTAGTCAGGCTAATGGCACTTGCCTGTGGTCTTAGCTACTTGGGAGACCGAGGTGGGTATATGGCTTGAGCCTGGGAGTTTGAGGCAGCGGGGAGCTGTGATGGAGCCACTGCACGACAGCCTGGGTGACAGAGCTAGACAGTGTCCTCCAACCCCCACCAAAAAAACAGAAAAAATTATGAAACATTAGCCAGGCAGAATGGTGGGAATATTACTTGGGCCCAAGAGTTCAAGGCTGCAGTGAGCTATGATTGCTCCACTGCACTCCAGCCTGGTCAACAAAGTGGGATTCTGTCTCAAAAAAAAAAAAAAAAAAAAAAGCATACTAAACTAAATCATGGAATATCAAGATTGAAAAGTACGTTAGGCTGGACATGGTGGTTCACACTGGGAGGCTGAGACGGGTGATCACCTGAGATCAGGAGTTCGAGACCAGCATGGCCAATATGGTGAAACCCCGTCCCTGCTAAAAATTAGGGCTGGACGGCCAGCCATGGTGGCTCATGCCTGTAATCCCAGCACTTTGAGAGGCCGAGGCGGGTGGATCATAAGGTCTGGAGTTCAGATCAGCCTGGCCAAGACGGTAAAACCCCATCTGTACTAAAAATACAAAAAAATCAGCCAGGCATGGTGGTGGGCATCTGTAATCCCAGCTACTTCAGATGCTGAGGCAGAGAATCGCTTGAACCCAGGAGGTGGAGGATGCAGTGAGCCGAGATCACACCACTGCACTCCAGCCTGGGTGACAGAGCGAAACTCCATCTCAAAAAAAAAAAAAACAATTAGGGCTGGCACCATGGCTCACGCCTATAATCCCAGCGCTTTGGGAGGCCGAGGCTGGTTAATCGCCTGAGGTCAGGGGTTCGAGACCAGCCTGGCCAACATGGTGAAACCCCAACTCTATTAAAAATATAAAAAATTGGCCAGGCATGGTGGCGGGTGCCTGTAATCCCAACTCCTTGGGAGGCTGAGGCAGAAGAATCGCTTGAACCTGGGAATTGGAGGTTGCACTGCACTCCAGCTTGGGCAACAGTGAGACTCCGTCTCAAAAAAATAAAATAAAATTAGTCGGGTGTGGTGGCACATGCCTGTAGGGTGGCTGAGGTAGGAGAATCACCTGAGCCCAGGAAATCAGGGCTGTAGTGAGCCCTGATCACATCACTGCACTCCAGCATGAGTGACGGGAGTAAGACCCTAAAACCCTGTCTCAAGAAAAGAAAAGAAAAGAAAAGAAAAAGTAGGTTAAATATAACTTAGATAAATACGTATTTGTGTGTGTGTGTGTGTGTGTGTGTGTATGTACATCTCTTTAGAAGGCTATGAAAAGCTATAATTTTTGCTTTTCTCTACAGAGGCAAACTGGTGGCTGGGGAAAGTGTATAAGGCAAGTATATAACCTCTGGTTATTTAGTTTTCTGTATTTTGTGAACTTTGTATCACATATGTGCATTACTTTTGCAAAAGTAGTATTTTTGTCAAGTAATCATCATCTTTAACTCCTCTTTCACATCCCACATTAAACCAATGCATCGGCAAATTCCATCAGTTCTATAATCAAACTGGGTCCAGAACCTCATCTTTTTTCTTTTCCGTCCTTTTTATTTAGAGATGGAGTCTTGCTGTCACCCAGGCTGGAGTGCAATGGTGTGATCTCAGATCACTGCAACCTCTGCCTCCCAGGTTCAAGCGATTCTCCTGCCTCAGCCTCCCAAGTAGTTGGGATTACAGGTGCTTGTCACCACGCCTGGCTAATTTTCATATTTTTAGTAGAGGCAGGGTTTTACCATGTTGGCCAGGCTAGTCTTGAACTCCTGACCTCAAGCAACCCACCTGCCTTGGCCTCCCAAAGTGCTAGGACTGCAGGCGTGAGCCACCACACTTGGCCTCTTTTCCATCCTTGTCCAAGACACTAACACCTCTTATGTTGATAATAGCTTTCTAAGTAATTTGTTTCTACTCTTACAATCTACTGTCAATATAGGAGACTTCAGAATCATCCTTCACTCACAATCACATGACTTCTCTTTCAAAACAACTTTCAGGATTTCCTAAATCAAATAAAAATTCAAGTCTTGATATTGGCCTACAAAGTCGTATAAAATATGGCCCCTATATCCCCCAGTATTTTCCCTTGCCCTCTCTTCAAATGGCAAAAACTCAGAGTTTTTAGACTCAGTTTCCACTAGCTGGAATGTTCTTCCCCCAGAAATCTGTACAACTTGCTCCTTCATCTTCTTCAGATACGTCACTGCTCAAACATCACCTTCTCCTCTGAAGCATTCCTTAGTCGTCTTCATCTTAAACTGTCTTTCTCCCTTTCCCCACATACATCCAGGCATTCCTCCCTATTCCTATGGTATCCCTGAATTATTATTTTTCTCCATAGCACTTATCCCAAAATGGCAATTATGTTTTAGTTTTAGTTATCTGTCTCTCCTCAGTATAATCTAACATGATATCAAGTGCTTACTAGTTCCAAAGGCAGTTTTGTTCTGACCATATGCAAAGCCTGAATTAGTGGTGGAGGAGCTGAAGAGTCCTGTTGCGCTGGAAGTGGCTGGAGAAGACCCAAACAAGCCAGTTGTGGTACCTGCTCCCACCTGGTTCTGTGGGCCCTTCCTGTTAGCCTGATAATCCTCTAAACGAAGTTCCTGAAGGGAGGGAAAACATATTTCTAATCTTAACATGCAGCTAAAAATAATTATTTAGGAGGCTAAATACTTGAATTTAGTATTCAAGTTCTATGTTCACATAGGAACCATAACTAAAAAAGAGAAAACTAAGGAATGACATTATATCATTACAGAAAAACATTTCCAATAGACACTAAAATCCATACCATAATTATCATAAAACTACAAGCCAAAGAGTCAATATCTTAATCTCAGTTTTCTTTCACAAACAATACACTCTTTTGGTAAAATGTCATAAAATAATCCTAACTCTCCCCAGCCCTAAAATATAAAAATAAAATAAAAATAAAAATTATAGTGAATTAACATATGTAGATTCTGTGGGGCAAAAAATTTAGAAAATAAAGTTTATCAATTTTGTCTCAAGTCCGGATGTTCCTGGCACAGCCCAATAAAGTAAGCATAGTTTGGTATGTAGAAAGAAGCAATCACTATAATCATGAATGACTATCAAAATGTACAACAACCTACTACATAAGCAATAAGAATGAACAAACTAACTTCATGCAACAACATGGATGACTATCTCAATGTTCAAAGACAGCCATTAAAAAGTACATAATGTGCCTGGGTGCTGCAGCTCATGCCTGTAATCCCAGCACTTTGGGAGGCTGAGGTGGACGGATCACAAGGCCAGGGTTCAAGAACAGCCCGGCCAACGTAGCAAAATCCCATCTCTACTAAAAATACAAAAATTAGCTGGGCATAGTGGCGTGCAGCTGCAATCCCAGCTACTCAGGAGGCTGAGGCAGGAGACTGCTTAAATCCAGGAGGCAGAGATTGTAGTGAGCTGAGATCACGCCACTGCACTCCAGCCTAGGCAACAGAGCAAGACTCGTCTCAAAAAAAAAAAAAAAATTAGCTGTGTGTGGTGGCCCACACCTGTAATCCAAGCTACTAGGGAGGCTGAGGCACGAGAATTGCTTGAACCTAGGAGGTGGAGGTTGTAGTGAGCCAAGATGTGCCACTGCACACCAGACTGGGTGACGGAGTGAGATGCTGTCTCAAAAACAAACAAACAAAAAAAACAAAAAAAAACCAACTTTTATTAAGCTGTACTTTGCATAATTTTACTAAAAACACCTTCATATGCATGCATACACATTGCCCAGTGTAACAGAAGCAACATCCAATCAGAACAGATGATTAGACTGGGCTCAGTGGCTCATGCCTGTTATCCCAGCACATTGGGAGGCTGAGGAAGAAAAATCGCTTGAGCTCAGGAGTCTGAGACCGGCCTGAGCAACATAGTGAGACCTCACCTCTACAAAAAAATTTTTAAAAATTAGCTGGGCGTGGGGCACATGCCAGTGGTCCCACCTACTTCGGAGGCTAAGGACATGAAGCCTGGGAAGCTGAGACTGCAGTGAGCTGTGATTGTGTCACTGCATTCCAGCCTGGGCAAAAAAGCCCATCTCAAAAAAAAAAAAAGACCATTAGGGGTGCTAGACCTTCACATACCCCTGAATATTATCCCTGCCTAAACAAGTAGATATCTATAAATAATACTTGATTTTTAAAAATAATTTGGTTAATGTTAATTTTTTACATAAACCCAAACTGAACCACTCTATCCTAAAGAAAATCAAAACCATTTTTAAAAGCTGCATTCCAATAAAATCAAAAGGTTAGACTGACATTCTGTATTGTATTTTACTGACCTCTAGTGACTTGCTTTCATATTCTTTCATAGCAGTAATACACTGGTGCTTGGTACTTATGTTAGTGCTAACTCCAGCTTTGACCATAGTATCTGTACCAGTTGGAGGCTGCAAAGTTAAATAAAGGCAAATTTGTAGGTCCAAGTTTTACATTCCTACTCTCTCAGATACAATTTCTCAACCACTGAACTCTAAAACTAGTCCCCCCAGGTCTTTTATACTGAGATGGTTTCAAGGGTGCTTGATTAAATATACTGCCATTTCTGATCTCTCCCTACATCAAGGTTATCTGAATAAATCGATCTTAGTAACAAAGTAATCACAAACGCAGGGATTAATCCCATAACCCAAGCCATCCAATTACATGGTAAAATACATGTAATATTATGCATAAAGAAAGCTTTACCCAATATATACCTTTAAACCTCTATATCTAAGTTCTCCTTTCTACTCCGCCCTGTAATGCTGCATTAAAAAAATACGGAGGGCCAGGAGCGGTGGCTCACGCCTGTAATCCTAGCACTCTGGGAGGCCGAGGCGGGTGGATCATGAGGTCAGGAGTTCGAGACCAGCCTGGCTAATATGGTGAAACCCCGTCTCTACTAAAAAATAAAAAAATAAAAAATAAAAATGAGCCAGGCGTGGTAGCGTGCACCTGTAGTCCCAGCTACTCAGGAGGCTGAGGCAGGAGAATCGCTTGAATCCGAGAAGCGGAGGTTGCAGTGAGCCAAGACCGTGCCACTGCACTCTGGCCTGGGCGACAGAGTGAGACTCCATCTCAAAAAACAGCAACAACAAAAAAACAGAAACTGGCCAGGCGCAGTGGCTCACACCTGCAGTCCCAGCACTTTGGGAGGCCGAGGCGGGTGGATCACTTGAGGTCAGGAGTTGAAGACCAGCCTGGCCAACATGGTGAAACCCCATCTCTACTAAAAATACAAAAATTAGCTTGGGTGGGTGCCTGTAATCCCAGCTACTTGGGAGGCTGAGGCAGCAGAATCGCTTGAACCAGGAGGCAGAGGTTGCAGTGAGCCAAGATTGCACCACTGCGCTCCCGTCTGGCTGACTCTGTCTCCAAAAAAAAAAAAGAAATATGGAAACCTGTTTTTCCCCGATAACATTACAAGGAAAAAGGCACAATAAGTAAAACTAACGATTCCTGCTGGTATTGCCAGTTTTCTCAACTACTGCACTTTCCAAAGGGCATCACACAGTATTCTTCACTATCATTTTATGTTTTAACTTCAAATTCGGGGTTGTAAATTTAGTACTATGAATTAACCAATTTACCTGACAAATTCTTCATTTTCTGGAGTATATTTTAACAAGTTTTATTTCTGCCAAAGATTTCCATTAGGCTAACTGCACCTCCAGCATACCCTAAGAATCCCCCAAACATTTACATCAAGTGGCATTCCACATGTTTCTGTAAACAAAATCCTCCACTCTAGCCCTCCACCCAATCCCTCTCAAAAAAAGAACACATACACAATAAACTTTACAGCCCCATTTAGCCATTTCATCAACAAAACCTGTATTTTTCAGTGGGTACAGAATGCTGATGAGTTACTCTTATTTGCCCCCTATTCTTTATTCCCATAAAGATTAGTTGACCAGGCCGGGCATGGTGGCTCATGCCTGTAATCCCAACACTTTGGGAGGCAGAGGTGGGCAGATCACCTGAGGTCAGCAGTTCGAGACCAGCCTGGCCACCATGGTGAAACGCCATCTCTACTACAAAAAACTACAAAAAAATTAGCTGGGTATGGTGGTGGACTCTTGTAATCACAGCTACTCAGGAGGCGGAGGCAGGAGAATCACTTGAACCCAGGAGGTAGAGGTTGCAGTGAGCTGAGATTGCACCACCACACTCCAGCCTGGGCAACAAGAGCGAAACTCCATCTTAAAAAAACAAAATAACAAAAAAAAAAAAGAAAATTGAACAGTTGACCATTCAGAAGCAAATTCTTAACACAGTAAATTCAAATTCTACCTTACACCAGATTATAATAAAGTTTTATGAATACAAATTTTATTGGGATGAGCCTAATTCAAATATACATCGTAATCTAGATTTACATTTCACAAGTGTTCCTGTCTACTATACAACTATTTATAGATTTTGTTTTTAACACATCGTTCAGGCAGTGTCAAGCTAAGCTGGAAAGAGAAGCAATTTTACAATTCATCCTGCAAAGAAATATACATGCGGGAAAAAACATTCCACAAAGATTGGAAGAAAATACATACGTTAAATTTAATAGTAGTCCCAGTAGGAGCAGCTGTAAAACTACTTGGCCCAAAGAGGGAGCCAGATGTGCTGCCAAAAGGATTAGAGGTGGTATTTGTGGTTCCAAAGAGTCCTCCACTGCTAGTACTGGTTCCAAAATCTAAAAATAAGAAAGAAAAATGAGACGATAACAGTAAGAAATTTAAGAATGTATAAGATGCATTGGAATTGGGCTATGGCACTAGCATCACAGTACTTCATTTTTTTTTTTTTTTTTTGAGACAGGGTCTTGCTCTGTCTCCTAGGATGGAGTGCAGTGGTGCAATCACAGCTCACTGCAGCCTTGACCTCACAGGCTCAAGCAATACTCCTGCCTCAGCCTCCCAAGTAGCTGGGACCACAGGCATGCGCCACCACACCCAGCTAATTTTTTTTTTAATTTTTGTAGAGACTGCCTTTTGCCATGTTGCTCGGGCTAGTCTCAAACTCCTGGGCTCAAGCAATCCTCCTACCTCGAAATCCTAAAGTGTTGGGATTACAGGTGTGAGCCACTGCACCTGATCTCATATCCTGAAATTTTTCACCTTTCAAGTCTCCCAAGCAAATATATTCAAATAGAAATTTCTTTTTTTTTTTTTTTGAGACGGAGTCTCGCTGTGTAGCCCAGGCTGGAGTGCAGTGGCGTGATCTCAGCTCACTGCAACCTCCACCTCCCAGGTTGACGCCATTTCTCCTGCCTCAGCCTCCTGAGTAGCTGGGACTACAGGTGCCCGCCACCAAACCCGGCTAATTTTTTGTATTTTTTTTTTTTAAGTAGAGATGGGGTTTCACTGTGTTAGCCAGGATGGTCTCGATCTCTTGACCTCATGATCCATCCACCTATGCCTCCCAAAGTGCTGGGATTACAGGTGTGAGCCACAGTGCCCGGCCCAAATAGAAATTCATACAGAAAGATACGTACTTCCAGGCTCACAACTTTCAAGTGAAACAAAGTCTGAATCCTTTGGTCAGCTAAGTGTCCATAAAGCCCTAAGGTCACACTTGGAAGACAACTTAAAAGAAATACTTTGTTTCATCATAAATTTTATCTCATTTCTCCCTTTCTCATTTAACTACATGCTGAATGAACTTGTCTTTCTGAAAACATCTTGTCACAGACTTCAAGAGTGGTCACAGTACATTTTATTTACATACATTATAACATATACCTACACATAACCAAAAACTTTAGAATATACAAGTGGTCCTATTAGAGAAATCAAATATAGGTTAATGTAAAATTTCACCCCCCAAAATTTCAGAAAAATTAGCAGCCACTGTCAATTACTTTACAGAAACTAATAAAGAAATAGCAAATCCTTGGATTACTTTACTTTTCCAAAAAGCTGAGTTTAAAAAAAAATTACACATAAATGAATTTAATTGTTGCTAAGGAATATATTGCTGAAAGTATGAGAGACACTACTTCTAAAGAAGTTATGCCAGGTGCGGTGGCTCACGCCTGTAATCCCAGCACTTTGGGAGGCCAAGGCGGGTGGATCACAAGGTCAGGAGTTCGAGACCAGCCTGGCCAATATGGTGAAACCCCATCTCTACTAAAAATACAAAAATTAGCCAGGCGTGATGGCGGGCGCCTGTAGGCCCAACTACTCGGGAGGCTGAGGCAGGAGACTCGCTTAAACTGGGGAGGCGGAGGTTGCAGTGAGCAGAGATTGCGCCACTGCACTCCAGCCCGGGTAACAGATCAAGACTCCGTCTCAAAAAAAAAAAAAAAAAAAAAGAAGTTATACATATGGTGCCAGAAATGTCACTAAGCAAAGAAATTTATATGCCAATATTTAGAATTAGTAACATCCTAATTACCAGGTTAAAGAGTACTATGATTTATCACTGGCAAACTGCTATTACTTCTTTCTAAAACATGTCTTAATATATAGTTTAAAGCAAACAGGCACATTTCTTTTGAATTAGTACTTCAGACTGCATTATATACTGTTATGGCTAAATATTTCAATGTTATACAAACAACTTTCCCTCTGGAAAATACTGATGGCAGGCCAGGCGCGGTGGCTCACACCTGTAATCCTAGCACTTTGGGAGGCCGAGGCAGATGGAACACGAGGTCAGGAGATCGAGACCATCCTGGCTAACATGGTGAAACCCCGTCTCTACAAAAAATACAAAAAAATTAGCCGGGCATGGTGGCAGGCGCCTGTAGTCCCAGCTACTCGGGAGGCTGAGGCAGGAGAATGGCATGAACCCAGGAGGCACAGCTCGCAATGAGCCGAGATTGCGCCACTACACTCCAGCCTGGGTGACAGAGCGAGACTCCATCTCAAAAAAAAAAAAAAAAAAAAAAGAAAGAAAGAAAATACTGATGGCTGGCTATTCATTCTTCCATACTCTTGTGCCAGGAATGGAATCACTTGATAAAGCATACCTGATGAACTAGCAGTGGTTGGCTCAAAGTACAGTGCTGTGTGGAGAAGTATCCCCAAGTCATGTTTGGACTTAAAGTGAAAAAAGTCATCAACTAAAAACATCTGCCATGGACAAAGAATGGAGGAGTAACCATGTCACGTCCATTATGTCATTCCTGCTCTAGTCTCTTCATACCAAATATAAAACAGAGACAAGAAGAAGGTGCCTCTGCAGCACAATATGGCTGACTGTAACACACTCCTCCTTGAAATTCTCCCATCTTAACATGAACTACACTACTCTGACCTGGCTTTTCATCCTTTCTCTAGCCATTTTGCATCAGGAAGCTCTTCCTCTGCATATCCCTTAAATAACAGTGCTTCAAATTTCTATCCTTATAGAAATGTACATACTCTCTTCCTTTCCAGCCTATTAACCTTTTCAGTACATATTGAAGTTTTCCTCTTCCCTTGTTTTTGCCATTTAGTAGGAAAAGAAGGTAGATGAACACAGAAAAACGGAGAAAAGACAACACATTCAATAAGCAAACCAAATTATTAGATGCAGAACTCCAGTGATGTCCCACTTACTGCCAAAGCCAGTTGGTTTATTTTGTGCAAAGGCATTGTTTTGGGATGAGAAGAGACTGGTCCCTGTGCTTGCAGTTCCAAACAAGGTATTTGCTGTTCCTGTTGACGTACCAAACCCAAAGCCAGTGCTTGTGGAGGTAGCTGGCTGGCTAAATGAACTGGTTCCAAACAATCCTCCTGAGGAGATGGAGAAGGAGGGAAAAAGTTAAGTACATCAGAGCCACTAAGTCAATTCCTATACTAGCTACAAACAAACCAGTTATATCACAAATAAAGCCCCTACCTGGTTTAGTCTGTGAATTTCCAAAGAGGCCTCCAGTATTGTTGCTAGAACCAAATGCAGATGTTCCAAATGCCCCTCCACTAGTAGTGCCAAAGCCAGTATCTGAAAAAGCAAAATCCAGAGTAAATTAGAATTTAGAATAAAATCTACGTAAGATGACCAAATGAAAAGGCATTTTAATATTTCTTAAAATTCTGCATTTGAGGCTGTGCATGGTGGCTCACGCCTGTAATCCCAGCACTTTGGGAGGCCGAGGCGGGCGGATCACCTGAGGTCGGGAGTTCAAGACCAGCCTGACCAACATGGAGAAACCCCGTTTCTACTAAAAATACAAAATTAGAAGGGCGTGGTGGCACATGCCTATAATCCCAGCTACTAGGGAGGCTGAGGCAGGAGAACTGCTTGAATCTGGGAGGCAGAGGTTTCGGTGAGCCAAGATCGTGCCACTGCACTCCAGCCGGGGCAACAAGTGTGAAACGCCGTCTCAAAAAAAAAAAAAAAATTCTGCATTTGAACTACTAGTCTAATTAAAAACATTTTTTCAAAATCCCATCAGAGTATGAATTACAGAGTAAAAACCAAGCCACAGACATTTTATTCATCGCCCCAGGGGAAGTATGAAAATTTAAAGTCAAAAGGAGTGACTTTTCAATAAAAGTTACAGATGTTCATAGGTTAAAAAAAAGTGCTGGCCGGGCACGGTGGCTCACACCTGTAATCCCAGCACTTTGGGAGGCCGAGGTGGGCGAATCATTTGAGGTCAGGAGTTCAAGACCAGCCTAACCAACATGGTGAAATCCCGCCTCTACTAAAAATTCAGAAAAATTAGTGACACTCCGTAGTCACTGAGATAAATGGTCTTTCATTAGCGGAACACATCAGAACAACCTGGGAAGCTTTTTCAAAATATACATGTTCAGGTTTCAACTCCAGAGATTCTAATTCCATAGTTTTTGATGAGAGATACATATTTTGAATAAAAACTTCCAAAGGTGACTGTGATGGGCACTTTTAGTTAAAAACCACAGACATGGACGTAGAATTCTTTAAAAAGGAGATCAGGAGCCACTTAAGAAAACTTCCCTGCCAGGTGCGGGGAAGTTACAGGCTCACGCCTGTAACCCCAGCACTTTGGGAGGCCGAGGCAAGCAGATCATGAGGTCAGGAGATCAAGACCATCCTGGCTAACACGGTGAAACCCTGTCTCCACTTAAAATAAAAAAAAAAAAAAAAAAAATTAGCCGGGCCTGGTGGAGGGTGCCTGTAGTCCCAGCTACCGGGGAGGCTGAGGCAGGAGAATTGCTTAAACCCAGGAGGCGGAAGTCGCCGTGAGCTGAGATCGCACCACCGCACTCCATCCTGGGTGACAGAGCGAGACTCCATCTCAAAAAAAAAAAAAAAAAAAAAGAAAAAGAAAAAGAAAAAGAAAAACTTCCTCTATTATTAATTTTATTAGGTATGATAGAGGTTTGTTAGTCATGCTTCTTAAAGAATCCTTAGCCCAGTGCCGTGGCTTATGCTTGTAATCCCCTCGCTTTGGCAGGCTTAGGTGGGAGAACTGCTTGAGCTCTGGAGATGGAGACTAGCCTGGGCAACACGGCAAGATCTCACCTCTACAAAAAATTTTAAACATGAGCCAGGAGGCCAGGCGCAGTGGCTCACACCTGTAATCCCAGCACTTTGGGAGGCCGAGGCGGGCAGATTGCTTGAGGTCAGGAGTTTGAGACCACCCTGGCCAACATGGTGAAACCCCATCCCTATTAAAAATATAAAAATTAGCCGGGCATGGTGCCATACACCTGTCATCCCAGCTACTCGGGGGGCTGAGGCAGGAGAACTGCTTGAACCCAGGAGGCAGAAGTTACAGCGAGCTGAGAAAAATGAGCCAGGCGTGGTGGTGTGCAACTGTGGTCCTAGCTACTTAGGAGGCTGAGGTATGAGGAGTGCTTGGGTCTGGGAGGTTGAGGCTGTAGTGAACCATAATAGAGCCAATGCACTCCAGCCTCGGTGACAGTGCAGGATCCTATCTCAAAAAAAAAAAAAAAAAAAAAAAATTTTCATCAATTAGAGAAAAGTTTCTGGGATTTAATTTATTCTGTTAAGATGCTCTCCTCCTCCTGGAAAGAAAGAGATAAAAACAAGTCTGGGAAAATGCTGATTGTTAAAGTTGGGATATAAGTACATGAGAGTTCATTATACCATTCTTTCCAGACTTGGATGAGTATAAACATTTTTAACAAAGTGTCACAGCTCTTTTAGAATTTGTCTAGCAGGGTTTCTGGTTTTCACCAGGAAACAAAATTTTTTTTTTGCAGAGGGGGTGGACTTTCTGGTTTTAAAAAAAAAAAAAAAAAAAAAAAAACCCCTCCACAAAAATTTTTAACAAAAAGTTTAAATGTAAATAAGGATTGCTTCAGGCAATTAGTCATACACGATACTGGGTAGGAAGGGAGGTAGATCTCCGGAGGGTTGATGGGAATTAGACACTTCCACATTTTAACATTTCTGTGACATGAATGTCACATCATGTTCACAGGGTAAATTCCAGGGCAGTTATTTCATAACTGCATTTTAGACTTCAACATTAAGAGAATTATTTTCTGGTCTGAAAATTAGTAACAAATTATAACTTTCTGTCAACCAAAATAATATAAATATTTTAAGTATCTTCTACTGACAATCAGAAGAAGGCCATGAAAACTTAGAATTTATTTCTACTTTCTTAAAAACTGTTAAAGAGATCTTATCCTAATTATTTTTTCAAGACGACTTTGTTATAAATATGAAAGTAAAAATAAAATTCCCACCTAAAGCTTATCAGAGTGGATTTGTTCTTAGTAAGGGAGATTAAGGTTTCTCCCTCTTTTGTCCTTTTTAAAAACTTACTCTGTCCAAATGTTGAAGTTGTGCCAAAGCCACCTGTGCCACCCCCAAAGGGTGTTCCAAATGATTTGTTAAACATCTTCAAAATGAGTCTTTGTTTCAGAAAGCTGGGAAAAAGAAAACATTATCACTCTCTTAAAGACCACAAAATGGAATATAATTGTTTTAGAAAATCTATCATTCCACAAACTTAGGCCTATTCGAACTATAGTATATACTCTCATTCAAAATCCTCAAACTGTATGATAAAATAAACCTTGTAAAATGATCTTTATAATCTACAATGTTCCTGAGCTGAACAGTAAGGTTAAACTTCATAATGTGAGGTTAAACTTCAGATCCCAACATTAACCATCCATTTAAAACAATGTTTTCAATCTTTTTTTTTTTTTAACCTAAGTCCCCTTTTTAATCAATAAATATTTCAGGTCTACAAGGCAAGATGTTTATATGATCCTCATAGGAGGTTATGAATCATATCCATCAAAAATTAAAACACAGTCTGCTAACCCAACCACCTAAAAAGCTAACATTTTTTTTTTTTTTTTTTTTTTGAGACAGAAGGACGTGCAGTGGCTCACTGCAACCTCCTCCTCCTTGGTTCAAGTTATTCTCCTGCCTCAGTCTCAAAGTACCTGGGATTACAAGCGTGTGTCACCATGCCTGTCTAATTATTTGTATTTTTAGGAGAGACAGGGTTTCACCATGTTGGCCAGGCTGGTCTTAAAAAAACTCCTGATCGAGTGATCCACCCACCTGGGTGCTGAGATTACACCACCAAAGTGCTGGGATTACAGGCGCAAACCACCGCACCCGGCCAAGGCTTTATTTTCCATAGTTTGCATTATAAAGTTTCTTTCTCCCCTACCTTCGAGGGATATAAAACATGGTAATAGTAAATGTTTTTCAAATTATGCATGCCCCGCCTTCTATCTCTAAATCCCAGAGATTCTGGTGCCCTGACATTCTCTTTGAGATTACGTTTTAAGACTATTCTCTATGGTCCCCTACTTATCTATCTTCTACTTCTAAGATTACAGAAAAACCTTTGATGAAAATCCCTCACCTCTGGCCAGGCACAGTGGGCTCACACCTCTAATCCTGACAGCTTGGGAGGCTGAAGCGGGCTGATTGCTTGAGCCCAGGAGTTCGAGACCAGCCTGGGCAACATGGTGAAACCCTGTCTACAAAAAATCAAAGTTGGACTGGTGTGGTGACACGGGACTGTAGTCCCAGCTACTCTGTTGGCTGAGGTGGGAGGAGCGCTTGAGCCCAGAAGGTGGAGGTTGCTGTGAGCCATTATCATGCCACTTCCCTCCAGCAAAGGTGATAGGGTGAGACAATGTCTCAAAAACAAATAAAAAAAACTGCTCACCTTGGCTGGGCGCGGTGGCTCACGCCTGTAATCCCAGCACTTTGGGAGGCCAAGGCGGGTGGATCACCTGAGCTCAGGAGTTCAAGACCAGCCTGGTCAACATGGTGAAACCCTGTCTCTACTAAAAATACAAAAATTAGCCAGGCGTGGTGGTGCATGCCTGTAATCTCAGCTATTTGGGAGGCTGAGGCAGGAGAACTGCTTGAACCTGGGAGGCAGAGGTTGCAGTGAGCTGAGATCGCACCATTGTACTCCAGCATGGGTGACAAGAATGAAACTCTGTCTCAAAAACAAAAACAAAAACAAAAACGCTCACCTCACATAAATTATTTTACTCCTGTATCCAAACTATGCACCCGGTCATTTAAGGAACTGAACCAAACTGTTCCAAGAACGCCTACACAGAAAAGTTTGGTTCCCCCTGTCTGAATAAGAATAGCTTCATAGTGAAACACCCAAGAATGATCAATTAAAAAAAAATAAATAAAATAAAAATAAAAAATAGCTTCATAGTTTACTCAGAGCTTTCCCCCTCCACAAATTTTCCTTAAATTTAGATGCCTGCTACCTCTTTTCTGCTAGCAGACAATAAATTAATAAGTAAACTACTTTCAGCATAAAAACTCTGAAAACAGTCAATCATGCTCATCTGGATTCTGTGACAGAGATGATGATTTTTCTATTATAGCCACACAATGTATGTAAAGAGTAGTCTTTTCTTCTAGGAAACTCAGGCCGTGTTCATATAATAGAATTAAATATTGCATTTTGAGGTCTTCCCCAAATTCTAGTATCCCACTAACACTTCCAGTCATTCTAATAACCAAACATTTTGTGCAACACTGAAAAAGATAAGGCTGTCCCTTAAATAAATGCTTTACAGAAATATTCTCTCTCCTGAAATTTCCTAGGAAAAAAAATCAAATACTTAAGTTCTTTATCTCAATATCCAAAAACTGAGTAACTCCTTTGATTAAACAAAGCTCACTAAAACCAGTGGTTCTAGAGGGCCACATCAGAATTAGGTGGCAAGCTTTTCAAAATACAAACTCTGGCTGGTTACACTGGCTCACATCTGTAGATCCCAATGCTTTGGGAAGCTGAGGCAGGATGATCTGCTTAAAGCCAGACAAGCTTGGACAACACAGCAAGACTCTGTCTCTATTAAAAACAAAAAAAAAACAAAAAAAAACAAAAAACATGGTGCACACCTGTACGAAGCTCCAGCTACTAGTGAGGTTGAAGCTAGAGAATCACTTTAGCCCAGGAGTTCAGGCCTGCAGCAAGGTACAATGGTGCCACTGCACTCCAGCAAGCAAGCAAACAAACAAAAATACAAACCCCCAGGCTCCATTCTAGAAATATTGAACAAAAATGTCTAGGGCTGGGGTACAGACATTTGCATTCAGAAAAAGTTCAAGTTACTCTAAAGCACACCCTTGGCCGGGCGCGGTGGCTCACACCTGTAATTCCAACACTTTGGGAGGCAGAGGCGGGCAGATCACCTGAGACCAGGAGTTCGAGACCAGCCTGGCCAACATGGTGAAACCCCCGTCTCTACTAAAAATACAAAAATTAGCCAGGTGTGGTGGCAGGCGCCTGCCGTCCCAGCTACTCAGGAGGCTGAGACAGGAGAATTGCTTGAACCCCAGAGGTGGAGCCTGCAGTGAGCTGAGATCGTGCCACTGCACTCCAGCCTGGGCAACACAGCGAGACTCTGTCTCAAAAAATATAAATGAATAAAAAAAAAAAATACAGTTATGGCAAAAACAAACAAAAAAAAACAACCAAAAAACCAACGGATTTTTGGCTTCTCATGAAGAACCTGATAATTAACCAAACCATGACTGTAATCACTTCACGGCAATGACAGGCTGAAGCTTAGTAGCAATTCCCTCTATCTATCTCTCTTCTGTGAGAGCATGCACTCTCCAAAGTGCCACAATACCCACCATCACTCATTTACATCAACTGTCTGGTTCCTGTGGGTTTTCAGTTTGTGACTACTGACATAATCAGAGAAAGAACATGTAACACTTTACTTCCTCTATTAACAATAACAAGGCTGGATGCGGTGGCTCATGCCTGTAATCCCAGCACTTTGGGAGGCCAAGGTGGGCAGATCACTTGAGGCCAAGAGTTTGAGACCAGCTTGGCCAACATGGCAAAACCCCGCCTCTACTAAAAAAACACAAATCAGCTGATAGCGGTGGTGCACACCTGTGATTCCAGCTACTCGGGTGGCTAAGGCAGGAGAATCACTTGAACTCAGGAAGCAGACGTTGCAGTTAGTTGAGATCGTGCCACTGCACTCCAGTCTGGGCAACACAGTGAGACTCTGTCTCAACAAACAAATAACAAAAGATCTAGATAATACAGATATTTGCATTAACTATTTTCCATTCCATTTGGATTTTACTCCAAAAATGTAGTAAAATCCATTAAAAAAAAAAAGTAATCCTAGAGACAGAAATAAACCCATTAAAGTTTAAAGGCATATCACACTTGAGCCTTTATCCTTTCAAATATGTTAAACTGGCCCAAGCTGAAACCCCCACCAAGAATACAAGATAACATTTGAGTTTTTACTATGTCCCAGGCACTGTTCTAATGCTGCTTATGAATTATCTCATGTAAACCTCCCAAGAATCCAACGATGTAGGTATTTTTATCTCTATTTTACAAGGAAGAAATTAAGGCACAAGAATCTATTTGCCCAAGACAAAGCTATCGTTGACCCCAGCGGCCAATGCTTCTAGAGTCTAGAGCCTAGAGCTCCTAGAGAAAGAACATTGCCAATTAAAGGAAAATGACCTTGCATTCACTATAAATGGGGAACCTACAAAACCAACAATTGGTACTACAGATCCAGCACTATCAGGGAAAGACACTTCTCTGGCAAATATGGGAGTTCTAGTCATCAGAAATAATCTCTTTTATGGAGTAAGGATAATTTATAAGGTATACCCATGGCAAAGATGAAATTTACAACAAAGATTAACCTTTCTCCTTTTTTTCTTTATGAATGGACTTATTTATACCCACTGCAGGTTTTTCTTTTTGATATATTTAAAAAGAAAAATGAAATAGTGTTATATAGAAAAGAAACCTTTAACTTTATCCTTAATTTTACTCTGTCCTCTATGCTCAAAAATCTCCTAATTAATAATTCAGATTCTCAGATACAAGAAGTAGCCTTATAATACACCCAGTAGTCCAATCAATGGACAGACATATATTCTGACACTGTCCAAACTGAAGTTCTATACACTGATATACTGTTTTACATATCTTAACTTTTGTGATCTCTGTGAACTCTGGGTACAATGACAAAACTTAGTTTTCTACCCAGAAAAGTAGTGGATATCCTGAAATGTGGTCAAAACGTTTACAACTCCAGGCAACTGTCAACTTTAAGACTATCTGAAAGACTATGCAAGCTTCCCAAGACATTTCCAATTTGCTGCTAACTCCAGACGTAAATGGGAAGTAGTTTTTTCCTTTCCACTTCATTAAACTCCTTTGTATCAAAGCCAGCAAACAGCAAAAACAATAAATATTTGTTAGATGAATGGACTGTATAGTACTTCCTACTTTACAAAGCATTTTTTCATACATCCTCTCATCTAACCTTCACAAAAATACTAGAAGAGCCAGGGATTATCACACACAGTTAAACTGAATGAAAATTTTTGCCCTAGATAAGAAAAGAGGGCTGGGAAACGAGGCTGGGTGGAATTCCAGGAAGAAGAGATTCATTAGCCTAGTGTAACCTAATAACATATCCCAACAAAACTATCTGGAACCTTCTGTTTTACAGTATCCTCCCTAGGATAGATCTTTGATCAAGCCATTCCCTTGGTTAGAACATCATATCCTCTCTAAGGCCGGGCACGGTGGCTCAAGGTCTGTAATCCCGGCACTTTGGAAGGCCAAGGTGGGCAGATCAACTAAGGTCAGGAGTTCGAGACCAGACTGGCCAATAGGGTGAAACCCCCGTCTCTAATAAAAATACAAACATTAGCCAGAAGCGGTGGCGCATGCCTGTAATCCCAGCTACTCGAGAGACTGAGGCAGGAGAGTCGCTCGAACCCGGAAGGCAGAGGTTGCAGTGAGCCAAGATCATTCCAGCCTGGGTAACAGAGCAAGACGCTGTCTCAAACAAAAAAAAAGAACATCATACCCTCTCTAAAAATCGTATCTCCTTTTCTTCCTAAAAATTGTTGCTCAAGCCTCACCTGCTTTCACAAGACTGCCGCACACCCTTAAACTCTTTATTAGTATAAAAACACTTTAAAGGCCGGGCACGGTGGCTCATGTCTGTAATCCCAGCACTCCGGGAAGCAGAGGCGGGCAGATCACGAGGTCAAGAGATCGAGACCATCCTGGCCAACATGGTGAAACCCCGTCTCTACTGAAAATACAAAAATTAGCTGGGCATGGTGGTGTGTGCCTCTAGTCCCAGCTACTTGGGAGGCTGAGGCAGGAGAATCACTTGAATCCAGGAGGCGGAGGTTGCAGTGAGCCGAGATCGGGCCACTGCACTCCAGCCTGGCGACGGAGCCAGAGTCCATCTCAAAAAAAATAAAACACTTTACTTCCCCTCTTCCTTTCCAACCCCGATTACGTAAACTAGTGTCTCTCAGCTGCTTTTAGTTATGCAATATATTTGTTATTATACCTGCCACCTGAGTGTTTTACCTGTCTGCTGCTCTGGGTAAAAAAAATGTCTTGACTTTGCTCACTGGGTGTAAATTAATTTTAAATAGTCCATAGCATCTTACATAAGCTCCTTCCTAATAGCACTGAGCAGCATTTTTTTCATCCCCTTAACATAACCCTAATCATTTTAGAGTGAAGAGTATATTAGCTTTGGTGTGAGACATCTGTATTTAAAACTGTCACTCGGCTAGGCGCGGTGGCTCACACCTGCAATCCCAACACTTTGGGAGGCCAAGGCTGGTGGATCACCTGAGCTCAGGAGTTCGAGCCCAGCCTGGCCTACATGGTGAAACCCCCTGTCTCTACTAATACAAAAATTAGCCTACATGCCTGTAATCCCAGCTACTCAGGAGGCTGAGGCAGGAGAACTGCTTGAACCTGGGAGGTGGAGGTTGCTGTGAGCCCAGATTGCGCCACTGCACTACAGCCTGGGTGACAAGAGTGAAATTCTGTCTCCAAAAATAAATAAATAAATAAATTTCTAAAAGTGAAAGGATATATACCTAACTATTAAGAATCACTGTATAAGGCTGGGCACGGTGGCTCACGCATGTAATCGCACCATTTTGGGAGGCCCAAAGTGGGCGGATCACCTGAGGTCGGGAGTTCAAGACCAGCCTGAGAAGCAAGGAGAAACCCCGTCTCTACTAAAAAATACATAATTAGCCAGTTGTCGTGACGCATGCCTGTCATCCCAGCTATTCGGGAGGCTGAGGCAGGAGAATCGCTTGAACCCAGGAGGCAGAGATTGCAGTGAGCCGAGATCGTGCCACTGCACTCCAGCCTGGATAACAACAGTGAAACTCCATCTCAAAAAAACAACCAAAAAAAAACCTGTCAGTTACCATCATTGACTCTTAAAATCTAAAGTTAATTCAAAATAAAAAGTTAAAAAAATAAAAAATTCCTCTGCCACTTGCTACTGTAAGTCATAATATTCAATCTCTCAGACCTCAATTTCTACATCTGAACAATAGGGATTGTACAGCCTACACCAAAAGACTGGTAGGAGGACAAAGCTGCCTCAAACTAGAGCTCCTCAAAAGCAGCATTTTGTTTATTTTTCAACAGGTATTTTACAGGTATTTATAATTTAAAAAGCATAATAAATGTCCCCTCACTCTAAACTTTGGTTCAATGGCTAGCTAGAATGCCATAATTTCTTATTTCTCAATGCTTAAGTGTCATCCACTGATCACTCAGCACAAGCATAAAGCACCACTGCAAACAAAAACAAATCCCATCCCTGCACAAACACAATATATTGAGATTACTATGATCATTCAACCTCTTCCATCTATCTCACATCTCTGTCTTTATTCCCAACTATCCATCTTTTTAATTTACAAATTCATTTACCTATTTCTTTTTTTTTTTTTTTTTTTTGGTTTTTGTTTTGAGACAAGGTCTCACTCTGTTGCCCAGGCTGGAATGCAGTGGCATGATCATGGCTCACTGCAGCCTGGACCTCCTGGGTTCAACTGATCCTCCCACTTTAGCCTCCCAAAAAGCTGAGACCACAGGCATGTGCCACTATGTTGCCCAGGCTGGTCTCTAACTCCTGGACTCAAGCCATCTTCCTGCTTTGGCCTCCTAAAGTGCAGGGATTATAGGTGAGCCCCTGTGCCAGGCCCATTTACTTATTTTTTATTTATTTATTTTTTTGAGACAGTCTTGCTCTGTTGCCAGGCTGGAGTGCAGTGCAGTGGCATGATCTCAGCTCACTGCAACCTCTGCCTCCTGGGTTCAAGCGATTTCCCTGCCTCAGCCTCTCGAGAAGATGGGACTACAGGCACCCACCACTATACCGGGTTAATTTTTTGTATTTTAGTAGACATGGGGTTTCACCAAGTTGGCCAGGATGGTCTCGATCTTCCGACCTCGTGATCCGCCCACCTCAGCCTCCCAAAGTGCTAGCATTACAGGCGTGAGCCACGGCACACAGCCCCATTTACCTATCAAGAAGGTTGAGTGTGCAAATACTAGTAAGCTCTGTGTCAAACGAAGTAAAATTAAAGATGTGAAGTGATGAGTGACTGTAACATTTACTGAGGATGAACTGTTCCCTTCACGAACAGACCAGCCCTAATTCAGGTGCTCAATTCTTTTCCCCTTGACTAATGATTTTCAAATATTTTTTAGCCATGAAACCCGACATATAAAACAGACATAAGCAGAAGCTGCTCTGGCTGAAGTGAAGAGGGAGTAGGTACAGTAGAACCCCACCAGCTCTGCCCTATGAAGCAGCTTAGGGCTCTATGAACCAATGTGAAATATTGTTCTAGATTAGTGGTTCTCAAAGTGTGACCCAAAGACCCCTAAAAGTCCCCAACACTTCTTCCAGGGGTTCAATGAAATCAAAACCATTTTCACAATAAAACTAAGACACTTTGCCCTTTTTCTTTACTGTTCTGACCTCTGTGCTGATGTGCAAAATCAATGGTGTGCAAAAATGCTGGGAACTCAGCATGAATCAAAGCAACAACCCCAAATGGTGCTGAACTAACACTCACTGAATTCTTCACTGTCACCCATTTACAATATAAAAAATTCCACTTTCACTTAAAAGGGTCCTTAATGAAGCAGCAAAAATTATTAGTTGTATTATTTCTCAACACTACAGCACAATTCTTTTTAATTCAGTATTGGGAAATACTCAAAAACTTCTGCTTACTGAAATACAAAGGATATCAAGGGGCAAACCACCTGTAATTACTTTTGAAAGCTAAATGTAGTTGTTTTTCTCATGGAACACCATTTTAATTTTTTTTTTTTTTTGAGACAGAGTCTGGCTCTGTTGCCCAGGCTGGAGTGAAGTGACGCAATCTCGGCTGACTGCAAGCTCTGCCTCCCAGGTTCACGACATTCTCCTGCGTCAGCCTTCCGAGTAACTGGGATTACAGGCGCCCGCCACCACGCCCAGCTAATTTTTTGTATTTTTAGTAGAGACGGGTTTTCACCGTGTTAGCCAGGATGGTCTCGATCTCCTGACCTTGTGATCCGCCCCCCTCAGCCTCCCAAAGTGCTGGGATTACAGGCGTGAGCCACTGCGCCCCGCCCACCATTTTAATTTCAAAGAATGATTGACAAACTATGGTTATTAAGATTTGGTACTGGCTGGGCATGGTGGCTCACACCTGTAATCCTAGCAGTTTGGGAGGCCGAGGCAGGTGGATCACTTGAAGTCAGCAGTTCAAAACCAGCCTGGCCAACATGGTGAAACCTCATCTCTACTAAAAATACAAAAAATTAGCCAGGCATGGTGGTGGACGCCTGTAATCCCAGCTACTTGGGAGGCGGAGACAGGAGAATCAGTGGAACCCAGAAGGCGGAGGTTGCAGTGAGTTGAGATCCCACCATTGTACTCCAGCCTGGGGGAAAGACCGAGACCTCGTCTCAAAAAAAAAAAAAAAAAAAAAAAAAGAAAGGCTGGGCATGGTGGCTCATGCCTATAATCCCAGCATTTCGGGAGACCGAGGCAGACAGATCACGAGGTCAGGAGTTGAAGACCAGCCTGACCAACATGATGAAACCCTGTCTCTGCTAAAAATACAAAAATTAGCCATGTGTGGTGGCACCTGCCTGTAATCCCAGCTACTCAGGAGGCTGAGGCAGGAGAATTGCTTGAACCCAGGAGGCGAGGTTACAGTGAGCCGAGATCACGACACTGCACTCCAGCCTAGGCGACAGAGTGAGACTACATCTAAAAAAAAAAAAAAAAAAATTTTGATACAAAAATTACAACTACAAAAACATGCATTCGGCTGGGCGCAGCGGCTCATGCCTGTAATCCCAGGACTTTGGGAGGCGGAGGTGAGCGGATCACGAGGTCAGGAGATCGAGACCTTCCTGGCTAACACGGTGAAACCCCATCTCTACTAAAAATACAAAAAATTAGCCGGGCATGGTGGCACGCCCCTGTATTCCCAGCTACTCGGGAGGATGAGGCAGGAGAATGGCGTGAACCCGGGAAGTGGAGCTTGCAATAAGCCGAGATCGTGCCACTGCACTCCAGCCCAGGTGACAGAGTGAAACTCCATCTCAAAAAAAAAAAAAAAAAAAAAAAAAAAAAAACATGTATTCACCACTATCAGGTCATAAGCTTCTCAATTCTTAAAAAGACTTATCTGATGAGATGGGTGGAAACAGAAACAACTGTATAATTAAATTTGTCAACATCTGGAATATCTGGGCCAGGCCTATGGGGCTCATGCCTGTAATGCCAGCTCTTTAGGAGGCCGAGACGGGAAGATCACTTGATGTCAGGAGTTCCAGACCAGCCATGGTCAACATGTTGAAACCCCGTCTCTACAAAAAATACAAAAATTAGCCAGATGTGGTGGTACACACCTGTAGTCCCAGCTACTCAGGAGGCTGAGGCATGAGAATCACCTGAACCCGGAATGCAGAGGTTACAGTGAGCCAAGATTGTGCCACAACACTCCAGCCTGGGTGACAAAGCAAGACTCTGTCTCAAAAACAAAGAAACAAACAAACAAAAAAACAACAAAAAAAGAAGATCTGCATAACTCAGTAAATCAATAATTTCAAAATCAACATGCATCATGTTATAAAATCACAGAAGTGTAAAGGTCTATTCAAAGTACAACACAGACCAATGGTTTTTAATACAACAGAATACAAAAGTTCAATGACACAGTTTCAGATTCCATACTGTAATGAACCTTTAAAAAGGTTTGAGGCCGGGCACGGTGGCTCACGTCTGAAATCCCAGCACTTTGGGAGGCCAAGGCAGGCGGATCACTTGAGGCCAGGAGTTCAAACCCAACATGGCGAAACCCCGTCTCTACTAAAAATACAAAAAATTAGCCCAGCGTGGTGATGTGCACCTGTAGTCCCAGCAACTCAGGAGGCTGAGGCAGGAGAATTGCTTGAACCTGGGAGGCGGAGGTTGGAGTACGCTGAGATAGCGCCACTGCACTCCGACTTGGGCGACAGAGCACGACTCCGTCTCAAAAAAACAAACAAATAAAAAGGTTTGACTGTAGTGTCAAAGAGCAGTTAGAATTATCTGAAAAGGCCATTAAAATACTCCTCTCTTTTCCAACTATGTATCTGTATGAGGCTAGATTTTCTTCACATACTTCAAACAAAACAACATAATATATGTCAGAATGCAAAGACTGGTACATTTAGAGGTCTTCTTTTTATGATATGGAGTCTTGCTCTGTCACCCAGGATGAAGCACAGTGGTGCAATCTGCGCTCACTGCAACCTCTGCCTCCTGGGTTCAAGCGATTCTCTGCCTCAGCCTCCCAGTAGCTGGGACTACAGGTGCGTGTCACTGTGCCCAACTAATTTTTCTATTTTTAGTAGATTCAGGGTTTCACCATATTAGCCAGGATGGTCTCAAACTCCTAACCTTGTGATCCACCCGCTTCAGCCTCCCAAAGTGCTGGATTACAGGTGTGAGCCACCACACCCGGCCAGCTACCACTATATTTTTAAGAATTTTTCTTTCCTTACTAAAAAAAACTGCAAGTATTTCCCATTACACTGAATTAAGTACAAATTCCTCAATGTGGTAATTATGGCTGGGCATGGTGGCTCACGCCTGTAATCCCAGCACTTTGGGAGGCCAAAGCGGGTGGATTGCTTGAGGTCACGAGTTCCAGATCAGCCTGGCCAACATGGTGAAAGCCTGTCTCTACTAAAAATACAAAATTAGCTGGGTGTGGTGGCACGCACCTGTAATCCAGCTACTCGGGAGGCTGAGGCAAGAGAATTGCTTGAACCCACGAGGCGGAGGTTGCGGTGAGCCAAGATCACATCATTGCACTCCAGCCGGGGCAACAAGAGCGAAACTCTGTCTCAAAAAATAAATAAATAAATAAATACATGTGAAATATTTTCACTAAAGTAGTAGTCTCAATCAAGGGCAATTCTGACAATTTCTTCAGACATTCCTGATCGTTACAACCTGCAGAGGATGTGTTATGGGTATCTAATGGGTAGAGGTAGGAATGTTGCTAAATATCCTACAATATACAACAGAGCCCCCACGATAATTATCTGGCCCAAAGTCTCAAAGTTCCAAAGCTGAGAAACCTTTCTCTAGAGCCATACTGTGCCAAATACTTACGGTCAATTTCAAACAAAAAGAATGCACCAAGTTCTCAGGAAATGTTTACCTACCTTGCCTCTAATACATACTGTTTTGTTTTGTTTCTTTTCTTTTTTTCTTGAGTCAGAGTCTCGCTGTCGCCCAGGCTGGAGTGCAGTGGCACAATCTTGGCTCACTGCAACCTCCGCCTCCCGAGTTCAAGCAATTCTCCTCCCTCAGCCTCCCGAGTAGCTGGGGCAATGGGCGCATGCTGCCACGCCCAGCTAATTTTTCATATTTTTTTTTAAGTACAGATGGGGTTTCACCATGTTGCCCAGGCTGGTCTCAAACTCCTGAGCTCAGGCAATCCACCCGCCTCGGCCTCCCAAAGTGCTAGGATTACAGGCGTGAACCACCACACCACGCCTTTGTTTTAAGACAGGGCCTCACGCAGTTTCCCAGGCTGGAAAGCAGTGGTGCAATCACAGCACTGCAGTCTCAATCTTCCAGGCTCTGATGTTTCTTTGATTTCAGCCTCCTAAGTAGCTGGAGTACAGGTGCATGCCACCATACCTGCCTAATTTTTGTATTTTTCGTAGAGACAGGGTTTCCCCATGTTGCCCAGGCTAGTCTTGAACTTCTGGGCTCAGGAAATCCACCTGCCTTGACCTTTGAAGTGCTGGGATTACAGTAGTCAGTCACCATGCTCAGCCAATACTTATCCTTAAATCTCTGAGTTTCTTAGTTCCCTAACCTTTCAACAAATTACATAACTGCATAGTCTCATTATTGGAAATTAAACATTAGTACCATCATTCTTTACTTTCCAGGTTAACTACCACCACATAAATCATATTACAAGAAAATAATATAATTTTTTCAAAGCCGTAAATTTAGTTCCTTAAAAATTCTACTTGCTCTTAGTTATCTAGGACCTAGTAGACATAAAGTCAGGTACTGGCTGGGCACAGTGGCTCATACCTGTAATCCCAGCACTTTGGGAGGCCGAGGTGGGGGATGGCTTGAGCCCAGGAATTCGATACCAGCCTGGGCAACATAGCGAAACCCTGTCTCTACCCAAAATATACAAAAAAATATTAGCTGGGTATGGTGGTGCACACCTGTGGTCTCAGCTACTTGGGAGGCTGAGGTGGGAAGATTGCTTGAGCCCAGGAGGTAGAGGCTACTGTGAACCGAGATTGCGCCACTGCACTCTAGCCTGGGTGATGGAGTGAGACCCTATCTCATAAATAAATAAACAAATAAATGTCAGGGACCAAAGTATCACATAACATATAAACAGCAGGAACTATCTTATCTGGGCCCCATATTTCAGGAGCCTCTCTATTGACTACTGTTAGGTATAACTCCTCCATATTTGTCTATTCATTCAAGTAAACACACTTACTGAGGGCCTACTATGTGGCAAGCAACTGGACAACAAAGATAAGATGAAAATATTTTACCAGCCTAATTAAAAAAACAGCTAAAATAAAAATGATATGTGCTATAAATAGAAATATCAAATAAGTGTTATGGAAGCTTGCAGAGAAGAGAATGCCAAGAAAAGCTTCCCAGAAGAGGGTGATGCCTGAACTGAGAAAATGTCACGGAAAACATACCCTGTTCACGCTTTACTATTTAGACTACGGTTCTCTTCTGCACTACTAGTTCTGAGTTTATGCTTTGTCATCTATACAAGAACAAAGTAACAATCTTACTGATGTGTACAGAACCAAGTGTCAACTAATTCAATTTCATCAAATCTGAAGAGTCAAAAAGAATAATTTTACCCAAGTATTTCCCAGTACCTTTATCCTGTCCAACCTCTAGTTTTGGTTTTTAAATACCCTAACTTCCTCCACCAGGTAAACATACTGTAACCCAGTTAACTCGAGTTTCTTTTCGAATTTGTAAGACCGTCACAGGGAATGATCACTGCTCTCTTTTTGCTCTTTATTCCAGTTAGCTTCTTCCTCCAAAACGGAGTTTTATTTCCTCACCTTATTCTACTATAATACTTCACTTTGAATTCTGTACCTGAAAGGAGCCATGAGTTCCGAGGTACAACTACTACAAACGGACTCCTACCTGGCTTTCTAAGTCTTATCAATATTTCCTGCTTTCTATTCCAGTACTGTTATAAATCCCTAACTGACTCCGAGTCCTCATCAGCTGACACAAGTCAAAAAATTCAGATTTAGAAAGGGAAACAATGGCTTGTAGTTTTACCGATTTGTTTCCGATACATAACAACGCTGACGTTCTTTAACCATCTTCTAAGTTTAGTTCTCAAGCTCTAGGTTAGGGTACCACTAACGAAGCTTCCACCTTACCCGTGAACAGAGCTGGTAGCAACTAAACGGAAAACGCTGTGAAGACTACATCTACGTTTAGCTACCTAATGTCCATGCCGCACCGACCTCCTAAAGGGAATTCTTAATAATGGGAGACTGAAATATCCAGGGAGGGTGAGGTAGTAGAAAACTGTTTAGACTGTCAAAAATCTGGCATTGGCTAATCCTGCCTGTTACTCCGGGCCTCGGTTTCCCCATCTACAAAACTGATGTAAGGTAGGGGGATTGACTTAAACAATTTCTAAAGTCCTTATGGCTATAGTAATCCAGAAACTCAATCTGTCTCCTCATCTGGCTTTACACTGAACACGTGGGAAAATAGAAAAGAACCTTTTGCTCCACCGAACCGACTCCTATTCTCAGATATTATCTTAAAAATCTCCCAAACTTCGGACTCACCCTAATCCTCGGGGTGCCCACTTCCCTTATGGAGAAGCCAAGGCAAATAAAGCCCAGTCCCACATGACGGTCAAGGAAGTGCGGGGCAGACCGTATTCAGGGTTTCAAGGCGCTGACCCCGGAAAGGCCAGCCCACCGTGGGGTCCTTACACCACTGAATGAATGAGTACAACCAGACAGACACCCACTCGCGTGGGCAGCAACTGGAGACCTCCAGGCCTAGACCCCACTGATGTCCATTCTCTCCCAGGGCCTCCAAAGCCGGGCCTCCCGGGCTCCGGGCCCCCGGGTCCTCAGCACCGCCCCTCTCTCAGGCCAGAAGGTGCGCGCAGCGGCGCTAGACTTCGAAGCGGAGAGGCCCTGAGACGCCCCGCGCGTCCGCCCGCCCGGAAGGGGGGAGAAACCTGCCGGTCTCGGCCGCTGCAGCTCGGGCTCCCGACTTACCGCGGTTCGGTGGGGAAGGGGAAGTGTCAGGAGTCCCCTGCTGCCACCCGCCGCTCACAGAGCAGCGCGCGGCCCCCACGAAACCGTCGCCGCCGCCGCTACCACCCCTGCCACCGACCGCCGCTTCGGGCGCAGCGCGCAGAGGGCCCGACTGCGTCACACGCCGCCCGGCGTCAGAGGCTCGTTGCGGACGCTCCGCCCTCGCCGTCCGCGAATTGGTGGACGCGGCCGCCACTCTGGGTCGACCCTGTTATTCATTGGGCAACGCGTCTTTTGAAACCGAACTGAAGGGGGAAGGGGCGAGAGGGAAGAGGAGGGGCAGAAGGAGTTCGGGGAGGCACAGGGTAGGAGCGGTGAGAGGGCCGTGGAGTCCCGCCCCTCGCCGCCGCGGTTGGCGGGAGCGTGTCGTGACGTCACACAGGGCCTCTCGAAGTGGGCTTGTGAATGGCTAGATTGGGAAGCACCGGCGGGGTGTCGGGAAGGGTGGTGACGCAACATAGAGACTCCGCCCCCTTCCTTGGAGCGCCGCGACTCGGGCTGAGGGAGCTCGGGCCAATCAGAGGGACGGCCCCAGAATGGCATGGTAACTATTCGACCCTTTCCTTGCCCCGGTCCGCCGGCGCTGCTGGGAAGGCTTCCTAGTCTCTCTGCCCGCACTTCCCGCCCAGACCACGTGCGGAGCCTGAGGGCCCTCTTGGAAGGTCTGTCTGTCCAAAGAGTTTGCCCGAGGCTTCTTCAGGGCCCTAAATCCTGACCCTATTCTCTCCTGACCCATGCTCGCCCCAGCACTTTCTTTCCCTCCCTGAATTTCTAGGATGGACATTAGGAGCATTAGAGATGCCCTAAGGGACTGGCCCACCAAAGGGCCTGGTACAAATGAGGATTGTTGGAACGTCTTTCCCAGCTGCACGTGGAGAACCCCTAATTCTTTTTTTTTCTTTTTCTTTTGAGATGAAGTCTCGCGTTGTCGCCTAGGGTGGAGTGCATTGGCGCAATCTCGGCTCACTGCAACCTCTGCCTCCCGGGTTCAAGCGATTCTCCCGCCTTAGCCTCCCAAGTAGCTGGGATTACAGGCGTCCGCCACCAGGCCCAGCTAATTTTTGTATTTATAGTAGAGACGGGGATTTCACTGTGTTGGTCAGGCTGGTCTCGAACTCCTGATCTCAAGTGATCCACCCGCCTCGGCCTCCCAAAGTGCTGGGATTACAGACGTGAGCCACCTCGCCCATGAACTAATTTTTTTTTTTTTTTTTGAGATGGAGTCTTGCTCTGTCTCCTCTTTCTCCCAGGCTGGAGTGCAGTGGCACGATCTCGGCTCACTGCAATCTCCGCCTCCCAGGTACAAGAGAGTCTCCTGTCGTAGCCTCCCGAGTAGCTGGGATTACAGGCACTCGCCGCCGCGCCCAGCTGATTTTGTATTTTTAGTAGAGATGGGGTTTCACCATGTTGGCCAGGCTGGTCTCGAACTCCGGAACTCAGGTGATCCGCCCGCCTCGGCCTCCCACAGTGCTGGCCTTACAGGCGTGAGCCACCGCGCCCAGCCGAACCCCTACTTATTCTTAAAGGACGGGTATTTCAAATGTTCCCATCTTCTCAGTGATACATTTGCCAAGCTTTCACAGCGAGTTGAGCTAATGCTTGGGCAGGCCTCTGTTAAAGCCTTGTCACTTTGTATCCTATTATTTACCCTCGGTTTTCTGTGCCTTGGGCTCTTCTTGGAAGTCCTTCTGGGGCCTAGCCCATTAGCAGAAAACTGATATTACAAGAGTGAAAGGTGGGCATTTTCTAGAAACTAGACCTGTTTAGTGACTGAGAGTCTCATAGCAGGAACTGTGCGCAGAAAGCAAAGCGTATACTGGCCGGGCTGGTGGCTCATGCCTGTAATCCCAGCACTTTGGGATGCTGAGGCGGGCAGATTATTTGAGGCCAGGAGTTCGAGACCAGCCTGGCCAACATGATGAAACCCTGTCTCTACTAAGAATACAAAAATTGGTCAAGCATGGTGGTGGGCACCTATAATCCCAGCTGCTTCTCGGTTTGCTGAGGCACGAGAATGGCTTGAACCAGGGAGGCGGAGATTACAGTGAGTGGAGATCCTGCCACTGCGCTCCAGAGTGATCTCAAAAAAAATTTTTAAAAAACCTCCACCACTACTCCTTTGTGAGACATGAATGCAAAATTGAACTGGGCTTTTACCTAAAATGTAAATGAGTTTAAAGCCATCTGGGTTTTCGGTGATGGCAAGGGATTAGAGATAATTGATTTATTTGTTTGTTTAAAAAATGGGAGACTGGGAGTGGTGGCTCACGCCTGTAATCCCAGCACTGGGGAGTTCAAGGTAGGAGGATCACTTGAACCCAGGAGTTCGAGACCAGCTCGGGCAACATAGTGAGTCCCCACCTATACAAAAAATTAACCAAGGCCAGGTGTGGTGGCAAGCGCCTGTGGTCCCAGCTACTAGGGAGGCTGAAGTAGGAGGATCGTTTGAGCCCAAGAGGTTAAAGCTACAGTGAGCTGTGATTACAGTCATGCCACTCCCGCCTGGGCAACAGACGGAGCCTCCGACTGGGGGAAAAAAAAGGTGGTGGGTTGTAAAGATGGAATAAGATAGTGGATGGAAGAAACACGGTACATTGTAGGTGCTCAGTAGATACTTGAAGGAAGAAGAAAATCAATATATGGTTGGCCAAATAGTAAAGTTACTTTAAACAACTGACTGCAGCCATCTTCCCCCAACTCCTCCATCCAAAACACCCCTACTTTACAACCACACTCCCTTGCCTTTGCTGGACTTTAGAAAGTCATTAACTCTCCCTAGATAGTTACAGTAGCTTCATAACTGCCCTCTGGAACATTTGATTTCTTGCCCTTTAATCTCCAAGCCCAATTATTTTTAAGGCTCTCTTCTACTGACTTATTTTGGTGTCCCTAAGGCAGGGCACATAGTAGGTACACATTAGATATTTGATGCACGAATGAGTGAATTATTTTCTTCAGTGGGGGATTAGTAGAGGTGTTGGACTTTGAGTCAGAGAACCCTGGTTTAAATTTGGATGCAGATTTAATTTAATTCAGTTTAAATTTATTTATTAATTTAATTTAATTCAGTTTAATTTAATTAAGAAATTTGGGCCAGGCGGGATGGCTCACGCCTGTAATCCCAGCACTTTGGGAGGCCGAGGTGGGCGGATCACGAGGTCAGGAGATCGAGACCAGCCTGGCTAACAGAAGGAAACCCCATCTCTACTGAAAATACAAAAAAATTAGCCGGGCGTGGTGGCACATACCTGTAGTCCCAGCTACTTGGGAGGCTGAGGCAGGAGAATTGCTTGAACCTGGGAGGCGGAGGTTGCAGTGAGCTGAGATCGAGCCACTGCACTCGATCCTGGGCCACAGAGTGAGACTCCGTCTCAAAAAAAAAAAAAAAAAAAAGAAATTTAGGCAAATTTCCTGCCGGGAATGGTGGCTCACGCCTATAATCCCAGCACTTTTGGAGGCTGAAGCAGGTGGATCACCTGAGGTCAGGAGTTCGAAACCCGCCTGGCCAACATGGTGAAACCCTGTCTCTACTAAATATACAAAAAATTAGCCGGGTGTGGTGGCTCATGCCTGTAATCCCAGCTACTTGGGAGGCTGAGGCAGGAGAATTGCTTGAACCGGGGAGGCAGAGGTTGCAGTGAGCTGAGATGGCACCATTGCACTCCAGCGTGGGCAACAAGAGTGAAAGTCTGTCTTCAAAAAAAAAAGAAAAGAAAGGAAAGAAAAAGAAATTTGGGCAAATTTCCTAATCCCTCTGAACCTCAATTTTCTTTTGTATAAAATGGGGATAACAACCACATTTGCCTTACAGGGTCGTAGTGAGCATTAAAAGAGAGAATACATTTAAAGCACTTAGCATAGTACCTGGCACAGATAAGGCCTCAATAAATGGTATTGTTTGCATTATTTAAAAATGTATCCCAGCCGGGCATGGTGGCTCAAGCCTGTAATCCCAGCACTTTGGGAGGCCGAGGCGGGCGGATCACAAGGTCAGGAGATCGAGACCATCCTGGCTAACATGGTGAAACCCCGTCTGTACTAAAAATACAAAAAATTAGCCGGGCGCGGTGGCAGGCGCCTGTAGTCCCAGCTATTCGGGAGGCTGAGGCAGGAGAATGGTGTGAACCCAGGAGGCGGAGCTTGCAGTGAGCAGAGATCGCGCCACTGCACTCCAGCCTGGGTGACAGAGCAAGACTCCATCTCAAAAAAAAAAAAAAAAAAAGTTTCCGGGCACGGGGGCTCACTCCTGTAATCCCAGCACTTTGGGAGGCTGAGGCGGGCAGATCACCTGAGATCAGGAGTTCAAGACCAGCCTGGCCAACACGGCGAAACCTCATCTCTACTAAAAATAAAAAAATTAGCCAGGCATAGTTGCCCACGCCTGTAATCCCAGCTAGTCGGGAGGCTGAGGCAGGAGAATCACTTGAACCCGGGAGGTGGAGGTTGCAGTGAGCCAAGATTGCACCACCATACTCCAGCCTCAGCCTGTGTGACAGAGGGAGATTCTGTCTCTAAATAAATAAATAAATAAATAAATAAAAATGTTGAGTTCCCATTCTAAATATTCTAAGACATTGATTCTGACACTGAAAGAGGACTCAGAAATGTCTTTTTTTCTTTTATTTCTTTTCCTTTTCCTTTTTTTTTTTTTTGCTATAAAATGGTTCTGAAAGAAATGTCTTGAATGAGTAAGCAAATGAGTACATTCAGTCCAAAGTACAAGTAGATGTGCAGGGAAATAGTGCATACTTGTGGAAAGACTGGAGGAATACGTACTGGATGAGGAATACTCCAAGGAAGAATTTCCTGTGACTTTGGTGATTTCTAAAGATACGTTGTTGGGTACTTTGGTAGGCAAGTAGCCCATGGCTCATCATTCCCAGAATTCCTGGCTGGGGAAGGACATCTTTGTGAAGCCAGGGGTTCCTTCCCACACTCCTACTCTGTCTAAATTCTGATAACACCTCTTTTAGGTATCATCATCTTCCTTCTTCCGTTCTAAAGACAAGGAGTTTGATGCTTACAAACCCTTTTGGAGCCAAGCCCTGTCCTGGACATCAAGAGCCCAGAGATGTCCACAGCTCAACACTATTCTGGCCAAGGAAAGTCCAGCTTTGTCCTAGGAGCCCCAGTATCATACACATGGCTTGAGAACTCACTGTATGCAGCTGTGAAGGATTGGTGGTTAGGGAGGAGACAGATCTGTAAGGACTGCAGAATTGTGGAAGGATGAGACTTCTTTCCAGAGAAGCAGCAGAATTGGAGTCAGAGCTAAGTTCAAGTTGTAGATCTGCTACTTTTTATATCTCGCCTAAGTTATTTAACCCTTCTCTGCCCCAATTCCTTGTCTATGACATGGGCAGAATACTTTGTATTTTGTTTTGTTTCTTTTTTTTTTTTTTTTTTGAGATGGAGACTGGCTCTTTTGCCTAGGCTGGAGTGCAGTGGCACCATCTCGGCTCACTGCAAGCTCCGCCTCCCGGGTTCACGCCATTCTCCTGCCTCAGCCTCCCGAGTAGCTGGGACTACAGGCGCCTGCCACCACACCCGGCTAATTTTTTTTTTTTCTTTTGGAGACAGAGTCTCACTCTGTCACCCAGGCTGGAGTGCAGTGGTGTGATCCCAGCTCACTGCAACCTCCGCCTCCTGGGTTCAAGCGATTCTCCTGCCTCAGCCTCCCGAGTAGCTGGGACTGCAGGCATGCGCCACCATGCCCAGTTAATTTTGTGTATTTAGTAGAGACAGGGTTTCACCATGTTAGCCAGGCTGATCTTGAACTCCTGACCTCAGATGATCCGCCCACCTCGGCCTCCCAAAGTGCTGGGATTACAGGCGTGAGCCACCACACCCGGCCCTGTTTTTTTTTTTTTAGTAGAGACGGGGTTTCACCATGTTAGCCAGGATGGTCTCGATCTCCTGACCTCATGATCCACCTGCCTCGGCCTCCCAAAGTGCTGGGATCACAGGCGTGAGCCACCGCACCCGGCCATTTTTGTTTTGTTTTTTTGAGATGGAGTCTCACTCTGTCACCCAGGCTGGAGTGCAGCGGTGCAGTCTCGGCTCACTGCAACCTCCGCCTCCTGGGTTCAAGCAATTCTCGTTCCTCAGCCTCCCAAGTAGCTGGGATTACAGGCTTCCACCACCACACCAGGCTAATTTTTATATTTTTGGTAGAGATGAGGTTTCACCATGTGGGCCAGGCTGGTCTCAAGCTCCTGACATTAAATGTTCCACCTGCCTTGGCCTCCCAAAGTGTTGGGATTATGGGCCTGAGCCACCGTGCCCAGCCAATACTTTGGCTTTTAACCAGAACATTTAGTCTAATGCATTTAACGAATTTACTGCTATATATATATATATTTTTTTTTTTGAGACACAGTCTCATTGTGTCGCCCAGGCTGGAGTGCAGTGGTGCGATCATGACTCACTGCAGCCTCTGCCTCCCAGGTTCAAGTGATTCTCGTGCCTCAGCCTTCCTAGTAGCTGGGACTTCAGGCGCGTGCCACCACGCCTGGCTAATTTTTGCATTTTTAGTAGAAAGAAGATTTTATCATGTTGGCCAGACTCGACTCAAACTCCAGACCTCAGGCGATCCGCCTGCCTCAGCCTACCAAAGTGCTGGGATTACAGGCATGAGCCACCATGCCCAGCCCATTTTTCCCACTATACTAGTTTGAAAGTTAAATTCTCTTTTCCTATTAGTATTATTTTAGTGATCTCCCTAGAAATTACCACATGCATTCTTAACTTACCAAAGTGTCATGCTCATAAATACCTTTACGGAAGGATAGAGTTTCCTGAGATGGAGGCAGGAAGAGAGAACATTCCAAGCTAGATGAACAGGGAAGCAAGCAGATGAACAGGGGAAGATTTAATTGCTATCTGAGTCAGAGTGAGGCTAGAGCAAGATGAGTGAGCTGGGGGTGGGTGGTTTAAAGCCATCCAGGAAGGATGTCTTGGTCATGAAAAAGATCTTTGAGAAGAACAAGAATAACTCCTCCTCAACCCAGGAAGGACACTGATTTTCCTGAGGCTTCCCAGGAGGCAGTGGCAGAGCTTGGTCTAAAGCTGGATGTCTTTAGCAGTCTATGTCCCTGCCTCTATACCTACCCCAGCCATGCTCACTGTGTCCCCTTTCTAGCAATTCCTCAATCTCTGCTTACCTGTCTAAATACTGCCCATTCTTCAAAACCCAGTTCCATTAAATCAACCCAACAAATATTTTCTTTTTATTTTTGTATTTTGTATTTTTATTTTTAATTTGTATTTATTTATTTTTTTGAGGTGGAGTCTCGCTCTCTCACCCAGGCTGGAGTGCAGTGGCGCAATGTTGGCTCACTGCAACCTCCGCCTCCTGGGTTCAAGCAATTCTCCTGCTTTAGCCTCCCAAGTAGCTGGGATTACAGGCGCCCGCCACCAGGCCTGGCTAATTTTTGTATTTTTAGTAGAGATGTGGTTTTGTCACGTTGGCCAGACTGGTCTCGAACTCGTGACCTCAGGTGATCTGCTCACATCAGCCTTCCAAAGTGCTGGGATTACAGGCGTGAGCCACCGCACCCGGCCCAAGAACTCTTTTTATTTCTTTTATCTTCCCTCACATAAATCAAGGTAGGCGAGGTCTTTCAAACTGATAGTGAAATAAAGAGATTTCAGAAAGGGTCGGTGACAGCCAAGGTCAGACAATACAAAAAAAGTTCAGGACGAGTTCACACTGTGGCTGACATGTCTAATCATAATGACCATCATGTACTGAGTACCTCCCACATGGCTGGCACACTGCTACATTACCTCTAATACAACAACCCTATGATGTGGATATTCTTTTTTTTTTTTTTTTTTTTGAGACTGGGTCTTGCTCTGTCACTCAGGCTGTTGTGGAGTGGTATGATCTCAGTTGACTGCAACCTCTGCCTCCAGGGTTCAAGCAATCCTCCCACCTCAGCCTCCTGAGTAGCTGGGAATACAAGTGTGTGCCACCACACCCAGCTAGTTTTCTGTATTTTTTGGTACAGATGCTGTTGCCATGTTGCCTAGGCTGGTCTTGAACTCCTGGGCTCAAGTGATCCTCCTGCCTTGGCCTCCCAAAGTGCTGGGATTACAGGTGTAAGCCACCACACCCAGTGTGGATATTCCTAAATCAATTTTACAGGCTGGGCACGGTGGCTCATGCCTGTAATCCCAGCACTTTGGGAGGCCAAGGAAGGAGGATCGCTTGAGCCTAGGAGTTCAAGACCAGCCTGGGCAAGACAGTGAGACCTTTTTTTTTTGAGACACGGTCTTGCTCTGTCTTCAGGCTGGAGTGCAGTGGCGCGATCTCGGCTCACTGCAACCTCTGCCTCCCAGGTTCAGGTGATTCTCCTGCCTCAGCCTCCCAAGTAGCTGGGACTACAGGTGCGCGCCATCACGCCTAGCTAATTTTTGTATTTTTAGTAGAGACAGGGTTTCACCATGTTGGCTAGGATTGTCTCGATCTCTTGACCTTGTGATCCGCCCACCTTGGCCTCCCAAAGTGCTGGGATTACAGATGTGAGCCACCACGCCCCCGCGAGACCTTGTTTTAAATAAATAAATAAAACCATTTTATAGACGAGGAAACAGAGGCTCAGGGCTATATGGAGAATTGCCCATATTTCCCAAATCACCAGAGAATTAAAGAATTAATCTAAATTAGAGCACCTCAAGGTTTGGGCATTGGGGGTAGTCTAGAGGCAGGGAGAGGGGACCCAGCCTCAGGGAATGGTACTTAGGGCCAAGAGAACAGACAAGGTGTCAAGATAGGGAACAATAGCCAGGAGCAGACACCCCTGGTTGGAGCTAGACAAAGAGGATGACATGAAGCCCCAAGGCAGAAAACCTGAATCTAGTTGCCAAATTTGGAGAGAGGTAGTTCTTTTTGTAAAGTTTTGCTAGTCCATTTGTCCTGGGACCTTAAAGAACAGGATAGGGGAGAACTCAAAATCAAGAAAAGTAGTTTTTAGAACAAGACACTCTGAGTGCGCACCTTCTCCAGACTTCGGAGCCCCTCAGAGTGCGTCTGAGGTATCTCTGGGTCCTCCACCATTGCTCCACATGAGGCCTGTCAAAGAGAGGGCCTAGACTGGGTGAATGAACAAAAGTGAACACATGAAAAAGAGCTCTGGCAAATTAATCAACAAATGCTAAGTGGCATTAACAGCATATAGTGGATTATGTGAATTATCTCAGGTACCAGACTTGAGTCCTGGTTCTGGCATGTATTAGCTGTGTAAGTAGGTAACTTGGTTTCCCTGTTTTCCATTGTAAAATGAGGATATTAAATAGTATCTACTGGCGGAGGCTCATGCCTGTAATCCCAGCACTTTGGGAGGCCAAGGCAGGTGGATCACCTGAGGTCAGGAATTCGAGACCAGCCTGACCAATATGGCGAAACCCCATCTCTACTAAAAGTACAAAAATTAGCCGGGCATGGTGGTGCCGCCTGTATTCCCAGCTACCCGGGAGGCTGAGATAGGAGAATTGCTTGAACCCGGGAGGTGGAGGTTGCAGTGAGCCGAGATCGTGGCACTGCACTCTAGCCTGGGTGACAGAGTGAGACTCTGTCTCCAAAAAAAAAGAGAGAAAGAAAGAAAAAAAAAAGGCCAGGCGCGGTGGCTTACACCTGTAATCCCAGCTCTTTGGGAAGCCAAGGCGGGGGCAGATCACGAGGTCAGGAGTTTGACACCAGCCTGGCCAAAATGGCAAAACCTCGCCTCTACTAAAAACTACAAAAATTAGCTGGGCGCAGTAGCGGGCGCCTGTTAATTCCAGCTACTCGGGAGGCTGAGGCAGGAGAATCGCTTGAACCCTGGAAGCGGAGGTTGCAGTGAGCCGAGATCGTATCTATTTTCACAGGTTTTTTTTTTTTTTTTTAATGGAGTTTCGCTCTTGTCGCCCATGCTTGAGTGCAGTGGTACGATCTCAGCTCACTGCAACCTCTGCCTCCCGGGTTCAAGCGATTCTCCTGCCTCAGCCTCCCAAGTAGCTGGGATTACGGGCGCCCGCCACCGTGCCCGGCTAATTTTTGTATTTTTAGTAGAGACGGGGTTTCGCCATGTTGGCCAGGCTGGTGTCAAACTCCTGACCTCAGGTGATCCGCCCGCCTCGGCCTCCTAAAGTGCTGGGATTACAGGCGTGAGCTACCGCGCCTGGCCCTCACAGGGTTTTTATGAGGATTAAATAAATGAGATAAGAAGTAAGAGTGCCTGGGATATACTGGGTGTTCAGAATGTGTTATTGCTGTGAGGATTTAAGTGGAAAAGTGCGATGTTAGGTATGGCTAACTTAGAGGTCCTCCACCCGCTGCAGATGCTCTGACTACCCACCAGTGTGCTTGCAGGAGGAATTCTTGGTCCCTTCACCCTCCTTCCCTGTTGGGCTGGGATGGTCTTTGCAAAGGGAGCCAGGGGTCCCCCTCAAGTTCTTTCATGGGTCAGTCATGGTCAGGGTAGGGAGGGAACTCTGGCAGCTGGTTTTGGGGGATCAATCCTCTCATTGTGGGGAGACCCAAGGCTGGTGGCTGGAAATCCTTTCTGCGCTACGTAGGACAGGGCGCCCTCTCCTGAACAAAGGCGGGAACAGCTCTAGGCCAGAGTTTCTGGGATGTGCCTCACCGGGTCTCACTGCCTGCAAAGGTGCTCTTCCCATTGCTGAAATGTCCCCAACCGCCCTGACGAGCAAAGTTTGGGGGAGGGGCGCCAGGGCTGGGAGGAAACTGGCTTAATGTTTCAGAAGGGCGAGGCTGGATAGTTCGGTTAGAATGGAGGTGCGAGGCAGGAGAGACGGGCGGATGAGAAAGAAATCCGGCCCCTGTTGAATTAATTTTGTGTTCTTTCAACAGGTAGATGGAACGCAGCTGAGAGGTAAGGCGACAAGGTGGCTTATCCAACATGCTCAAACTCAGGTATCCAGAGCTCTTCCGGCTGCCCTCACGCAGCCGAAATTAGTGGGGGCAGACCCGGGCTGTAAAGCATGGTTTGAGGACACGCCAGATTGAGGAGGAGAGCCAGGGGTCGGGGTCTCCAGAAGCGGGGAGGAGCCAGCGGAGGATCTGGGCGCAGTTTCCTCTCTAAGTTCCGCCCCGAGAGCGCCGGCCCCGCCCCCGCCGTTCGCGCTCTGACCAGCCCGCAGAGCCAGCCCCCGACCCCGGGCCACCTGGGCCCCCGGGTTCCGCCGGCACTCTCGCCACCACCGCGTGGGTGAGTATGGGCATGGATGTGCTGGGCTGCCGGGCAGCCCCACTCGGGAGCTTGGCCGCGCGGTCTGGCCTCTGCAGGGCCGGGCCCCACGCTGTGGGAGTCCTGGTACCTGCCGTCCTATCGCACACACTCTGTTTCCCAGGAACTGCTGCTCTCTGGACTTGCCGAGCTGGCCCCCTTCTTCTCCCTCCCCAGCGTGGGGCCGGGTGTGCAGGGGTTGAGCTCTCCCTTTATTCCGCGGGGCCTCCTGGTCAGGAGTCCTAGGTGGGGAGGATGGGGCCCCGGGGTTGGAACCCCATAGAGTAGTTTTGAATGGCAGCTGTGCCATTTATTAGCCTTGGCCTTGAGTAAGTGTTTTGAACCTCCCTGAGCCTCAGTTTCCTCATCTGTAAAATGGAAATATACAGGCTGTAGCACCTACCTCATAGAATTATGGTGAGATTAAAAGAGACAATGTATATCAAGTACAGAGCAGGGGGCCTAGTATTCCGTAGGCACTCAGTAAATGTGGGTTCAGACTCGAGGCTGAGGAGATCTCTAGGGACTTTGGAGCTGAGGTAGCTCCAAAGAAAGCAATTTTCAGCTAAGTAGTACCTGTGAGGAATGTAGAACTATCTGCAGGCTGAACAATTGCCCTTCAGCTCCACCCTGAGGTGTGGAGTAGAATGACCAAGTTGGAAGGACCTTAGAGGTAATCTAAACCATGTGATTCCCATGTTGCAGAACTGTGGAAACAGATCTAGAGTGCTTAAGTGGCTTGCCAAAGGTCACACAGCTAAATGGGAGGCCAGGCATACCTCCAAGAATTGGAATGGATTATCCCTTGAACCTCCTCATCAACTCCTGATTTGGGCAGTGCCTCTTCATTCCCTGAAGATCTAGTCTTCAATTTGGGAATCCTAGTGGTTCCTCAGGGATCTAGAGCTGCAGCCTTCAGGGAGGGATACTGGGAGGGAAGACTAGTGCTACTGCAACTGCAGAGTCTAGGTTTGGGCTGGGTGAGGAAAATGTTCCCCATCTAGGGCCCTAAGGGACTTAGAGTCCATTTAGGGATGATCCAGGGAATGTGTTTTTTTTCTGGGAGGGTCACCAGAGCCACTTCCAGCTCCCTGGGATCCCTGATGCTCCTAAAAGGGAGAGAGGAACTTGAGCAATTGGAGCAGGCTGCCTGATCAGGTCTGGCAGCTGGGGGAAAATGGGTGAGAATGTGGAGGCGTAGCCACCTGGCTTGTTCTGGAATGCCAGGATGGCAACCTAACTGAGATCAGGGTTCTTTTTGAGGGTGGGACTAAAGGGAGAGTCTTGTGGGTGGGGTCAGGAAGAGTTGGGACTTGATTTGACAAGGTCTTTGAGCCCAGAAGGGTATATTCTTTATGTGTCTGGAGCCAGCCCTAGCTTGGCAACAACAAGCCAACGTTCCAGGGATGGCTTTCCCTTCAGCTCAGCACAGGGCTTTGAGGAAGAGCCAGCCCTTCTCTCTCTCTGAGTGTCTTGGTTTCTCTATCTTTACAATGGGAATAGGGCTAACTGCCTCATCTATGTAGATTTTGGTTTTTCCTTTTCTTCCTCCTGTGAACAGGTGCCTCTTCTGCCTCTCTCACTCCAGTCCTAACCTGACCTTTCTCAAGTTCAGACACAGAGAGGAAGGGGTCAAGGAAGGCCAGAGTTGCAGTGTGTAACTCTTCGTGGGTCCCACATGTATCTCTTTGTTATGTGATCCTGAGCAGATTCCTGCTCCAACTTTCCCTTCTGTATACTGTGCGGAGCTGGGCTAGGATTGTTGGTATACACTTATTTGTTATAGTTCCTGACCTTAGCTACCCTTATCTAAGGGGGAAATCACAGCCCCCAGGAACCCTCATCTGTTCACAGGAGGGTGATGTGGACAGCCCCCTGGGCACTGGGAAGCCTCCAGAAGCTGACCAAGCAGCTCTCTCCAGCAAACAGCAATCCCAGGCTAGCACCAGGCCTGATTCTGCAAAGCCTTTCACCCTGGGGGCACGTGAGGGAGCAGGCTGGGACAAGCAGGGGGCTTGGGGTTCTGTCAGCTTCCATGGAATCCCTGCCACTGTGGACTGCGGTGCAGGCACACAGAGCCTGGGAAGGGACTGAAGGTGCAGGAGGGCCCTGGGCCAGTGGGGAAGCAAATGAGAGCTGATGAGAGGCCTTGAAGCCTGGAGGCTGGGCCGAGGCTCAAAGGCCTGGGGGAGGAGATGGGCCATGCCATCCACTGGTAGGTTTTAGGGTTGGTTCTTGAAATAAAGAGAGACACTTATTTAAAGCAGCTTCTCTAGTCCTAGGCCTGTCAAGCTAGGCAGAGAGGAGTGAGGAGAAGCTCTCCCAGTCCATTCAAGCTTTATCCTAGCACAGATTTGGTTCATTGTCTTCCCTCTGAAATTGAGGTGGAATGTTGTCTTGGGATTCTGAGTCAGTCTTCCTCATCCAGGGCAAGAGCTATCCAAGTTTAGGTGCCTTCCTCCTCAGACTCCCCACCCCACAGCACACAGCTAATTTTAGGACTGAGCACAAGGGCTGACTTTATCACTGAGTGCCAGCCTGGCTGCCTGGGGCCCTGACAGCATGCCACTCCATCCCCAGGTCTGACAAGATGTACCAGGTCCCACTACCACTGGATCGGGATGGGACCCTGGTACGGCTCCGCTTCACCATGGTGGCCCTGGTCACGGTCTGCTGTCCACTTGTCGCCTTCCTCTTCTGCATCCTCTGGTCCCTGCTCTTCCACTTCAAGGAGACAACGGCCACACACTGTGGGGTAGGGCATGGGGACACTGATACCTCATATTCAGGCCGATCTGGATCTTCTTTAGATCTTGAATATCTTTTAACAAGATTAGCCAGCTCTCCACTGGGGCCCATCAAACATACGGGGCTGCTGGGGGGATGCCTGCAAATTGAAATCTCAAGGGTTAGTCTCCCTCTGCCTTCTGTGAGGTTCTGGAGGCTGGAGTCACTGAAGTGTAATATAGAGTCAGTAAATGAATTACAAGTATAACAGAGTTTGACACATGTCCCACCCCATTTACTTTGATATCCTAGAGAAAGTGGTCTTACATCTTTCTTCCTGGCCCCGCGCCCCATATCCCTGTCCAGAGGGCAGACCTAGAGCCAAATCCTTACTTCATAGAAGAGCAGATTCTGGAACCCCAGGGTTTCTGGGAAGTGGAGAGAGAACAGGATTGGGCTAGAGGGTATTTTGGGCCTCTTAATGTAGCACTATGGGCTTGTGCCTGTCTCTGTAGGAATGTGACTCAGTATATGTGTGTGTGATTGTGAGGGTCATGACTGTATATAATGGGTTTGAGTGGGTCGTGTGTGAGAGAGACTATATCTGTGCCTGTCTGTATGGAGATCTGATTATGTACGTGTGTATGTGTCCTGGGGTGAGTCCCGTGGCCTCTAAGATTCCATAGATGTCTGTGTACCCTCTGGACAGGGATATGGGGTGCGGGGCCAGGAAGAAAGATGTAAGACCACTTTCTCTAGGATATCAAAGTAAGTGGGGTGGGACATATGTCAAACTCTGTTATACTTGTAATTCATTTACTGACTCTATATTACCTGAGACAGAGACCCAGCCTCAGTTTCCTCATGTCTGAAATAGAATTGATTAGCTGGGCATGGGGGTATGCACCTGTAGTCCTAGCTCCTCAGGAGCCTGAGGTGGGAGGATTGCTTGAGCCTAGAAGTCTGAGGCTGGAGTGAGCTATGGTTTTCTCACTGTACTTCAGCCTGATGACATAGTGAGACCCCCATTTCTAAAAAATAAAATAGGGTTGATAATTCCTGTCCTGCTCCTTCCCAGGGCTAGTGTAGAGCTCTAGGTAGAAGAAGGATAGGAAGGTAGTTTAGGGAGGATGATGAAATGTGAGGAGCAGAAGGAGGAGGAGGAAGAGACTGTCAGGTTGGAAGGCAGGGCAGGAAATGAACTTAACCTAGGGGCTTTAGGTGGAGAAGAGGCAGATTCTGCGCATGGACCATTGGGGTCCCTCAGAGTTCTGAAGGCCCCAGCCAGCTGGATCCCCACTTCATGTAAAGAGCATCTGCTTCAGAGAAATGGCTAGGATTAGCAGTGGGGTCTAGCTGTGAGTATGGGGTGGAGCCCCACTTCTTTACTTCATGTGACTGGAGTTTCCTCTCCTCCTGATTTGTCAGTGGGTAGACATGGGTGTTGAGGTATGGACACCCAATCTGATGAGACCTGGGGCTGGGAGCTATTAGAAAGAACTGGACGAAAAGGGCGAACAGGCGATCTGAAGGGAAGGAGTACCCTTTTGTGACCTAGTACATGACCTAGTACCTATTATCTCAGATAATGCATCAGATATTCCTGTTACGCTAGCCACTCCTGATCATCCCGCAAAACCCTGCCCCGCTAGCTCTAAAATGTCTTCCCTATCCTCCTTGGGGCTAATGTAATCACTCCCTCCTCTGGGTGCCCACAGTTCCCTGTGTTATCTATCACATCATATTTGTGTCTGTCTTCCCAACCAGATGGGGATCTCCTTGAAGGCAGGCACTGCATTTGAGTGAGAAAGTATTTGGGTTTTTTTATTTGTTTTAGAGGCAGGGTCTCATTTCCGTCACCCAGGCCAGAGTGTAGTGGCATGATCATAGCTCACTGCAGCCTCAAACTCCTGGGATCAAGCAGTCTTCCTAACCTCAGACTCCTGAGTAGTTAGGACTACAGATGTGAGCCACTACACCCAGCTTAATTAAAAAAAAAATTGTGGAGATGGGGTCTCGCCATGTTGCCTAGGCTGGAGTGCAGTGGCATGATCATAGCTCACTGCAGCCTCAACCACCAGGGCACAAGTAATCCTCCTGCCTCAGCCTCCTGAGTAGCTAGGACAATAGGTATGCACAACCATGCCCAGCTAATTTTTGTGTATGTGTGTGGAGACGGGGTCTCACACTGTTGCCCAGGCTGGTCTTGAACTCCTGACCTCAAGTGATCCTCCCACCTCGACTCCCAAAGCACTGGGATTATAGGCGTGAGCCACTGTGCCTGGCCAGAAAGTGTTGGTTGAATAAATGATTAAGACTCCCTAGCCCAGTGCCCTGGGGAAAGGAAGGCATGGTATAAGTCAATCATAGTCCAAGCAAAATTATAATATTTGTATAGTATATGGAGTTAAACAGACTAGGCTGTTTGCTCTGCCCCTTATGGCTGACCCCAAGGGCTGATGGCATCAATACCCTATTAGCTAGGTTATTGCATACCTTGCATACCTATTACCTGTTCTGGGCATACCAGTTAGGGAATTAAGATATAGATAGTTGCTGGAGTACTTGGTCCCTCTGGAGCAGTACTAGGTCTGTGACCCTGAGGGTATGTTGTCCCCACTGCCTGAGCCTACGGTGTTGGTTCCACCTTGGAATTTTTATATTTGCTCTGAATTTCCCACTCAGAGTATCCCAGAAATGGCCAGCCCTAGGAATAAAAGAAGCAAGCTAGTCCATCATATCTGTAATTGATTACTTTGCCTCTGCTCGCATATCCCCAGTGATGGGGAGCTTCCTTCCTCCCCAGGTAGCCTGTTCTAAGGAAGCTTAATAACTAATAATTAGCCTTTTTCTTTTATTTTCTTTCTTTATTTTTATTTAGATGTAGTCTCACTCTGTCGCCTAGGCTGGAGTGCAGTGTTGTGATCTCAGCTCACTGCAACCTCCGCCTCTTGGGTTCAAGCAATTCTCCTGCCTCAGCCTCCTGAGTAGCTGGGATTACAGGTGCCCGCCACCACACCTGGCTAATTTTTGTATTTTTGGTATTGACGGGGTTTCGTCATGTTGGCCAGGCTCGTCTCGAACTCCTGACCTCAGGTGATCCACCTGCCTTGGCCTCCCAAAGTGCTAGGATTAAAGGCGTGAGCCACCATGCCCAGCCTCTTTTTTTTTTCTTTCTTCTTCTTTTTTTTCTTTTAACAGAGATAGTTTCTCACTATGTTGCCCAGGCTGGTCTTCAACTCCTGAGCTCAAGTGATCCTCCTGCCTCAGCCTTCCAGAGTGCTAGGATTACAGGCTTGAGCCACTGTGCCTAGCCCAAGCTTTTTCTTTCCTTCTTTCCTTCTTTCCTTCTTTTCTTTCTTTCTTTCTTTCTTTCTTTCTTTCTTTCTTTCTTTCTTTCTTTCTTTCTTTCTTTCTCTTTCTTTCTTTTTTTCTTTTTTTCCTTCTTTCTTTCCTTCTTTCTTTCTTTTCTTTCTTTTCTTCCTTTCCTTCCCTTTCCCTTTCCCTTGCCCTTTCCCTTTCCCTTTCCCTTTCCTTTCCTTTCTTTTCTTTTCTTTTTGAGGCAGGGTCTTGCTCTGTTGCCCAGGCTGGAGTGCAGTGGCACAATCTTGGCTCACTGCGACCTCTGCCTCCTGGGTTCAAGCCATTCTTATGCCTCAGCCTCCCGAGTAGCTGAGATTACAGGCATGCACCACCGTGCCTGGCTCATTTTTTGTATTTTTAGGAGAGATGGGGTTTCACTATGCTGGCCAGGCTGAAGCTTTTACTTATAGTGAGTATGTACTTACTTTCCGGTGAGTCTCTGCCTTGGCCCTGGCTCTGCTTTGCCGTAGAACTATTCTCTCCTCGTGGCTTCAGGTCAGCCCTGTAGAGACAAGAAGACAGTAATGAGGGGCCTTGAGTCTGTCTTCTTCTTTTTTTTTTTTTCTTGAGATGGAATCTCGCTTTGTCACCCAGGCTGGAGTGCAATGGCACGATCTCGGCTTACTGCAACCTCCGCCTCCCAGGTTCAAGCGATTCTCCTGTCTCAGCCTCCCGAGTAGCTGGGATTACAGGCACACCGCCACCATGACTGGCTAACTTTTTGTATTTTAGTAGTGACGGGGTTTCACTGTGTTACCCAGGCTGGTCTCGAACTCCTGACCTCAGGCAATCCAGTTCCTTCAGGCAACCTTCCAAGGAAATGGTTTCCAGGCTCTTCCCTATCCTGAATGTACCGTTGAACTTGGCCCAGTTTGTCACTGTTCTCTGCTGGGCCTTGATTTGGGTATAGAACTCCAGGTGGCCTGGGCAGTACAGGCAAAAGCAGGACTATTCATTCTTATTCCTGGCTGTTAGACCTCTGTTGAGGCAGCCTGAGCTGCTATTAGCTGTTTCTGCACAGGTACAGGCTGAACATCGATATCTCATATTCAGGCTTGTTGAGATCTCTTTTGTATCCTGCTTCTGTCATCATAGGATTTAGCCATTTCTCCAGTGAGGCCCAACAAGCCCTCTCAGTCCTGCTCTAACAAAAAACGGCCAGACCCCTTTTTGCTTTCTCTCTTTCCCTTATTGGAAACCTGCCTATGACCCTGGATACAACTCTCAGGAAGGTCCCTGCCCCCATCACTGGCAAAGAAGCTACTGCCAGCTGACCTCAGCCACTATCACTTCTTCCCTTTGCAGAGTGTTCTAGGATTTATGACATATGCTTGTTGATCCTGGGAAGGATGTGTGCCTGGGCAGGCGTGGAGAATTGGGTACTGTGGGCGGGAGGGCAGGCCCTGAGGAGCAGGGGGTGGGATCCTCCAGTCTTAGAATAGTCCCAGTCTGGCTACAACCTTCAACCCAAGACCCGGATTCTTCAGCACCGAGTGTGAGTGTTCCTTCATGAGGCCCCCACCCCATTCCTGGGTCTCCTTAGTGGAGGGAAGTATGAGTGCCGAGGGGAGATTGGGTCCTAGGCCTTTTAATATCAAGCCATCTCTGTCTGCCTCAGCTTGATCCAGAGGGAAGCCCAGCTTGAGGGGTCAAGGTGTTTGGGCAGTGGGGTTGTGAGGGGGAGTTGTCGGCCAGGAGGGAGAAGAGATTGGAAGAAGCTCAGTTCCCTGGGTCTGGGTCTGACCTGGACAGAGATCTCCTGGGTCTGGCCCAGGACAGCAGGCTCAAGCTCAGTGGAGAAGGTTTCCATGACCCTCAGATTCCCCCAAACCTTGGATTGGGTGACATTGCATCTCCTCAGAGAGGGAGGAGATGTAGGTCTGGGCTTCCACAGGGACCTGGTATTTTAGGATCAGGGTACCGCTGGCCTGAGGCTTGGATCATTCAGAGCCTGGGGGTGGAATGGCTGGCAGCCTGTGGCCCCATTGAAATAGGCTCTGGGGCACTCCCTCTGTTCCTAGTTGAACTTGGGTAAGGAACAGGAATGTGGTCAGACAGGGTCAGTGGGAGGGCTTTGGCCATTCTGAGCCAACGGTCCTTTGTTAGTTGGCCTGAAAGAAGCCATGACTTAGAACCTGAAGCTGTCAGGTGGCAAGAGGCCTTAGTCCTGGTGTTTGATCCTGGCATAGTTCTGGGCCTCAGTCTCCCCTTCTGTGAAATGGGAATAATAACCTTTCTACCTCTGACCCTTCTCCTGAGTGGCTATGAGGGTTGTGAGAGTGAGGTGGGCCACCAGAGCTCCCTGTCCAAGCCACCGGGAGCCTCTCTTCTGTAGGCTCTTCAAGAGGTGGACCTAGAGTATCACTGTGCCAGGGGGATTCCTAAGCTCTGACCCTGCCTGTCTCTGCTGCTCCTGCCCCATCTCCCTCTGATCCTTCTCCTCTGCACTGTCTTCCTTTTCCCCTTATGCCTTTTCTACCCTTTCTGCTCTGGCTTTTCCTTATACTCTGAGGAGCCATCTCTGGAAAAGGCCCCACTTTCCCAGACCCAGGTGTCCTACCAGGCCCCAAGTTGTATCCCTCGTGCTGCTTAGGCCACGCCCTGCAGGATGTTCTCTGCGGCCTCCCAGCCTTTGGACCCCGATGGGACCTTGTTCCGGCTTCGCTTCACAGCCATGGTCTGGTGGGCCATCACTTTTCCTGTGTTCGGCTTCTTCTTCTGCATCATCTGGTCCCTGGTGTTCCACTTTGAGTACACGGTGGCCACTGACTGTGGGGTGAGTGCCAGCTCCCCAGCCCCTGGGTCAGGGCCAGGTCAGGAGGTGGCAGTTAGGGTAGAATTAGATAGTGGAGAGGAAGTGGAGGATCAGAGAGAGGGAAAGGGACAAGGGGATGGGGGAAGGGTAGGTAAGTCAGAGTCAGAGATAATTCATGGGGGGAGACTCAGAGAGAATAGAATCACAGTCCTCCCTGAGTTGGAAGATGATGATAGAAATGCAAGGGAGATGACGGGCGCAGTGGCTCATACCTGTAATCTCAGCACCTCGGGAGGGCGAAGCCAGTGGATCACTCGAGTTCAGTTCGAGACCAGCCTGGGCAACATGGTGAAACCCCGTCTGTACAAAAAATGCAAAAAAATTAGCTGGGTGCCCTGGCATGCCCCTGTAGTCCCAGCTACTTGGGAGGCTAAGGCAGGAGAATTGCTTGAGGCTGGGAGGTGGACATTTCAGTGAGCTGAGTTCACACCATTATACTCCAGCCTGGGTGACAGGAGTAAAACCCTGTCTCAAAAACAAAACAAAATAAAAAAAAAAAAACAGCAGGCTGTGCACTGTGGCTCATGCCTGTAATCCCAGCACTTTGAGAGGCCGAGGTGGGAGGATCACCTGAGGTCAGGAGTTTGAGACCAGCCTGGCCAACATGGTAAAACCCTGTCTCTACTAAAAAATACAAAAAAATTAGCTGGGCATGGTGATGTGTGCCTGTAATCCCAGCTACTCAGGAGGCTTGAGGCAAGAGAATTGCTTGAACCCGGGAGGCAGAGGTTGCAGTGAGCCAAGATCGTGCCAAAAAAAAAAAAAAAAACAATAACAGTGCAAGGGAGTTGGGGGTTAGAGGGAGGTGATAGGGGAAGAGAAGGGATTGGAATGGGCAGGAGAGATCATGAGAGGAAGGAGGCAGATTGGAAAGGAAGCCAGGACTGAGGAGGTAAAATGAGGCCAGAAGATGGGAGATGTAACAAGTGGCTTTGGCCCAGACTCGGGGACTGACCTTGGAGGATCCATCCTCAGCTCTGATCTGGATCCTCAAGCTTTGTTTCTCCTACTGGCAGCCCCAGGCCCCACCACCTGTATCCACTCAGGGATCTGCCAGCCAGAAACCTGGATGGACTTCTGTCTCCCACAATCAGTCCACTAGGCCTTTCCTGGGGGCCCAGGGATAAAGGTTCTGTTGTGCTAGGGGCATGGAATTAGATATGGACTTGCCCTTAACATCTCAATGTTACAAGAATCAATCCTTAGACACAGACTGTCACAACACAGTGGTCTGGGGTTCCTATTATGATTAAAAAAAGAGTACAGTGACTGTGGGGCTCAGAGGAGGCACTTCACGCAGCTTGGACATTGGGGATCACTTTCTTCTTGGAGGAGGGGACATTGTTGCTCTGTGGTAAAGAAGGCTCTTTGTGAATGCCAGGCCGGCAACTTTTGATATTATCCAGAGGGCAATTTTTATCAAGAGCTTTGGAAAGATTTTAGGCAGGAAAGGGACATGATCAGATTTGTGCTTTACATATTTATTTATTTAGAGACAGGATCTCACTCTGTCTCCCAGGCGGGAGTACAGTGACCTGATCTTGGCTCATTGCAGCCTTGACCTCCTGGGCTCAGGTGATTCCTCGCCTCAGCCTCAGCCTTGGGTAGCTGGGACTACAGGTGCATGCCACCATGCCTGGCTAATTCTTATATTTTTTTTGTAGAGATGGGGTTTTGCCATGTTGTGTAGGCTGGAGATTTGTGCTTCAGAAGACCACTCTAGCTTCTGAGTGGAGAACAGCTTTAAGGTCAGGGGCAAGAGTAGGGTATAAGGAGGCTGGTGCAGTAGCTCATGCTCCTGGGGGAACCAGAGCCAAGATGCGGACTGTGAGCGTAGAGAGGAGGGATGGAGTCTAGAGAGGTGTAGAAAGTGGGATTGACAGCAAATGGAGTTTTTGTGCAGTTGGCATGGGGCGGGGGACAGTACGGTAGCTAGAGAAGGCATCTATAATGTGGGGGGACTTTTACCTGAGGCCAAAGGAATGAATCTTATGGTGAAATCTGAGGTGCCGTGCAAGGGGATTTTGGGGAACCCTGCTTTATACCATATGAGTTTCTGATCTACTGTCCTATCAGAAAGGGCTTATCCTCCCGTCTCTCAGTACTCTTAGCTCTGGGCACATGGGGAAGTTTGGGGTGAGCTGTGTACCCAGTTTCTCATAGCTCCTGATGTTGCTTGTTGCTGGTGCAGTCGATGAGTGGGGAACTTGTGTGCTGGAATGGGGCTGGCGGTAGGAGTACATGTACCTGATTGTGTGTATGTGTCTGTGTGTATATGTGCGTGTGTGTGTACATGATGGAAGAGACAGTCCCTGCTCTTAGAATCCCACCCCCATCCCTAATCTGAGAGAAGCTCATGAAGACAGGACCAGCAGCCACAATGCCCTAACTCTCTCTTCCTCCTGAGGCCTTCCCCAAACTCTGTATCATTTCTCCCCAGTACCTGTTCCCAACAGTGGTCAGGGTTCAGGGCCCTTGAATCCTTTAGGCTCTCCCAGTCAAGCTTTAGATGGTGGTCCTGTTTTCCTTAAAGTAGCTGAGACTGGGGAGTAGTTTTCAGATTGAATATTCCAGGAAGCAGAGGCAATGCTCTGACTAACTCAACTCAGAGTAACAGCAAGGCAGAAAAATCAAGTAAGGAGACTTGGAGGTTCCTGCGTCTCTCCCATAAGCAGACCTTCCCATGCTCTGTGGCCATGTAGCTCACAGCGTTTTTGCATTCTTTACAGGAAATTTTGTCTTCTGAAAGCCATCACTTATTGTACTTAACTGCATGCCAGATACTGCAGATGTTTTATACACGTTATATTTAGAATTCATATGGCTTGGCATGTTGGCTCACGCCTGTAATCCCAGCACTTTGGCAGGTGAATCACTTAAGGTCAGGAGTTCAAGACCAGCCTGGCCAACATGGTGAAACCCCATCTCTACTAAAAATACAAAAATTAGAGGCCAGGCGTCTGTAATCCCAGCTACTCGGGAGACTGAGGCAGGAGAATTGCTTGAACCTGGGAGGTGGAGTTTGCAATGAGTTGAGACCGCACCATTGCACTCCAGCCTAGGCAACAAGAGTGAAACTCCATCTCAAAAAAAAAAAGAAAAATTAGCTGCGTGTGGTGGCACCTCTAGTCCCAGCTACTCAGCAGGCTGAAGCACGAGAATCACTTGAACCTGGGAGGCGGAGGTTGCAATGAGCCAAGATTATGCCACTGTACTCCAGCCTGGGTGACAGAGCGAGACCCTGTCTCAAATAAATAAATAAATAAAGAGAATTCATAAACACCCTGCAAGGTAGGTGGTGTTATACCCATTTTACCAATGAGGAAATTGGAGCTCAGAGAGGTGAAGTGACTTGCTCAAGGTCACCCAGCTAATAAAGGCAGAGCTGGGATGCAGACTCAGCTTTGTGCAGTTCCTGAGCCTCTATGCTGCCCCTTCACATTACTCAGAGTGCATGTCTGAGCCTGGTCTCAAGCTATGATATCTCAAGCTATGGTATCTCAAGCTATGGCTTTGAGACCAGCATCTTCTCTCCCAGAGCTCTACATTTAGCTTCCTCTGACAGTGCAGAAGGGAATCCATCTCCTTTTTTGTGGAGGCTGTGAAGCCCCATGGCTAGTCTTGCCCCAGGCCTACCTGTGGGCTGCCCTATGAGCCGCCTGCAGCATTGCTCACCTTCTCAGCAGTCTGGCATCTCATTGAAAGAAAGGAATGATGGTCCTTAAGAACTCCACTTCCGAAGACTGTCCCTCCATAGTTAGAGCAAATTCATTCCCTTGCTGGGTTGCTGGGCTCTGGCACTGCGCTGGCCCTCGTTGGAGGTCTGCAGAAGTGCACAGAAAGTGTGGGCAATGGACTGGCCATTTCCACAGTTTTGGAAACTTTTAAAAATCCATATTCTTGCTGGGGGTGGTGGCTCACGCCTGTAATCCCAGCACTTTGGGAGGCCGAGGCAGGCAGATCACCAGAGGTCAGGAGTTCTGAGACGAGCCTGCCCAACATGGTGAAACCCCATCTCTACTAAAAATACAAAATTAGCTGGGCGTGGCAGCAGGCGCCTGTAATCCCAGTTACTTGGGAGGCTGAGGCAGGAGAATTGCTTGACCGCAGGAAGCGGAGGTTGCAGTGAGCCAAAATTGCGCCACTGCACTCCAACCTGAGCAACACAGCGAGACTCCATCTCAAAAAAAAAAAAATGCATATTCTGGCTTGGCGTGGTGGCTTATGCCTGTAATCCCAGCAGTTTGAGAGGCCGAGGGGGGTGGATTGTTTGAGTCCAGGAGTTTTAGACCAGCCTGGGCAACATGGCAAAACCCTGTTGCTACTAAAAAAAAAAAAAAATCCAAAAAATTAGCCAGGCATGGTGGTGGCTACTTGGGAGGCTAAGGTGGGAGAATCACCTGAGCCCAGAAAGTAGAGGCTGCAGTGAGCCGAGATCGGGCTATGGCACTCCAGCCTGGGCAACCGAAGTGAGACCCTGTCTCCAAAAACAAAAGCAAAAACAAAACGGCCGGGCGCAGTGGCTCACGTCTGTAATTCCAGCACTTTGGGAGGCCGAGGTGGGCGGATCACGAGGTCAGGAGATTGAGACCATCCTGGCTAACACGGTGAAACCCCGTCTCTACTAAAAATACAAAAAATTAGCCGGGCGTGGTGACGGGCGCCTGTAGTCCCAGCTACTCGGGAGGCTGAGGCAGGAGAATGGCGTGAACCCGGGAGGCGGAGCTTGCAGTGAGCCAAGATCGCGCCACTGCACTCCAGCCTAGGCGACAGTGTGAGACTCCGTCTCAAAAAGAGAAAAAAAAGCAGATTCTGGCCAAGCGAGGTGGCTCATGCCTGTAGTGCCAGCACTTTGGGAGGCCAAGGCAGATGGATAGCTTAAACCCAGGAGTTTGAGACCAGCATGGGACACATGACGAAACCCTGTCTCTACAAAAATTAGCCTGCTACTCAGGAGGCTGAAGTGAGAGGATCACCTGAGCCCAGGAGGTCAAGGCTGCAGTGAGTCATGATCATGCTATTGCACTCCAGCCTAGGCGACAGAGTGAGACCCTGTCTCAAAAAGGGGGAAAACAAAATTAAAAAATTAAAAAATGCAGATCCTCAGGTTCCAAGCCTTCTGCATTTTCAAACAATTCCCCCAGTGAGTTGTATGGGTAATTAAAGTTTGTGAAGCACTGCTCTAGGCCCTGGAGTCTAAGAGAGCCTCTTCCCATCTTTGGCTTTCCTGTCCCCATCTAAACCCTTGTTCAGTCATCCCCCATCCTTTCACCTCTCAAACAAGCAAGACACCAGTCCCTGCAGCTGTGTATTATCTTCTCCTTTTTCCTTAAGGACTGAAGCTTCAATAGGAGTTCCAGGCATTAAGATGGATGGTGGAGATGCACAAGAACATGGTCATTTCCTTAGACTACCCCAGGTTAGGAGCACCCACTTTCTTTTTTCTTTTCTTTTTTTTTTTTTTTTTTTTTTTTTTTTTTGAGACAGAGTCTCACTCTGTTGCCCAAGCTGGAGTGCAGTGGCACAATCTCGGCTCACTGCAAGCTCCGCTTCCCAGGTTCACACAGTTCTTCTGATCAGCCTCCTGAGTAGCTGGGACTACGGGCGCTGGCCACCACGCCTGGCTAATTTTTTTTTTTTAAGTAGGGACAGAGTTTTGCCATGTTGGCCAGGCTGGTCTTTAACTCCTGACCTCGGGTGATCCACCCACCTCGGCCTCCCAAAGTGCTGGGATTACAGATGTGAGCCATCGTGCCCAGCCCACCCACTTTGTTAATCATGATCAGAGCAGGGGTGCCATTCTACCACCTTGGCACACCTGCCTAGAGGAGTGAGTGGCGCTGGGAGCAGACTGAGGAACATCTTAGCTGAGCAGTGAATCCAGCACTGTTCTAAGGAAGCTCAGATGGTCTGTGACTCATCCCTGTCCTCTGGACTGAATCTGAGGCCTTGGAACTCACCCAGGGTCTTAGTGGAGGCACAGCTCTGAGCTATGGGTGTAGAGCATCTGAACCCATCTACACATTGACCAAACACAGGCAGGTTCCAGTCTGCGGGGGAGATGGAGAAGGTGCCACCATGCTGCTGCACAAATCCCAGGATAGCTGGGGAATGAGAATCCAGCACTTTGGGCCTAGGACCTGGAAGGAGAGGTCTTTTGGGAGAGGTATGGGGACATCTGAAGGAGGACTTCTTGGAAGGGGAGGGGCTGGAGCAGAGGCAAGAGTGATTTTGTCAGATGGAGAGAAGGTTCTCCACATGGGCGGGGCTGGCAGAGGCAGATGCCCAGACAGGTCACAACTCTCTAGGTGCCCAATTACCTGCCCTCGGTGAGCTCAGCCATCGGCGGGGAGGTGCCCCAGCGCTACGTGTGGCGTTTCTGCATCGGCCTGCACTCGGCGCCTCGCTTCTTGGTGGCCTTCGCCTACTGGAACCACTACCTCAGCTGCACCTCCCCGTGTTCCTGCTATCGCCCGCTCTGCCGCCTCAACTTCGGCCTCAATGTCGTGGAGAACCTCGCGTTGCTAGTGCTCACTTATGTCTCCTCCTCCGAGGACTTCAGTGGGTGCCTGGATGAGGGAGGAGTGGGGAAGTGTTCCCTGAGGGGACGGGCCTGCCCCTACCACATTCGGACCTTCCTACTTCGTGGTGTGGGCACTCCCTGCAATGTGGCTCCCAATCCTCTTTCCCTCCAGCCATCCACGAAAATGCTTTCATTGTGTTCATTGCCTCATCCCTCGGGCACATGCTCCTCACCTGCATTCTCTGGCGGTTGACCAAGAAGCACACAGTAAGTCAGGAGGTACGGTCTATCCCTAGCGGGGGCTCCAAGGCAGCCCAGAAGAAAATCAAGGACATCTGTCCTCAGGATTCGGGTAATGGTGAGGTGGGAACTGAGTTCTAATGGGAACCCTGGCAGAGGGGTGCTGGGGTTGGGGCTGGGGCTTGGGAACAAACTGAGGGTGGTTGGTCAGAATCTAGGACTATAGCACTGTGTTTGGGTAGTGTGGGAGACTGGAGAATAGAAGAGATGGAGGCTGCAAATGGGGATAGAATGAGGAGTCGCATCTAGGCGGCAGTGAGTTAGGAACAGTGTCAGAGGACTGGTCTGTCATAATTCCAGCGCCCCACCCATGTACATGGGTTTCTTTTCCCCCACAGTATTTGGAGGTGGGGTTGGTGGGTGACTCCATGTAACTTTCATACTCCATCCCCCTGAAGTGGAAGCGGCAGGAATACCACTGCTCCTCGGCCCATCACTCCCCCAGAGGCAGGGACGTGAACACATAGTCGTCATTCTTGCTGCCCCTGCCTGTGCTCCCTTCCATGACCGCTAGTGGGAGCCAAGGGAGATAAGGCCCAGCCCTTAGGAGTTAGGGCTGAGAGGGGAGCCCACGCTCTCATACCCAGCAAGCTGCAGAGTGATCAGACAGCCCATTCCCTAGGATCGCAAGTCCTACAGCTGGAAACAGCGGCTCTTCATCATCAACTTCATCTCCTTCTTCTCGGCGCTGGCTGTCTACTTTCGGCACAACATGTATTGTGAGGCTGGAGGTGAGGCCAGGATAGGATCCACAGGCGGTCATGAGTGGCTGCGGGGCAGCAATGATGTTTTTGATAATGGGCAATGGTCTTGGGGACTGGCTGCCATTGTGTTCTCTGTGGCAGACCAATGGTGGTGTGATTTATCAAGAGGCCTCTGAGCGGGTAGCTGGAAGTTCACCATGTCCTGTTCCTTGTGTCCTCACAACAGTGTACACCATCTTTGCCATCCTGGAGTACACTGTTGTCTTAACCAACATGGCGTTCCACATGACGGCCTGGTGGGACTTCGGGAACAAGGAGCTGCTCATAACCTCTCAGCCTGAGGAAAAGCGATTCTGAACCCTTCAGTCCTGCTTGGGAGGACGCAGCCCACTGCCCAGAAACAAGAAACACGATACCATTCTGGCCTTCCCCACCCCACATCCTCTCTTGGCCTTACTGAAGATGGGGGAAGGGTAAGAAGGAAGGGTGTAGGCCAAGGCTCACCCCAGTGCTGCTGGCTTCTCCTCTCCACCCCTCATATGGGCGTGGGGTCCTCAAACATCACCTTTACCTGAGAGGCCCCAAGAAGCTGAGCTGGCAGAGAGCTCCACCATTTGGTGCTAAAAAAAAAAACGTCCTGAGGTTCATGACCACCATCCAGTTTCTGGCCTTTACACAGTCACCTTTCACTGAGGTCAGGAGCCCCTGAGCAGTGGCTGCTCCCTGACAACCACAGCCATTTCTCTGCACGGGGGTCATTCATAGGACTAATGTATTTCATGATCTACTGTGCACATCCAGGCCTGTGGCCACAGTCCCCTGCTAAAGTTGCTCAGGTGTTCTAGTCCTGACTTCACCTTTTTGATTTGGTGTGTGCCCTAGGGTATGTACCCTTCCCCATCTGAGCCTCGGTGTGTCCATGTGTCTGGCGGGGGATGGGTGGACTGTATGATTTCCAAGGACTCTACCAGTCAGTGGTTCTGATGTCATCGGGTGGAGGTGGTGTTCTATACCTAAAGGATGACCTGCTCCAGAAACAGCACCAGCACAGCATGTATTTTCTTCTCTTCTGAAAGTTCTGGCTTGTAGACCCCTCCCCTCCTTTGCAAAGGTATGGGATAGAGGGGTCAGATGCAGATCTCTACTGTAAAATGGGCTCCCTGGTATCTCCTGTCTTCCCTACTGCTCCAAACCCTAAATTTTGGTTGTACATTTTATTTGAAAGGAAAATAAATTTTTTTTTTGGGCCAACAGTTGCCTAGGCTTGCTAGTCTTGGGGCTCATCTTGTTTGATAGGAACTGGGAGAGAAACAGGCTCAAGAATGGGGAGGGAGTAAGTCCACGGCAGGGTATGATTCCTAGCAGAACCCCCCAGTCCCCCTTAGGTCTGGAGTCTCCTAAAGCTGGTCTAAGCCTTTATTTTGGTGAGCAGGAGTGAGTGAGCTATCTGTAATGATTCTAGGACTGCAAGCTAGGGTACCTGGAAGTCTTCAGTTGAGACAGAGACCTGGGTTCAAATTCCAACTCTTGTTGTTAAAGCTGTCCTCTTGGGGATGTGAGGTACAGCTGTCACATGCATGACTGTGGGAGCATCTGCCTTTAGACTAATGGCTCTGAACCTCTCCCTTTCTGAGCCCTAAGATCAAGAAGTCTTTCCTCAGGTTTTGTGTCTGAGTCCACTACAGCATCTGTGACTGGGCCCCAGAGCAAGACTGCCCCCTCCAAGGGAGCCTAGAGCTTTGTTAGGGAAATTGAGGGGTGAGGGGACCACAATGAAGCCTATTGTCTACTAGAAGAAACAAAAGGCTCCCAGTCTCTGGGGAGCCCTAGCCCATGCCCACCCGCTAATGCCCAGCACACAGGGAGGAGCCGGGGCCACTGGAGACAGGAGGTTTTATTGATGCTGATGGGGGTAGGAAAGGTCCCCAGAAGCATGGGGGCTGAGTCAGTCAGCAAATGCGTAAGGCCTAGGCACAGAGGAGCAGGTTAGGGCACATTCACCTTCTCAGGATTCTGTGGCTCCCTCATTGGAGAAGGGAGAGAGCATCTTGGGGGCGCAATTCCAAGAGCAGCGAGGGCAGAGGTTAGAGATGGCTGAGAGCCCCTAACCTGAGGCGGCACCACAATAGGCAGCAACAACTGTGTGGAAAGCTGGATGAACTGGTCAGTAGCGGAAAATGGGAGGGGGCACTGGGTTGGCCTCTTGGGGAGGGGTCCAACCTTGGCTTGGATGAGCTCATGAGAATACCCAGTGTTCCCAAGCAGAGGGGGGCAGAGCCCAAAGCCCCTTTCTCTGCAGGCCTCCTTAAGGAGAAAAAGGCACTCAGAGAAAAAGGCATTCAGGGAACCCCCTGGAAAGGGGTGCCAGAATTAGTCCTTAAGGCACAGCTGAGGCGGACAAGGCACCAAGGCACAACTGGTGGGGGGAGGGCAGGGGCAGCCTCCAAGCCAAGTGCCAGGGTCACAAGAGGATGCAGGACCGCCCACGCTTGATCGGCGTGGGGTTGAGCACAGCCCGGACAGCCTCGGCGAACACTTCCTTGACACCATCCTGTTGCAGGGCTGAGCATTCGAGGTAGCGCACAGCGTGGATCTGCTTGGCCAGTGCCTGGCCCTGCTGCGGTGTGATGGGCGCCTGGCCCTGCTCCTTGAGGCGCCGTAGGGTGTCAGGCTGGGCTCTCAGGTCCTTCTTGGTGCCCACCAGCAGGATGGGCACATCAGGGCAGTGGTGGCACACCTCTGGATGCCACTTGTGCCGCACGTTCTCATAGGACGGCGGACTGGCAATGGAGAAACAGATGACGAAAACGTTGGTCTGAGGGTAGGAGAGTGTACGGAGGCGGTCATACTCCTCCTGGCCCGCAGTGTCCCACAGGTTCAGGTTCACTGTGCGCCCGTCAACTGCGCTCTGCGCGCTGTAATTGTCGAACACGGTGGGGATGTACTCTTTGGGGAAAGCGTTAGTTGTGTAGCAGATGAGCAGGCACGTCTTGCCCACAGCCCCATCACCCACCACCACGCACTTGATGCTCTGCATCGTGGGTGCAGTTGCTGTAGTGGAGGCAGTGCCTCCTCTCTCTTCTGGACCCCTCTGGCTGCAGTGACCTGTGGACAGATGAAAGGGGACATTCTTGGTTAGGGAGGCCTCTGCCTATTGGGAAGAAAAGATGGGGGCACACAAAGGGAAACCGGCTCCTGTTCCCTTAACCTGACACTATCCCAAAGTCCCATCAAGACGGTCATCAGAAAGACACACAATGAAAGGCCCTGAGGCCAAGCAAAGAGGCAGTATAATGTGGTAGAAAGCACATAAACTCTGGCGCCAGACAAACTAAGGTCAAATCCTGATTTTGCTATTTCCTAGCTGTGTAACCCTGAAAAAATTGCTTAACCTCTGTATGCCTAAGTTTTCTTACCAGTAAAATGAGGATAAAATAATATCTACCTCACTGGGTCATTGTGAGCATTATATAATACATGTAAAGCATTTAAAACAGTGCCTCGTCCACAAGTATTAGCTATTTTTTTTTTTTTTTTTTTGAGACAGAGTCTCACTCTGTCACCCAGGCTGGAGTGCAGTGGCGTCATCTCGGCTTACTGCAAGCTCCGCCTCCTGGGTTCACGCCATTCTGCCTCAGCCTCTCGAGTAGCTGGGACTACAGGCACCCACCACCACGCCCGGCTAATTTTTTGTATTTTTAGTAGAGATGGGGTTTCACCGTGTTGGCCAGGATGGTCTCGATCTCCTGACCTCGTGATCCGCCCGCCTTGGCCTCCTAAAGTGCTGGGATTACAGGCGTGAGCCACTGCGCCTGGCCAGTATTAGCTATTTTTTTTTTCCAGGCTATACAGACACAAAAGGAGAGTGCACAAATTTAGGGATCTACTAGATCCTCTACTAAATATGGACCCTTTCCACCAGGAGACTGGAAAGTGTTTTGGCACAGGACAGCTGTCCCAGGTCACTCTGTGATGCAGCCATAAGTAGAACCTCTCTCAACTCAGGGCCCACCCTGCCCTCTCCAAACCTGGTATCTTGGCTACTGAGTACAAACCCAAAGGCACAGTTAAGAAACCTGCTGAGTAAGGGGCTCAATTCTTTAGAGAGCTGCCCTATCCCAATCCAGGGTATTCTGGCAATGGGGAAATTTTTTTTTTTTTTTTTTTTTGAGATGGAGTCTCACTCTGTCGTCCAGGCTGGAGTGCAGTGGCGTGATCTCAGCTCACTGCAACCTCCGCCTCCTGGGTTCAAGTGTCTCCTGCCTCAGCCTCCCGAGTGGCTGGGACTACAGGCAGGTGCCACTGCATCCGGCTAATTTTTATATTTTTAGTAGAGATGGAGTTTCGCCGTGTTAGCCATGCTGGTCTCAAGCTCCTGACCTCAGGTGATCTACCTGCCTCAGCCTTCCAAAGTGCTGGGATTACAGGCGTGAACCACCACACCTGGCCACCCCATCATTCTTGTAAGTACTGAAAACCCTATCTGGCCATGTACACTCAGATTGCCAATTCAATGCAGGGGAATACTGGAGATTCAGTTGGACCTGGGATTTGGACTGGGGTCTGGGTATGTTATGATGAATGAGGTAGAGGCTGAGGCTCCCAGACATTAGTATCTTCTCTCAAGGCCCTTGGTGGGGTGGAGCAAATTTTTTTCTTTTTTGAGACGGAGTCTTGCTCTGTCGCCCAGGCTGGAGTGTAGTGGCGCAATCTTGACTCACTGCAACCTCCACCTCCCGGGTTCAAGCGATTCTCCTGCCTCACCCTCCCGAGTGGCTGGGATTACAGGCGCATGCCACCACGTCCAGCTAATTTTTGTATTTTTAGTAGAGACGGGGTTTCACCATGTTAGTCAGGCTAGTCTTGAACTCCTGACCTTGTGATCTGCCCGCCTTGGCCTTCCAAAAAGTGCTGGGATTACAGGCATGAGCCACCATGCCCGGCCTGGAGCAAATCTTTCAGGCCCAACTAGGAAGGATGAAGTCAAGAGTAAGACAAAAACTTGACTTTCCCCTCAATCTTCTGTCCATTTCCTGAGATCCTGGCATGTGCCTCTGAAAGATTTTAGAGACTTCCAGACTCTTGGATAGAAAATACCATCATTAAGAACATAGATGCTAGAGTAAGACTCGCAGGTATTCTAATCACAGCTCCACCAACTAGTTATATGTGATCTTGGCAATATATTTGTTCCCTGAGCCTCAATTTTCTCATCTGTAAAATGGGGATAATCTTGCCTATTGCATTACAATTGCTCAGAATATGAAATGAGGCCAGGCACGGTGACTCATGCCTGTAATCTTAGCACTTTGGGAGAATGAGGCAGGTAGATCGCTTGAGCCCAGGAGTTTGAGACTAGCCTGGGCAACATGGCAAAACCCTGACTCTACAAAAAATGAAAAAATTACCAGGGTGTGGTGGTACACACCTGTAGTCCCAGCTACTCGGGAGGCTGAGGTGGGAGCATCACTTGATCCCAGGGTGGTCAAGGCTGCAGTGGGCTATGATCACACCACTGCACTCCAGCCTGTGCGACAGAGCAAGACCCTGTCTCAAAAAAAAAAAAATAAAAAGTAAGAGTTAATAATGTATAGAAGATGTCCAGCATGAGGTATGGCACATAGCAAGTGCCCAATAAATGGACTGCTGTATTTATGAGTGGGGTAAGTATGAGGAGTCCCAGCTCCAGCCAACATCTGGTTACCTCTGCAGGTCACAGGGCCTCGGGGAGATGAACTGCTTTTCTGAGTTCTGGAACACAGCTTCCAGAAACCCTGTGATTATTTACACTGCTATGGCAAGGATCCTTCTCTCATCAGCTACTTCCTCTTGGCCATGGGGGACTCTTGGTGGTCAATATGTGACTTCCTTTCCCTGACTGTCTCCCACAACCAGGGCCTGCTCCCTGAGAGGGGGCAGCCCTGTTTTAAACACAACCAAATCCCTGAGTATTCCTTATCCCTGGCTCCACCCAAGCACCATCAACACTAGCCCATTTTCTCCATTTCACTTGCTATACTGCAAGGCTGCACCCTGGTCTGGGAACCCCTTACCCCCCCAGCCTGGGCTCTCACCACTGGTTCAGAAGCTTCAAAAATCAATGACAAGTGGGGAAGAAAATCCCCACTGGGAAGTGGAAAAGAAACTTTCGTCATGTGGGGGCTGCAAAGGACCCAGGGCTTGGTCCCACCTCCCTCCCAGGCTACAGTTTGCCTTGGAATCAGCTGGGAGAGGAATGGTTTCACTCTATGAAGTTGTGTCTCTGGTTCACATTAAAAAATATTTCCATCCTATTTGCATGAATGAGAGAGAGTGTGTGTGTGTGTTTGTGCGCGTGCACGTGTGCATGCAACGTCAGGACATTCAGATAGAGACCCTCAGACAGTGGGTCAGGGAAGGGCATAAGGACCCTCTAGGCCAGTGGAGAGTCAAATAGAGACCTCAGACTGGAAGTTGAGAGACCTAAGTTCTAACCCCAGCTCTGCTGACTCACTATAACCAAGCATGAGGCATTTACGCTTGCTGGGCCTCAGTTTTCCTATCCAGGAATTAGAGATTAAAATGGTTGTTACAAGAGCACTAGGTGGATGAACTAAGACTTAAAGCTCCTTGGAGGCAGGGGGCATTATTTGTGCCCAGCGGATTACGTGGGAAGCCTTGACATTCAAAGCAGAACTCCTGGGCCTGTAATCTTCAGTTCCACACAGAGCAGGAGAGTGGGTGTTGACAGTATGACTGAAAAGCCCAGCACTGGGCTGGCCCAGGCAGGAAGGCAAGGAGGGAACTCCGGCTGGCTGTCACAAGGCCCAAGAGACTGGAAGTACAGCTCTCTAAAGAGGTGGTTATCAACTAGCAATCAGTAAATCAGCTCTCAAAGGAGAGGGGAAGGACAGCGTAGCTTCCGGGCTGGGAAGGGAACGAGGACCGACACTGGAAAAGGATGATGAGTATGGTAGTGTCCAGAAACAAGCAGAGCAAAGGCAGTGTGGTATAGGGCCAAGAGTACTGGATACCTGACTCTGATGTCTTGAGTTTATCTGCCGACCTTGACCCTTGATAAAAAAGCCCTCATATGGTATAAGCCTTTATAGGTCACATGTTATTATGTCATTTGACCTTTATAACAACCTGTTAGTACTATGCCTATTCTACAGATGAGGAAACAAATTCAGAACAGTAAAAGTAACTCAACATCACACAGCTAGTTAGTGTGGGAGCCAGAACACAAACCCAGTTTTGTGACCCAAAGTCCTGTGTTTTCCTTGGTGCATCATACAGTCTTCAAGTTACCCCTTACCAGCTAACTGTGTGACCTTGATCAGGTAAGTTACTGCCCTTCCTGGAGCCTCTGTTTCTTTATCTGTACAGTAGAAGTAATAATAGTACCCCTCCCAGCCTCAAGGGCAGCATCAAGGAACCTGACCATGGGAATGAATACACTTTGTAAACTGAAGTGCTGTACACACAGGAGGTGACAGGAGCAAAGCCTTTCATCCCAGAAGGCAGGAAGCACTGAGTATGCCTGTATCTGTGGTAGGGGATCAGCCCAGTCCTCCCTACTCAGGTCTAGTTCAGACCTTTATCCTCTCTCCCAAAACAACTCTTCTTTCTGAAATCCTCTGGCCTGAACTGGGTTGAATAAGTTACCATAGCCCATTTCAGGAGGGCATATAGAGTCTAAACTGTGCCAAACAGGAAGAAGGGATGTCAGTGCTGCAGGACACCAAACCAGGAGTGTGACCTATCTGGAGCGGGGTTCAACAATGACTTATTCACTAAGTGGCTTTTTCAAAAGAATCATTAAGCCCAGCTCAGTGGTGCACCTGCAGTCCCAGCTACTAGGGAGGCTGGGCCCAGGAGTGAAGGGTTGTAGTGTGTACACTAGTCAAGGTTATCGTCCCTGTGAGTAGCCACTGCACTCCAGCCTGAGCAACACAGCAAGACCCCATGTCTCAAAAAAAAAAAAAGTTATTTAGTAAATCAATGGTTGCCAATCTGTTTTGTTTTGTTTTTTCTTTTGGAGCAAGGTCTTGTTCTGTTGCCCAGGCTGAAATGCAGTGGTGCCATCACAGCTCACTGTAGTCTCAACCTCCCAGGCTCAAGGCATCCTACCTCAGCCTCCTGAGTAGCTGGGACTACAGGCAGGCACCACCACACCTGGCTAATTTTTGTATTTTTAATGCATCTTTTTGTTTGTTTGTAGAGACAGGGTCTTGCCATGTTGCCCAGGCTGGTCTTGAACTCCTGGTCTCAAGTGATCCTCCTGACTAGCCCTCCCAAAGTGCTGGGATTATGGGCGTGGGCCACCATGCCTGGCCAGATCTGTATGTTATTAGACAAATTACAATGACTTATTCTGGCTTTTTAGTCCCAATTCAGATCATGCCTGGTCCCTCATACTGGCATTCAGAGTTCTTCACAATTTGATAAGGGATATTAGAGTTACGTAGACTTGGGTTTGAATCCTAGTTCTGCCTCTTACCAGCTGTGTGACCCTGAGCTTCTGATGATTTGCCTCTCTAAGCTTCAATTTCCTTATCTTTCAAATGCAGTGGCAACGTACAGTACCTACCACATAGCACTGTTATAAGGACTAAGTGCATTAATGTATAATATGTGCACAATGTAGGTACTTTGCAAGTGTGAGTTCCCAGCTCCCTGTTCCAGAGGGATTTTCAATGTCCTCTGCAAACAAGCCAGGATCATTCTTGCCTCTGAACTTTTACTCTTTGTTTTTCCCTCTGCTGCCATTCCCTCTCCCTTCTCTAATCTTCCTTACTCCTTAAGGCCTAACTTAAGTCTCACAGTTGCATAAGGTTACTGAATTCTTCTTTGGATATCCATTGCATGGCTACCTGTCGCCCAGGTTAGAGTGCAGTGTCGCGATCTCAGCTCACTGCAATCTCCACCTCCCGGGTTCAAGTGATTCTCCTGCCTCAGCCTCCTGAGTTATTGGGATTACATGCATGTGCCATCATGCCCAGCTAATTTTTGTATTTTTAGTAGAGACAGGATTTCATCATGTTGGCCAGGCTGGTCTTGAACACCTGGCCTCAAGTGATCCACCTGCCTTGGCCTCTGAAAGTGCTGGGATTACAGGAGTAAGCCACTGCACCCATGGCCACCCCTTTTAACCCTGCTTTGGCTCTGTGTGATTCTCCTTTTCCAACAGTCATACGTAAGTTTCCCAGCTGTACATGCCCTTCAGTACTGAAGCCTTGGCTTCTCTGGACTAAATGACAAAAAAAAACCTCTAAGTATAGGGCTAGGCACACAGGACTGTACAACCATTGCCTTTTGATCTGCTTGTACCAGCCCTCATCACTGAGATATGGAGAGACTTCTCTGAAGCCCAGTATCGGACACTCCCTGCCCACCCCCCAACAGACAAGACTGCAATGCTGAATCTCATCGGACAGCAATGACAGGCAAAAGCTATGCCTGAAATAGGCAAAAATCTCTCTTCCCAGTACCAGGCTGACCTGGCTCCGGCAGGAAGTATAGCCCATGGGGGTCTAACCCTATCTGAATGTGGTCCCTGGAGCCCGGCTTGTACCCAGTGGGGCCTGGCCTTGGGGTGTGGCCCAGGCAGGCCCAGAATGGGGGAGGGAAAGGAAGCAGCCTGATTGCCAGATCTCTGTGGCTGTTACAGCAGGGGAAGTGTCCCAACTGGGAGTGGGGGAGGGGAGGAACGGACTCTTAAAAGATAGGCGAGTATGGAGGTGATGGGAACTTACCTCAGCCTTCTATAACCTGCCTCCCTAACATGGGGCTCCCTTTCTGCAGCCCTCCCTGAACCTCATTATAACTACAATCCATCTCTGGCCATTCCAATCCTGATCCTCTACAAAGGGGCCTCCATATTCTCTTCCGTAAAATACACCAAGTAGTAATATGGAACCATGCACCATTGCTGCCTCTTCCAGGAAAGCGTAAATTATCCAAGTCAGAAGTGACTTATCCTATCCAAAGTCTGGTCCCTGTCTCTCTCACAGGCTTGGAGAGGCTGATGTGAATCTTATCTCTTGTTATTAGAATGGGAGTGTCTAGAGGGCAAGGTCCTGGTTGACTGGACCTTGCTGAGCACCCTAAGCTGAGCACACCATGTAGTAGCTGTCAGTAAATGACTGAATGAAGTCGATGCAATCATGTCTTTGCATATGGGAGTTCCTCTTCCTGGAATGCGACTCACCCCCCTTCAGATCCTTCCTGTCCTTCAGGCCCAGTACTGTTCCCCAGCTTCTCCAGGACATCACAGCAACCCCCTCTTCTGCCTTACCTTTCCCAGCATTGACCGTACTTTTCATTGTGCTGAACTAACTGGATGCTTCAGGGGGAGGGTAGTCTGACCTTCTGTTTATTTCCAGAAGCCCAGGGAAGGGCTGAGCAAAAGCTGTAGAATGACATACCCCTCCTCCCCCATCAATCCACAGACTCTGATGCTGGGAACAAGGAAGAACCTCTAGGACCAGAAGACACAAGACATAAGTAACCAACTTCTTTCTCATTCACCCTGAAGAGCCCAAAGTTGGGGTAATAAACACATAAGCTATACTGTCTTGTCTTCAACTGGAAGGGTGAGAGGTGAAGCTGGCAGATCTAGCTCAGAGATGATGAGGAAGATGGGAAGGAAAAGTGGTCCCGACAGGCTACAGACTGGGAATATCCGAGGACCCTTGGTCAAAGACATGGCAAGGGACAGGGGCACTGTTGGAAACACTTCCAAAGCTCTACAAGTTTGTTTGTTTGTTTGTTTTGAAGGGAGGAATAGAGGAGAGGTGATATAAAGAGGCTCAAAGGGGCTGCAGCTGGCTGCAGCTGGGCTGGGAGGAGGAAGCTGGGGGAGACATGAGGTCAGTGTGGGACTGGGACCAGGCCAAGGGCTGAGTCTCTTTCTTCCCTTTCTCCCCATCAGCAGGGAAGAACCCAAGAGAGCCCAGTTCCTAGCCTTAAAAAAAAAAAAAAAATCCCCCGGGTGCCGTGGCTCACGTCTGTAATCCCAGCACTTTGGGAGGCCAAGGCAGGCAGACCACTTGAGATCAGGAGTTCGAAACCAGCCTGGCCAACATGGTGAAACCCCGTCTCTACTAAAAATACAAAAATTAGCTGGGCGTAGTGGTGGGATTACGCCTGTAATCCCAGCTACTCAGGAGGCTGAGGGAGGACAATCACTTGAACCCAGGAGGCAGAGGTTGCAGTGAGCAGAGATCATGCTACTGCATTCCAGCCTGGGCCACAGAGCAAGACTCCATCTCCAAAAAAAAAAAAAAAAGAAAGAAAAAATCCATGCTGGAGGACTCTCCACCTCTTGTCATTCATCCTTCAGCCTTTGGAGAGGATCCTACATTGCAGCAGCAGGTAGGAAAAGAGAAGAGTTGATGCCACCCACTAGGAAACGAGACAGTGGTAGCTGGGAAGGCTGGGGGCAGTCTAGGACCCTTTCACTAAGTCCTAGTTCCCAACCTTCTTCCCTCACTGTCCCAGCACCCTAAGTGTTCCATAAAAGGTGAGCCTCAGCTGGGCATGGTGGCTCACATCTGTAATCCCAGCACTTTGGGAGGCTGAGGCTGGCAGATCACTTGAGGTCAGGAATTCGAGACCAGCCTGGCCAGCATGGTGAAACCCCATCTCTACTAAAAAATACAAAAAAAATTAGCTGGGCCTGGTGGTGCATGCCGGTAGTCCCCGCTACCTGGGAGGCTGACACAGGAGAATGGCTTGAACCCGGGAGGTGGAGGTTGTGGTGAGCTGAGATCGCGCCATTGCACTCCAGCCTGGGTGACAGAGCAAGACTCCATCTCAAAAAAAAAAAAAAAAAAAAAAAAAAAAAGCTGAGCCTCAGGACCAGGACAGCTCTGGCTGGGGGAGCCAAGGAAGCTGCCCCCTCCCCCACGCAGCACAGAGGAAGGGTGCACACTGGCTTCCTCCTCCCCGCCTAGCAGCAGCTCAGCAGTCCCTGGGCCCCACCAAAGGCCTGTGAAGTGGCACTTCCTTTGCCTTTGCTAATTTCACATGAGGCTGTACAGAAGTGCCATCCTGCAAATCCTGGCACCCCCACCTGAAAATACCCACAGAGAGACCCAGGGCTGCCCAGTCCCTTTAGCCCCGCCCGAGGCCTGAGGGGGTTTCCACAAGGGAAAATAACACCAGGGAGGAAACTCCGGCATCTATTTTCCACTGTCAGTGAGGCAGAGCTGGAGTAGGAGACAGGGTACTCCCCCATCTTACTACCCCCTGGCAAAATCCCCAACATTCTCTGCCTTCTTATCTCTCAAGCTCTAACAGTCCTTGTGCTTGGGGAAAGGGCAGTACTATCCCTGGACAGATATGTATGTACAGACTACTCGGACCTGTCAAATTGAGGCTGGTAAGACACAAGGGCCCAGAGTGAGGGGCACTGCTATGAGCAGTCTCTTGGGGGAGGAAGAGTCAGAGCCATGATGTTCACTGTTGCCTTTGGAGGTACTGATATGCAACTCCTTAATGCTAAAATAGAGCCAAGAGAAACCAAGTTGACCAGGTAGCAAATCTACGACAAGGATCCGGATCTTCTAGCCTCCACCCTTATGCTACTTCTACAAAGGAGAGAAGGTGAGGATTCTAACTCTGGCCTGAGAATGGGCCATCTCTTTAACCTCATTCAGGAGAACGCTACCATGGTTTATTCCTTCAGAAAATGGGCCAAAGGGTGGGTTGACTTACATCTGAGCCTTTTTGCTTCCAAGTTCCCAGGCTCTCATGCCTAGCCCATCCTGGTGCATTCATGATTTAGCACTGACATTACTCAATAGCCAGCCACTCTGGCCCTGCCCTAGCTGAGAAGCTCCTCCTCTGGCCTCTAGCTCCTGGAGAGATGCCCTCCCCCCATATGAGATGAGGACAAAAGAGGAAGCTGGACCCTGGACAGGAAAACCAGTCTGATCTGGGGAGGTGGCCCAGGCTTTGTCTTTGGTTTCCCTCCTCAGCTCTTGTCACGGACCCCTACTGACCTCACCACTAATGGGTCTACAGTATATAGAAGGAGTCTTCAGTGTGGGCCTGAGCCCCCTTCTTCATGTCACAACCTTGACCATACCTGTTTAGCCAAGACTTCAGCGGCAGCCTCCTAGGTTGTAGCCACCACCTCCCTTTACCCCCCAATATTTTCCCATTAAAATCTCTCCCGCCCTGGTCACATTTTTTCCAATGATGCCTTTTTTGCAATTAGCTCAAACTTCCAATGGGGCCAGATCTCACCTGGGAGAATCCCTGTCTCACCCATCTTGTCTTTACCATCAGAGCCCTGTGGGTTTGCTCAGTTACGCAGAATACTAAAGTAACTACTGGTTTGCCAGCCTAGGAACTGGGACTCCTGGGGTTTTTATTAAGCTGTGATGCTGGGAAAGTGCCTTGTATGCACATCCTTCTCTAACCTGGGCTCTTATGTAGGTCCCTGGGATTTCTTCCCGGACCCAAACTTCTGTACCTCCAAGAAATGGGAAGAGAGACAAGTGGTTGGAAGGGCAGGACTGGAAGAAGAACAATTCATGGGAGAGGGACGACTGTGACATGGGAAGATGACAGAATGGGGAACAGGGAGAGCCCTTAAATTTAGCTGTAGCACTTACTCCCCTCTACTTCTCTTTTTTTCTAGTGGAGAGAAATGAATACAGATGACTAGAGGAGGTAGACAGGAGCAAGATCCTCAGATGCACCCCAAAAGCTTGAGGATGGAGCTCTAGAGTGGAAACAAGAGCCTCCATAGCCAGGATGGACTGAAGTTAAATTTGGGAGGAATTCCTGAGAAGGAATAGGGTCCTAGGTGAGATGGGGAGTATTAAGGATGCCTGAAGGCAGAGGGGTCAGTAGAACTCCAGAGGGCTTCCTGGTCACTAAGGCCCTGATGCAGATCAGGGCATGCGGGTACCCAGCCTAGGCAGGCCCCAGAAGGTAGCAGGAAAGGAGCAGACACTTTTGCCTCCGCCGCTTCTTAAGTCCGAAGTTAGACCAGCTGCAGTCTTTCCTCCAGAATCCTGCATTTGCCTCCTCCCTTTATTTCCATCACACCCAAGCTGGTCCCATTCTTTCCACCAGGTGATGCTGGAACTAGTAGGTAATGGAGTCAGGGACCTTCAGGCTGTCTTCCGGCTTCTAGGCCTGGCCTCTTGGTCAAGCACCACGGGTTGGGGTGATTTTGATTTCCCACGGCCTCTCTTACAAGTCTTATTCCTGTGTCACCCTACCCTGACTGCTACAAACGGCTTCCTCCTGCCTAACCACAACCTCACTCACTGCAGGTTCCCTTCATTCTGCTGGCTTCCCTTGCTCTGGGCCCTCTCAAGGCTGAGGGCAGTTATTTTGTCTGTAAGAGATAAAGATGTAGTCACACAGACACGCGCGCGCGAACACACACACACACACACACACACACACACACACACACAGGCTTTCCATCTCTTTAATCCATCTCTAAGAGATGAAGATGTAGATACACAGACACGCGCGTGCGAACACACACGCAAACACACACACACACACACACACACACAGGCTTTCCAGCTCTTTAATCCGTCTCTATCACTGGGAGGCTGCAGACTGCCTCTCCAAGCTAGGGAGGTTTGAAAAGACTCTAGAACTCACTAAGTCTTCAACAACTGATTCCAAAGCTGGAGATAAGTGGGTGGGAGGGAAGGATACAGAGAGGGTGACAGGCTGAGGGTTCAAAAGGAATGAGGGGTGATGGAAGAAACCAGGAGGTGCATGTGTGTGGGTGCCAGAGCTGGGAAGGGAAGGGATGGGGCAGGTTGCAGAGGACCAAGACGAACATGGGGCAGGGTAGGTGAAGACAGGTCAAGGCCTAGGTATGACCGTATGTTTGGAGGAAAAGAGACTGGAAGGGATGAGAAGAGAGTGATGGCGGATTTGTGGGTAGAAACTAAAGAAGGTGTGGAGGGAGACGACAGGAGCATGTGTATAATTCAGGGACTAAGAATGAAGAGGAACACTAGGAGATGGTTCTCAATTGTCCCCAAAAGACACAACAAAAACTTGTCAGGGACTATCAGTACCTCTGAATGAGAGTCCTTCCACTTCCAGTTACAGGGCAAGACCAAGTTACTCCCAAAAGAGCAAGGCCAGGCTCTGGTCAGCTAGGAACAGCGTCTGCTCACTAAATACCTACTGCTTGGCTCCAGGTAAGGTCGGGACTCAGGAAAACAGACATACAGACAACGACTGGGGTCGGCGGGGCTCCCCCACCCAACCCGGGTCCTCCTGAGTGCAGAGGGCCTTGGGGCTGCAGACCGAGTGTGGGTCTGTATTAGCATCCATCTGACAGGGAGAGAGCTTTCGGAGGCCCCAGACACCGCCCCTCTCACCCCAAGTGTCACAACTGCCAGAGCAGAGGGAGCGCCTTTTCCAGCCCAGAAGCCCTCTCCCCTCACGCACTTCTCAACACCCCCCCCACCAACTTCTGAGGACACCCCACCTGCGTCCGATCTCCCAGCTCTGAGCTCTTCCACTTCAGAGACACTTATCTTGGAGCCCGGGACCCTCCGACCTCAGGGGTCCCTCTCGGCTCCCTAGAGGCGGTACAGCCGCCGGGAAGCCACCCTCGCCGAGCCTCCGCCGGCTCGCAGTGGCCCCGTTCCCGCCCCGCCCGGCCGGCCGCGCCCGCCCTACTTGGACTGAACCGAGAAGCTCCCGCCCGCGGCCTCCGCCAGCAAACTCATGAGCCGGCGCCCGCGCCGAGTCCTGGGCCGGCCGGGCTCTCCTCCCCCGGACCCCTACCCGCCAGCCCCGGCCGGGCCTCACCTGGTGCCCTCCCCGAGGCGGGGGAGCTGGGGGCGGCGGCAGCGGCTCCGGGCTCGAGAAGGAAGTGAGAGCGGGAGGCCGGAGGAAGTGGGGGGGGCGGGCCGGCGAGGCGGGGCGGGCCGGGGCGGGGCCCGACCAGGAAGTCCGAGGGCCGATCTCCCCCTCTCCAGCCCCGGCCCGCCCCCAGCCTCGCCCCCGGCCCAGTCCCGGGCTTGCCACGTTCCCCTCCCAGTCCGCTGCCCCTGCGGTCAGTAAGTCAGGCCTCCCAAGGTCAAGTCTCTCCGCCTCCTCCTGGCCACCCTACCCCTGGAGGCCCTACCCTGGGCGCTAGGCGTTCGTCCTCTTCCCCCCATCCCGCCCCCACCAGCCTCCGCGGGAAGATGCTGAGAAAGGCGCCCCTGGGCCTGGTCCCTTCAGTCAACCCCAGGGATAGAGTGGTGGCCGAGGCTGGGGCAGTCCCCGCCCCTGCCCTGAGCCCCGGGGGAGTGCGAGGTGGTGGTGATTCAGCAGTGGGAAGGCCCCAGACCCCTGGGGAGGGTGGGGAGACTCGGGGGGAAGAGGAGCTGGCGTCAGCACCCAAGGGAAAGACAAGATCAGCAGAGGCGCAGGCGGAGCCGCGGGCCCCAAAAACAGGATGTCGAGTCGTCATTCAGCACCGTGCAGCCCTGCGAGGCCTGGCTCTGGGGAGGGGGCGGGGCGGACGGAGGACTTGGGGCTTCCCTCGCCCCCTCGCCCCCTGTTCTGCTGGGGCGCGCAGCTGCTTGGGGCTGAAGAGCCGCACCCAGGCCTGAGGTCCAGCTTGGGCCCCGGCGACCCGCGGGTGGGCGGGCTCATGGGCGCCCTCTGGTGCTTCGCTCCCTGGCTTTGCGCTCGGAGCTTTGACTTGAGAATCCATATCCTTCGTTCAGCACAAAGTTTCTGAGCGCCTACCACGTGGAGAGAGCTAAGTGCTAGGTGCTGTGAAGAAACACAGCGTTTAAGACAGGATCCCTGTCTTCCAGAAGCTTTTCAAATAAACGGATTGATTCCAGGAATAAATAGCTTAACCTTTCTGAGCCTCAAATCTGTCTTTGGTAAAATAGAATAATTATATTTCACCCCGTAGTTTTGAAGATAACATGAGAATGGGTGTAAAAGACCTGTTGTCAATGCGTATCTCAAACACTAAACAAATATCTTTTAAAAATATCATACCCTAAGAGTCTGGCGCGGTGGCGTCTGCCTGTAATTACAGAGATGGTGAAACCTTGTCTCTATAAACACAAACACACACATATTTTTTGACAGTCTCACGATGTCACCCAGGCTGGGGTGCAGTGGCACGATCTCGGCTCACTGCAATCTCTGCCTCCCAGGTTCATGCAGTTATCCTGCCTCAGTCTCTCGAGTAGCTGGGGTTACAGGTGCATGTCACCACACCCGGCTAATTTTCGTATTTCTAGTAGGGACGGGGTTTCACCCTGTTGGCCACGCTGGTCTCGAACTACTGATCTCAGTTGATCCACCTGCCTTGGCCTCCCAAAGTGCTGAGATTACAGGCGTCAGCCACCACACCCAGCCTACTTATATTTTTAAAAAAATAAATAGGAACCACGTAAGTAATTTAAAACTGTCTATTAATGACATTTCAAAAAAAGTAAAAAGAAACGAAATGAATTTTAACTATATTTGACTTAGCCATAGCCAAAGTATTATCTTTTTTTTTTTTTTTTTTTTTTTTTTGGAGATGGAGTCTCGCTCTGTCACCAGGCTGGACTGCAGTGGCGCGGTCTCTGCTCACTGCAACCTCCGCCTCCTGGGTTCAAATGATTCTCCTGCCTCAGTCTCCCAAGTAGCTGGGATTACAGGCACGTGCCACCATGCCTGGCTTATATTTGTATTTTTAATGGAGATAGGATTTCACCATGTTGGCCAGGCTGGTCTTGAACTCCTCACCTCGTGATCTGCCCGCCTCAACCTCCCAAAGTGCTGGGATTACAGGCATGAGCCACTGCGCCCGGCCTCAAAATATTATCTTTTAGCATGGTAATCAACATAAAAATTACTGGTTATAAAAATTAACTGGATATTTTGCATTCTTTTCTTGTACCAAGTCTTTGAAATGCGGTGTGTATTTTATACTTACAATTTGTCTCAATTTGGCTGGAAACATTTCAAGTGGTCAATAGCATGTGTAGCTGGTGGCTACTGTATCATCCTCAAAAACAGAGGCTTTATCAGATTCAGGCTGGTGAATGACTGTGTGGATGAAGTCTTTCTCAAAGATCCTTCTCTAGAAGCCTCCCCTGACCTGCCAGGCAGTGTTTGGGTCTCTTGTCTCCTCTTCGGTCTGGTCCCTGTAGCCCTTCAGACAAACTCCTCTTTGTGGAGGACATGAGAGCAGGAGGCACAAGGGGAAATTCTCATTCCCATCCATACACCATTGGGACCACTTGACATTGGGGTGCTTGGTATTTCATGAATAAAGAAAGGATTGTGAGCCCCAGAAATGACAGGGTTCAGAGGAACACCATACGCTAAAGCAGCTTCTATGACGCCATTAAAGATTATGTCCCAGCACAAAAGTTTTTTCTGGTTTGTTTGTTGTTTTTTTTTAGATGGGACTCTCACTATGTTGCCTAGGCTGTCCTGGAACTCCTGGGCTCGAGTCATCCTCCCACCTCAGCCTTTCAAGTAGCTAGGACTACAGGCACACACCACCACATCCAGCTCCAGAAGAAATGTTTCTGATATGTGTTCCTAGAATTCCCTTCCCAGGACTTAAGAACAGGAAAAACAGTGGAGCTATGGACTCTCTCCCCTTCAACCAGAGAAGGTTTGCTTTTTATCTGATTTATTTACTAGTATTCTGCATAGAGAGTTTAATTTTGTTTTTAAGTTTCCTGCAAAAAATATTTGAAAATCAATTTAAGGACATAGTGATAAGAGTAGGGAGCACATTAGGTGCTGCAGATTGAAAGACTGGATTGGCAGCCTGGGATCAGATTGCATTTCCTGAGCCTGTAAGTGTCTTGGGCTTGCCTAGCCCTGGTTTAGGAGGGAGAACCTGATCCAGCCTCAAAGATCTCATGGTCTGATGAAGTATAGGACTTTGCATATGAAGCTATCAGAAGAGGAGGAAAAAGTCCAAGGCTGGGCTTTAGAAAACCTTCAAGTCTGGCCTGGCACAATGGCTCACGCCTGTAATCTTAGCACTTTGGGAGGCTGAGGCAGGCGGATCATGGGGTCAGAAGATCGAGACTATCCTGGCCAACATGGTGAAACCCCGTCTCTACTAAAAATACAAAAATTAGCTGGGTGTGATGGTGCATGGCTGTAACCCCAGCTACTCGGGAGGCTGAGGCAGGAGAATCACTTGAACCTAGGAGGCGGAGGTTGCAGTGAGCCGAAATCGCGCCACTGCACTTCAGCTTGGCGACGGAGCGAGACTCCATCTCAAAAAACAAAAAACAAAAAAAAAAAAACCACAAACAAACTTGAAGTCTGTCTTGGCTCAGACAGACAGATTGAGATTTTAGGCTAGGCCCCACCCTTCTCTGTCTCAAACTCTTCCACTGGAAAACAGAGGTTGAACTAGATGATACCTTTGAGCTCTCATCTTCTATGATACACTCTTCAGAATAATAATTAAGGTTTATGCATATAGCATGTTGCTCATAGTTCTTTAATACCATTTAGGTCATCATGCTTTGTGCTCTAGTAAATTGCATCTGTGCCTAATATCTGTCTCCCCCACTGACTATAAGTCCTTTGAGGTTGCGTCTGATTCATTTCTGTGTCCACCCACTGGGCCTGACAGAGGCAGGCCTGAGCACACATTTGCCTTCACTAAACATCCATAATGTTAAATTGCTTTAATAAAGTACTAATATGTGTAGAACAATCAGACTCCAGGTAACTTGGAAACACTTTTGTGGCACAGGTATGGGAAGGGCCAGAGGAAAGGGAAGCAGGTGGACAGGTGGAGCTGTCCGTAAAGGCTTCTTGAAGGAGGAGAAATGCTGACTTGAAGAGGGTAGGAAGAGGGCACAATCCCAAATGGGCTGTTTCTTTTTTCTACTCTCTCACTAGCTTTCCCTGAATAGGTGAGTTCTTGGTAGGTGGTGTGCATGTATGCTTACAAGCAGCTGAGAGACAAGGACATTGAACCTGGACATTTAGAAGTGAGATAATATGAAAGCACTTGGTGGGGTAGAATAGAGATCACAGACAGGTTTTGGAGACAGATTAGGATGGTTGTAACACAGTATGGCCTTTGATTAGTCATATGAGATCTCCCATATTCATAAATATTCAATGTATATTTATTGAAAATCTTCTTGGTGCCAGACATAGTGTTACATGCCAATCATGAAGTAGAGAAAACTGCCCTGATATAACTGGTAAGGGAGATAGACCTTAAACAGGTAATCATACAAAAGTAGAGTGCTGCTGGGCATGGTGGTGTTTGTCTCCAGTTCTAGTTCCTCAGGGGGATAAGGCAGGAAGATTGCTTGAGCCCAAGAGTTTCAGACCAGCCTGGGCAACATAGCAAGAACATTTCTCCAGAAAAAAAAGTACAGAATACTGTAAGAGCATATAACAGAGCCAACTTCTCAGTCTTAGTTTCATTTTAAAATGGGAATGGCTGGGCGTGGTGGCTCATGCCTCTATTCCTAGCACTTTGAGAGGCCAAGGTGGGACAATCACTTGAGCCCAGGAATTTGTAACCAGCCTAGGCAATCATAGCAAGACCCCATCTGCATACACACACAAAAATTAGCTGGGCATAGTGGCACATGCCTGTAGTCCCAGTTACTTGCTAGGCTGAGGTGGGAGGATCACTTGAGTCTAGGTGTTTGAGGTTGCAGAGAGCTATGATCATGCCACTGCACTACAGTCTGGGTGACAGAGTGAGATCCTGTCTCTAAAAACTAACAAATAAAAAACAATAAAATGGGACTGGCAAGTGCTGCATGAGATTGTGAGTATTAAACGACATAATGCATGTGGAGCCCTCGTAAATTGCCCTAGGGTACAGCAAATAAACATTAGTTAATTTCTCCACACTCCCTTGATGTTTTCAGGTATCCCCCCGCCCTTGGTTAATTCTTCCCTCTCTCTCAATGTCAAAATGCTAAAGCTGACTAGTTTCCCTGAGAGAGGAGGGGACAGAGAGTGAGAGGAGAAAGGCCCTGAACTGATCTCACCAGTGCCCTGAGGATTCCAAAGGGGTCTTCCCAGCCTATTCCTCACTGAACTCCAGCTCCAGGAGCTCACCAGTGATCCACAGGGGTCTTGGCTTAGCCCCAGTCCCAGCCCCTTTAGGTTACCCTTAAATCTGAATTCTCTTTTGCCTCTGCTGTGGCTCCAGGGGACTCAGCCTTCTTGGGGCTCCTCTTGATCCTTTGGTCTTCCCTCTCTCAGCCAGCCTCAGGAGTAGAACACAGTTTCCTCTTCATTATTTCTTTTTTTTTTTTGAGACAGAGTCACCCAGGCTGGAGTGCTGTGGCACGATCTCTGCTCACTGCAACCTCTGCCTCCTAGATTCAAGCAATTCTCCTGCCTCAGCCTCCTGATTAGCTGGAATTACAGGCATGCACCACCACGCCCAGCTAACTTTTTCTATTTTTAGTAGAGACAGGGTTTCACCATGTTGGCCAGGCTGGTCTCGAACTCCCGACCTCAGGTGATCCGCCCACCTGGGCCTCCCAAAGTGCTGGGATTACAGGCGTGAGCCACCGTGCGTGGCCTTTATTTTATTTTTTATTTTTTGAGATGGAATTTTGGCCTGTAGCCCAGGTTGGAGTGCAATGGCACGATCTCAGCTCACTGCAGCCTCCACCTCCCGGGTTCCAACGATCCTCCTACCTCAACCTCCTAAGTAGCTGAGATTACAGTTGCCTGCCACCCGCCTGGCTACTTTTTTGTATTTTTAGTAGAGATGGGGTTTCACCATGTTGGCAAGGCTGGTCTTGAACTCCTAACCTCAAGTGATCCACCTGCTTCGGCCTCCCAAAGTGCTGGGATTACAGGCATGAGCCCCTGTGACTGGCCTCCTTTTCATTACTCCTCTTTATTGCTGCCCCCCAAAACAAGTCCAATATCCCATTTTGTGGGCTTTGATGGGCCAGACAGGAGACAGCAGAAAGAACTAAAAAGAGGTGACAAATTAAACAAAGTTCTAGAGTCACAACCTCTGATCTTTTTTCTTTTTTTATTTTTTTTCTTTTGTTTTGGAGATGGAGTCATGCTCTGTCGCCTAGGCTGGAGTGCAGTGGCGCAGTCTCGACTCACTGCAACCTCCACCTCCCAGGTTCAAGCCATTCTCCTGCCTCAGCCTCCCGAGTAGCTGGGACTACAGACGAGCACCACCACGACGGCTAATTTTTGTATTTTTAGTAGAGATGGGGTTTCACCATGTTGGCCAGGCTGGTCTTGAACTCTTGACCTCAAGTGATCTGCCTGCCTCAGCCTCCCAAAGTGCTGGGATTACAGGCGTGAGCCACCACATCTGGCCAATCTTTTGTTCTTGACTCTCTCAAGGAACTAAATGGATGAAGGGTGTGTGGACAATGGCCATGCCCTATTTTCCAAGAGGGTCCCTTCTCCCAGGCAGGCAGAACAATAGTTGTCCCGTTAGCCTCCAGGACAGCTTTGCATCTTTGACATTTTCTAAGCCCAGTGGTAGTACCCACATCATCTGGCATAATGCCCCTCTGGGAAAGTTCTCCTTCCTCAGTCCTGGTATTCTAAGAGCAACCCAACTATAGCTGCCCAGTTGATTCGGGATTCCCTGGGGAAATTTTCCCCAATTCTCATCTTTGCCATTTACTTGCTGTGTGATCCTGGAGAAGTTGCTGAATAATAATTTAGGAAAACAACTTAGATATGTTTTACATATGCTTTACACGTATTAACTCAATAAATATAACAAGTCTATAAGGCAGGTAATATTATTTCAATTTTACAGATAAGAATACTCACAGATAGGCCAGGTGAGGTGGCTCACGCCTGTAATCCCAGCATTTTGGGAGGCCGAGGTGGGTGGATCACCTGAGGTCAGGAGTTCAAGATCAGCCTGACCAGTATGGTGAAATCTTGTTTCTACTAAAACAAAAAGTACAAAAATTAGCCGGGCATGGTGGTGTGCACCTGTAATTCCAGCTACTCGGAGGCTGAGGCAGGAGAATTACTTGAACCAGGGAGGTGGAGGTTGCAGTGAGCCAAGATCATGCAATTTCACTTCAGCCTGGGTGATAGAGCAAGACTCTGTCAATAGCAAAAGCAAAAACAAAAACAACACAAAACAAAACAAAAAACCTCACAGATAGCAAAATTGAACGTGTCAGTTTTAATTTCCTTTGTAAGATGAATCTAAATTGTGTTACACCTCAGGATTGCTATGGATATTCATTATATGAGATAACATGTAAGCTCCAGGAGGGCAAGAAGTTTTGCTTGTTTTACTTAGTGCTATATTCCTAGTGCCTAGAACAGTGCCTGGTATGAAAATACTTTGCTCAGTAAATATTGGTTGAATGAATGATTGAATGTAGCACGTTTAGCATAATATCTAGCAGACAATAGTATCTTCCAAAACCACAGCTATTATTTAAACTTGATCTGTCTTGCCTGCTCACCTGGTCATCTAATCAATCACCAAATATTTCGCAAATCTGAACACTTTTCTATTCCCGTCATTATTGTCCAAATTAGACTTCAGGTCTTGTCCAAGGTCACACAGCGGTGAGCTGGGTTATCAGTACAGGTCTGTCAGACCATGTCACTTGTTTCCAGCTTCTACCTTTTCCAATACTTTCTCAGCACTATTGCCAGAATAATTTCTGCAAATCACAGTTACCTGATCTTGGTGTAATTCTTTAACGGCTCTGAAATTCCTTGCAGAATAAGAGCCAACATTTTTGAGCACATTACTCTACGCGAAGCACTGTGCCAATTGTTTTACACTTATGAACTCATCTAAGCCTTACAGGATCCTACTTTTTTCAGATGGAGGAATCGGAGGTCAGAGAGATTGAGTAACTGGCCCAGAGTCACACAGCATTGCTTGGATGTGAATCTAGGCAGTCTGATCCTAGAACCCCACTTACTCACCCACACACCCCAATCTGTGAGTCTGCACAGCCTGACTGCTTTAGACTGTTACTTGTCCTTCCTCTGTGCTCCCTCACCTATTCCTGTACCAATCCCTCTCGAGACATATTGACATGTACTAATTATCTCTACACACACACACACACACACACACACACACACACACACACTCACCCCATTTTTTTCCCCGTAAAAATGGACCTCTTTGAGAGTAGGAACTAAGTTGTTACAAATAGGTGCTCAGTAGGTGTTAAATGAATGAATGAACATTGCAAGCAAGATTCTAGAACTCACTCTGAATGAGGAGATGATTCTCTGTGTGAAACTAGCCTAGGAAAAGCTGTTGCTAGAAGCTAAGGTCTCTCCTCACTCTCTACCCACCCAGACCTTGGGCAATTTCTCAGCGATAGCTATACTTTCCATTTTTGGACACCAGGGAGCGCTACTAATAATGCAACCCAAACTAGGGGATTCCTAAATTTTTCTGAGCAGATTTTGGACTCTCAATTATTATTTCTAGCAAAGTCTCCCTCATTTTCTGAATGAAAGCTATTGGTAACCAGAAACTCTGCGGTGTGAAGAAAGGACAGTTATGCTGCTGTACAGAACACACATCATTCATTTATTCACTTAGCGAAACGTTTATTGAGTACCAGCTATGTAATGGGCAACCTAGACTGTGAAAATATAAAGATGGATAAAATGCAGCCCTTGATGAGCTCAGAGGCTAATGTAGAAGATATACGCTTATTAAATAATCATAATTCAGCTGCGCATGGTGGCATGTGCCTGTAGACGCAGCTACTCGGGAGACTGAGGTGGGAGGATCTCTCGAGTCCAGGAATTCAATGCTGCAGTGAACTATAATTGCACCACTGCACTTTAGCCTGGGCAACAGAGTGAGAACCTGTCTCTAAAAATAAATAAATAAATAAATAAATAAAAAAGAATATTCCTATTCAAAAAATAAAACTCACTTAAGTCCAGGAGGTTAAGGCTGTAGTAAGCCATGATCATACTACTGCACTCCAGCCTGAGTAACAGAGAAAGACCCTGTCTCAAAAAAAAAAAAAAAAATCATAATCAAATTACATAAGTACTCTAAGGTATAGAAGAAGACTGAAGAGACAGGGCAAGTCAGGCAAGGTGTTAAAGTGGGGTGGAGCTTTTGAGTTTTGCTAAAAATCATAACCCTTGATTTATGGTAAGGTAACATCACTGGTCAGGGCATGGATGCTTTTATTTCATTTGAGCTGAGACTTGAAGGATGGGGAGGGAATCCCAAAGAAGAAAGCAAGCTTGGCTCTCACCTACCACTTTATCTCCTGAGCCTCAGTTTCTTCATCTTTAAAATGAGTAAAGTAGTCCCCTCTTATCCATGGAGAATGTATTCCAAGACCCCAGTGGATGCGTGAAACTGCATATAGTATCAAACTCTATATATATTGTTTTCCTATACACATACCTATGATAAAGCTTAATTTATAAATTGTACACAGTAAGAGATGAACAAAAATAACTAATAATAAAATAGATCAATTGTGGTCTCTCTCTCTCCTCTCTCTGTCAAAATATCTTATTGTACCATACTCACCCCCCAGGTTTTTTTTTTTTTTTTTTTTGAGATGGCTCGCTCTGTCACCAAGGCTGGAATGCAGTGGTGCAATCTTGGCTCTCTGCAACCTCTGCCTTCTGGGTTCAAGCGATTCTCCTGCCTCAGCCTCCCGAGTAGCTGGGATTACAGGCACGTGCCACCACACCCTGCTGATTTTTATATTTTTAGTAGAGACCAGGTTTCACCATGTTGGCCAGGCTGGTCTTGAACACCTGACCTCAGGTGATCTGCCCTCCTCGGCATCCCAAAGTGCTGGGATTACAGGTGTGAGCCACTGCACCCGAACCCCATAGTCACCTATTTTTGGACAGAAGTTGACCTCAGGTCAACATGGGGACCACCGTGTAGCCCCTGTTTTATCTAGCAGAGCTTCTGTGAGGAAGAGATGAGATAATACATGTGAAAACTCTTGCAAACAGTGGAATAGAGGCATAAGAATTAGTTAATCCAATTTGATTTAGCCAACATCTTCAGAACATCTAAGCAAGGCCCTAAGATTAATGCAAGGGAGATATACTGCATAGGTATAAAAAGAGAGATGGGGAGAAAGCTCTCTGTTTCCTCCTGAAGCTTACAATATGTTGAGGGGGTCCTTTCTTTTTTTTTTTTTTTAAACAGATTTTTGCTCTATCACCTGGGCTGGAGTGCAGTGGCAATCACAGCTCACTGCAGCCTCGACCTCCTGGGCTCAAGCCATCCTCCTGGCTCAGCCCCCTGAGTAGCTGGGACTACGGGGACACACCACCATGCCAAGTTAATGTTTGTATTTTTTTGTAGAGACAGAGTCTCACTATGTTGCCTAGGCTGGTCTCAAACTCCTGGGCTCTAGTGATCCTCCCATCTCAGCCTCCCAAAGTGCTAGGATTTTAGGTGTGAGCCCTAGTACATACCTGGGTTCTTGCAAGGGTCACACTTTTAGAAGGACGAAGCATAGGGGCTTATAGAGATGAGGGTCACAGATTCTGATCAGGTTTCAGAATTTTTTTATTTTGTAGAATATTAAAGCTGCACTGGGTCAATAATCTGGTAGCTGACCAGTTTATAGTTGGGGAGACTGAAATTCAGAGGGGAACTGACTTTTCTAGTGTCACATCGTGATCTTGGAGGCAGAGAAGACACCAGAAGTTTCTTCCTGTTGCCCAGGCTGTGGCTTTGGCTCCCAGGTACCATTTATTTGTTATTTTATTTTATTTTTGAGATGGAGTCTCACTTTGTCACCCACGCTGGAGTCCGGTGGCGTGATCTTGGCTCACTGCAACCTCTGCCTCCCAGATTCAAGTGATTCTCCTGCCTCAGCCTCCTGAGTAACTGGGGTTACAGGCACACGCCACCACGCCCAGCTAATTTTTGTATTCTTAGTAGATACGGGGTTTCATCATGTTGGCCAGGCTGTTTTCAAATCACTGACCTCAAGTGATCTGCCGGCCTTGGCCTCCCAAAGTGTTGGGATTACAGGTGTGAGCCACGGCGCCTGGTCATTTATTTGTATTTTTAATTGTGGTTAAAAAATACATAACATACATTTTGCCAGCTTAATTTTTTTTTTTTTTTTTTTGAGACAGAGTCTTGCTCTGTTGCCCAGGCTGGAGTGCAGTGGCGCGATCTCGGCTCACTGCAAGCTCCACCTTCCAAGTTCATGCCATTCTCCTGCCTCAGCCTCCTGATTAGCTGGGACTACAGGTGCCCGCCACCATGCCCGGCTAATTTTTTGTATTTTTAGTAGAGACAGGATTTCACCGTGTTAGCCAGGATGGTCTCGATCTCCTGACCTCGTGATCTGCCTGCCTTGGCCTCTTAAAGTGCTGGGATTACAGGCGTGAGCCACCGCGCCCGGCCTCATGTTAATCATTTTTAAGTGTACAGTTTAGTCATGTTAGGTACATTCGCATTGTTGTGCAGCCAATCTCCAAAACTTTTTTCATCTTGTAAAATTGAAACTATTCCCAGCTTTCCCCTCTCCCCAGTCTCTGGCAACCACTACTCTACTTTCTGTCTCTATGAATTTGACTGTTTTAGGTACATTCATATAAATGAAATCACAGTGTTTATCCTTTTGTGACTGGCTTATTTCACTTAGCTGGCTGTCTTCAAGGTTCATCCATGTTGTAGCATGGTCAGGATTTCCTTCTTGCTTAAGGCTGTGTACTATTTAATTGTACGTATGTACCATATTTTGTTTATCCATTCATCTATCCATGAACAACTTCGGTTGCTTTCACCTTGTGGCTGTTGTGAATAATGCTGTTATGAACATGGGTGTACAATTTTCAAGACCCTGCTTACATTTTCTGGGTGTACACCCACCATTGAAATTGGTGCATCATAGTAACTATTGTTAGTTCTTAGACACCATTTTAGCGTCACAGGAAATTCGACAGCTTCCAAGAGGTTTAAGGTCTTGGTGTAAATTGGTAACAGACCCTGGCTTCCTGCCTCCAAGATCTGTTTGTTGTACCAAATAGATAAGCACCCATAACCCCGAAGAAATCATATGGTGGTGAAAAGAAATGCTGTAGTCGAGTTTGAAGGAAATTGTGTTAAACATGCTTTACTTTGCTCATTTCTTTCATGTTCTCTTAGGCAAATGAGTGCACAGGCAGGAGAGCTGGCTTAGGTAGAAATGATCAACTGTCAGTCTGAGTGATTAATCTGGGCTGCAGACATGTTTTCTGTGGCCTATATAAGGTTTTATCCTTTTAAACGAATTGCTAATATTTTTTTAAAAAGGATATGTCATATGAAAGTCCAGATTTCCATCTTCTCTCTCTCTCTTTTTTTTTTTTTTTAATTGAGACAGGGTCTTGCTCTGTTGCCCAGGCTGGAGTGCAATGGTGTGATCATGGCTCACTGCAGCCTTGAGCTCCTGGATTTAAGCGATCATCCCCCCTCAGCCTGCTGAGTAGCTGGGACCACAGAAGCCAGATACCACTCATGGCTAATTAAAAAAATTTTTTTTGTAGAGATGGGGGTCCCACTGTGTTTCCCAGGCTGGTCTTGAACTCATGGGCTCAAGTAATCCTCCCACTTTGGCCTCCCAGAGTGCTGGGATTAGAGATATGAGTCACTGCACCCAGCCCCATCTTCTCTTAATGACACTCCAGCAATACTAGGCCCATCTTTCTGCCTGCTCTCCACAGTCCCCACCACTCCGTATTACTCCTACCTACTTTTCTTAATTGAATTACCTACCTGCCCATTTTGCCATTTGAATTTAAGACCCCTGGCTCAGAGAATAGGTCTAGGAGAACCTAGGTAGGGTTTCAACTGTTCTGGTCAATTTTCCAATATTCCGGTATTAGTTTTTAGTATCTGAGTGTTCAAGTGAATTAACTCATGTAATCCAGCTTTTACAGAGAACTTACTATGTGCAGGGTCTATGGCTGGGTCCTAGTGTCACAGAGATGAATAAGGCACAGTCTCTGACCTGAAAAGTGGCAATCACTATCTGTTGGGGGAGGGGCAGACAGATGTAATGGTCCAATTTTGGCCACAGACTGATTTTGAAGGGGTGGGCAGAGTAAAAGTTTCTAAGGAGACACATTGAGCTGTATCTGGAAGAGTAAGAGACCAGCTACATGAGGAACTGGGAGCAGGCGAGAGTGTTTCATGCAGAAGCAACAGCAGATACAAAGGCTGTGAGGTGGCTGAGTTTGACGTGGTTAGGAACTTAACGAAGGCTAGTGTGACAGGAGCTTAACAGAGCCGGGAGAGTGGTAGTAGGTTACATTAGCCATGTATTTTTATATCAACGGCCTAACCCTTAAGCCAGGCAGCTGTTGGGCAAATTCGTGTTCCCAGTCTTCAGGGGCCTTGCTCAGAACAGGTAGCTGGTTTAGCACTGTCAGTCAGAGGAGGGACTGGGCCTGATCCTTTCCCCTGCGTCTGGTGCCAAGGACAGGGTAGGGCACAGAGGTTTCAGTCAAGATCTGCTGACAGCACGCTTGAGAAGAGAACAGGAAGTGCAGGCTTTGTTGAAGGAGGCTCAGGCGTGGCTCTGTCTTCTTTGGCGCACTCATTCTCAAGTCGCTGACACCTCCTCCACCAGAGAGGTAGCTGGGAGAATGAGATGCAGGGAGGAAGCATTTACAGGCCCCACCGAAAAACCTTAAAGGGCTGAGAGCTTGAGGGCAGGTAGGAAAAAGGGCTGTGAGAGCTAAGGGAGGGCATCCCACTTAGCTTGGAGGGGAAGGGAGGCGGGGTCGGGAAAGCAGATGGCACCCTTTAGCCCAGACTCAAGGAATGTGTAGGGGAATTTTAGCTAGAGTGGTTTGGACATTTCATTTTGCTTTCTGGCATCATCATTTCCTCAGAAAACACTCGCAGGCCCCAGTGGCCCTCGTGGGCCTCCCCCGGGGCGGGTCTTAGCTTCACTCGGCAACCCTCTGCAAAAGAGCAGGCCCTCCCAGGAGCGCCGAGTCCTGTCTGCAGTTTGCTGATTTTCCCACCAGGGGCCGCTGCGCATGGGCGACGAAGCGCGCGGGTTCCCAAGCCGCAGAGAGGCGGAAGCCGATTGGTTGTCAGGCGAGGCGCGAGGGCGGAGCCTGGGAACTGGCCGGGAGTTGGGGGCTGGGAGCTCGCCCCCGGGCCGAGCCGGGTCAGGCTGTTGTCGCCTCAGGCAGCTCCTGGGAGGCTAACGTCGTGTCCTGGGCCTCTGTTTAGACAGCTCTAGAACTGAGGCGAGTGGAGCAGCACCAAGGCCCGGAGATCGGGGCAGGGCAGCTGCTGTCGCCGCCGCCGCAGGCCTGAGTTACCTGAGTAACTGCGGGTCAGGGACCCGCCCGACGGCCCGCGGTTGGCGCTGGAGACTCTCGGTGGGGAAAGGGAAGCTGGGACTTGATCCTTTGCGCGGGATCCTGGCAAAGACTAGCGCGGGCCGGGGGTCCGGGAGAGCCCGCTAGGGGCGGGGATTCCGGGGAGCCGTCTTCACCGGTTATTCCGGGATCCAGCTGGGCGCTGGGGCTGGCCCGGGCTTCGCTGGGGACCGGGCGGCGCGGGGCGGGCGCGGAGACGCACGCCCCCGCCCGCCCCGGGCCCGCCCCGCGCCGCCCGCCCGCCTGGAAGCCGCTGTCCTGGGCCTGGCCGGTGTGCGTCCGCCTGCTGGACCTGGGCACCGCCAGCCGCCTGGGCACGGGACTGGGCGGGGGCGCTGACCTCGGCCTAGGAGGCCCAGGATCCCGGAGACGCCCGCGCCCTCAGGACCCTGCGGGTCGCACGCCCTCCCCAGCTTCTGCTGCTCGCCGCTCTTCGGCAGGGCGAGGTCAGGTGCCCCCTTCTCGCCTCTCTTCTCTTCTCTTCTCTTCCTCCTCCACTTCTGTGCCCGCGGAGACTCCGGCCGCCCCCTTCCGCAGGGGTGTAGTAATCTGCGGAGCTGACAGCAGCCCCGCAGCCACCCTGCCCGAAGTCTCCGGAAGCGGCACGAGCTCAGGCCGCCGCAGCCCCGGCGGACCCACTGTTGGACCTGAGGAGCCAGCCCTCCTCCCGCACCCAAACTTGGAGCACTTGACCTTTGGCTGTTGGAGGGGGCAGGCTCGCGGGTGGCTGGACAGCTGCGGAGCCGCGAGGGCATCTTGCCTGGAGACCGTCGGCTGCACTCCCGGGCTCCTGGCTTTGCCTCTGGGATCCCGAGGTGTCCACATCAGACGCATGTTGACTGAGACCTAGAGTCATGGATGTATGCGTCCGTCTTGCCCTGTGGCTCCTCTGGGGACTCCTCCTGCACCAGGGCCAGAGCCTCAGCCATAGTCACAGTGAGAAGGCGACAGGAACCAGCTCGGGGGCCAACTCTGAGGAGTCCACTGCAGCAGGTAAGGCCTTGCTGCGGGCTGGACTGGGCTGGAGGCTTTGGCTCAGGACTGAGTGGCCCGAAGTGGGCAAGTTGAAATCTAGGTTTGTACATGTGAGGTTCATGGAGGATTCACACATGGCACTGCCTGTTCCAAGTAGTTCAAGAAGTTCTTTCTGGTCAGTAGTCATGGCAAATGCCTGTATCTTTCCTGAACAACTTTCCTCATCCCCCGCACTCAGGATTTTTTTTGTTGGCAGTAAGAAGAAGCCTTTGGGGCAACTTGACCTTTTAGATCAGCAAGGAAAGACCCCATCTTAGGCCTACTTGTCTGGAAGAATGGCCTGGTGAGATGATAAGTTCATTGCTCCTATTCGGTTTTAGTACTGAGCAGCATGGGGGAGGTTGGGGCCACTTATGTTGGAAAGGGAAAGTTAAGGCTGGGCCACCTCTGTTGCCTGAAAGCCTGGTGTTCAGGTGTGCCTATTCCAACAACCGTGGGAACCCTAGTCCCACCCTTCCCTTAGGTAGTCTTGTCTCTTTGCTGTGCGCATTTGAAATATCCAGGCGGTTTCTTAGATGGAATCCTATTTACAACTAGGGTGTTAAATGGCCTTTTCTTGACATAGACATGATATAATTCCTGGGACCACTTGTTGACTTATTCTGTTTCTTCTGACTGATGAGGGTGGGAATTCCATGCTACAGGTTTTTTTTTTTGTTTTTTTTTTTTTTTCCCTGAGTCTGCTTGCTAGGGAAACCATGCTACTTTTGATCTGTCATGGTTTTTCCTATGCAGTTGTGAAGGCTTATCAGGCAGCAGGAGCCCTGGTATACTTTTGCAGTAGAAAGGAACACTTTTATGTTTTGTTTTGTTTTTTTGAGACAGGGTCTTGATCTGTCGTCCAAGCTGGAATGCAGTAGTGTGATCACAGCTCACTACAGCCTCAAACTCCTGGGTTCAAGTGATCCTCCTGCCTCAGCCTCCCGGTAGCTGGGACTAAACACAAGAGCCACTGGGCCTGGCTAACTTTTTTTTTCTTTCTATTTTTAATTTTTTGAACAGACACTGTCTCTCTGTGTTGTGCAGGGATCCCTCCCAAAGTGCTGGGATTACAGGTGTGAGCCACTGTACCCATCAAGGAACTCTATTAAAATCCAGTCATTTTACATAAGGCTTACGAGATCAGTTCTCTTTTCCCATTTCTCTCACCCTTTGGCTGTGATCTGCCCAAAGCTGTGACCTGCAGTGTGGGGAGAGTTTATAGATGAGTTGTTTCTGAGCATAAGCAAGTTCAAATGAGGGAATGGCTCAGTGGGCACCTGCTGATACAAGTCAGAAAAGGAAATATAGGTCATGGTGGCTGGGGAGTTTCATGGATGGATCCAGAAGCTGGCTTTGGTGGTAGACCCTTTATTGGGCAATACCCTTTTAAGTTCCAGATGTTCCAAGAGGTCTGGTTTCCAAATGAGGCCAGGGTTGCCCATGTGTAAGTAGGATACCTGGCTGTTGCTTTCTAGATAGATCCTTTTTGCCTATTAATCCTGTCTCTCCATAGAGAGTCTCCTTGACCTTTGAGACCTGGCTGAAAGCTTGGTTCTTATTGGGCTATGAAGGGAAAGACTAGTGGGCAAATGTAGATTGAACTGTGAAGTAGACCTAATTATCATCTCTTCCTGTCCCTGTGACATTCCTATTTATAACTGATAATATGTCTTTTTTCACTCCAAAATATGAGTGCCTGACATAAGATGAATATTTTTTGGAGAGTGGGTGTTCTATATTTTAGACATAAGCTAAAGGGATGAAATTTTGAATGTAGACATTGGCTGGCTATTAGGAAGGTTTTTTTTTTTTTGTTTTTTGTTTTTCGCCTGAAGTAAAAGGCATTCTAGCCTTCCTCAGGACCACCCCATGACTTGAGCTTTTGGAGACAATTCTTCACACAACATATATTTCAGAGGCCTGGCTATGCTGATTATACCACTTAGGCCTACTCATGCTCAGTTTAGAAACTGGTTTCTGTTGTCACAATAATAGTGAATTCCAGGGAGGAAAGTCTCAGAGAGACCCTAGGTGCTGTGAATGCCTAAGGTTTGTGGAAACCTGGAGGTTCTAGCACTATTGTTGTGGTAGGTTTTCCCCTTGGGTCTACCTGGGGTTTTGTCTTTGACTCAGTCAGGGACTTGTTTTTGCAAAGAGGTGGTTCATATAGACTGGGATCTGCAAAAGAGTTTGGAGAGAAACTTTCTATGCAACTAGGAACTCTTGCATCCTTTCCAGCCTCTCTGTATCCCCAGAACACAGGAGGAGCTTTACTTGCTCTTAAAACTACTACTTTTAAAAATCAGATTCAACATACCCAGTCAATTTGTGTGTTCTCTGCAGTTTGTATTTTACAATTACATAGCTGTTTTTCCAACAGAGTCTCACAATAGCCCTGTTACAATGCAGGGCAAGTGGTATTGTCCCCATTTTTATGGGTGAAGAAACCTGGTCCTGTGCTTGGTCTTTCTTATAGGCAGGTCTTCTGATGCTTAAGTCTTGGATTTCTTCCATCTTCTCAGGTCCTGCCCTGTTAAAGGAGTGCTAGGCAGGGCTGGAGAATGTTGCTTTCCTTCTGACAATTAGGCAGGCCTTGGTGACTCTGTAGCTGAGAGCCAAGAAAAGGGCTGTACTTTTTTTCTGCTCTGGAGAGTCTTTTGCAGGGGCCCAGAGAATTTGATTTTTTCTCTTTTGGATGTATATACCCATCTGTCTCTTTTTAGTTAGTTAAAATATTTGATCCTAAGATTGATTTAGTTAAAATGCTTATGGCTTTAGCATGCATACAATAAACACTATGAAAGCCTGATCCTGCAGTGAAGGCAGGTGCTCTACAAGGAGGATCTCTCACTGGGCCGTGGAGAGGCCATTCCTGTCACCCTTTGGCTCTTTAATACCTGTACACCCAGCCATGCTAGGTCACTTTCTCAGTAAAGATCTGTGCCTGCCTGTGCTACTCTGGGGCTTGCGTTTCTGAAGCTGGCCTGATACGGATGCTTGGAACCGTCCTTAGACTCTAGAAAACAACAATGGTTTCTGTAGAATGTGCATGAGGGACCTCAGGTGGAGTCTGGAGTTATGGCTGCCAGTGTTGGAGGTATTGAGGGCCTCTAATCAGGAACTGTGGTTTAGTTCAGTGTAGCTAGGACAGGGCCTTGGAGGATAGGCATCTAGGCAGTGTGCAGAGTGCAGGCTGGCTTCTCAATCAACCTCTGATGGAGTGGCAGGCCAGAACCCTGCCTCCCTCCCCCAGCTAGTTGCTGCTGCCTCCAAGGCTATAAATGGCCTGGCCATCTTGGTAGCTATGCTAATTTTAGCTGAGGGTGGCTCCCGGAACTGGGCTGGGGCCAAGAGCAGGTAGGTGGGGCTTGGCTGAAGCTAATACTGGGGCCTGGGGAGAGGGACACACTAAGCCTGGGGTAGCCAGGATATAATCTGCTCCCAGGCCTCAGCTTTGACAATCACCCTTAGCTAGGTTAATTGATTCAGCAAACATTGAACAATGCCAGCTCATGTGGTATTTATTAAACAAGTATTAATATTTGAGTGCCTTCTCTGGGCTAGGTCATATGTTCCTGTGGGGATTTAAGGATGAACAAAACAGACATGTTCCTTCCCTCATGGAAGTTACAGTCTTGTTGATGAGACAGATAATAAACACATAAATAAATATATTATCTTGTGGAAAATGTCATGGAAGAAATAAACAGGATGCTATCATGGAGAATGAGAGGGGAACAGAGATCTAGTTAAAGCCTGAACCTAATTGTAGGACAGATTAATACAATAACATCAATGATAATAATAGCAACTAACTTTTTTAGAGCTTACTATATGTCAGGCACTATTTAAACATTTTGTTTTATTAAATTCTTATTACCATCCTGTGTTATATTGTCCCCATTTTATAGATGAGAAAATTAAATCATAGAGAGGTTAAATAACTTGCCCATGTTTACACAGATAACAAGGAAGCCAGAGTTTGAATCCAGGCAGTCTGATTCTTCTCTCTACCTCTACTTTAGCCACTCTCAAAACTTTGTGATAAATCTGCAATAGAGGTATTATATATACATGCAGAAAGCTGTGGGAAGCCCAGAGGAGTAAGTGACTAACCCTGCCTGGGAGAGCTGGGGGAGGCCTTACAGTTTCTTTGTAATTTTTCTCAGATCTTGAGATGAAAAGCGGCTGCCTAATTCAAAGGTTACGAGATAGAAACATCAGTTAGTTCATCCCACCTATTTTTACATATGAGGAAACTGGCATCCAGAGAGGCATTAGAGGTTTCATGGTGGGTTATTAGTAGAACTAGACTAGGAAATTTGAGTCAGGGACCTTAACTTAAATCAGTTTTTCATTTTATAAGTGAAAATAATGGGTGCTCACTGCTTGCTTTTCACTGTGGAAGGAACTTAGGGCTACTGAAGAAGTCTACGTTTTGTAGGGCCACATGTATTTAGGGAATATTAAATACAACATAATGTACAGGCTTAATGATGTGCAAAATCAGGCAGTATAGACATTGTAGGCTAAGGGTTAAAAGCGATCTGTGTGGGCTGGGCTAGACTAGGTGGCTGCAGAGGGCTTCCTGGAAAGGAGGGGTTGGGTGGAGGCAGAAGAGAACAGGAGAGAGTAGTCTGACTTGGGGAGGTTGGAGGAAAGGAGGCATTGTAAATATCTGGTTTCACTGTTTGGTAGCTGGATGATCATTAGGCAGAGTTGCTTCATTGTTGGCTAGCTACCTCACATGAGCACCCATAGGTAGGAAGATTGCAGTCATGTGTGATCTAGTAGTGGTTCTATTTTTTTTTTTTTTTTGAGATGGAGTCTTGCTCTGTTGCCCAGGCTGGAGTGCAGTGGCCCGATCTCAGCTCACTGCAAGCTCCACCTCCCAGGTTCATGCCATTCTCCTGCCTCAGCCTCCCAAGTGGCTGGGACTACAGGCATCCGCCACCACGCCTGGCTAATTGTTTTGTATTTTTAGTAGAGACAGGGTTTCACCTTGTTAGCCAGGATGGTCTTGATCTCCTGACTTCGTGATCTGCCTGCCTCGGCCTCCCAAAGTGTGGGATTACAGGCGTGAGCCACCGCGCCTGGCCTCTATTTTTTACCGTAATTTAGAAGTAATGATGAGTGTAAATAATACTTTGAGATATCTGTAGCAATGTAATGTGATATGAAAACATCTGTTGATTTCTATTGATGACAAAATCACAGTTATTGCTAATATTATTGTGGTTGGTTGCTCCATATGTAATTGAAGGAAATGCTAACTTTCAGTAAGAGAATATTGAAAACAAAGATGTAATTTCATTCCCATCCAAATTCACAGGCCTCCTGAATTCTATCTATGGGCCCCTTAGGGATATGGGGCCTTCGTGTTAAGAACAGCTCTTTGGCAAGGAAGTGATGAGATCTTGTGGAGGGGAGTAGTTTCCTAGGTCTCTACAGGACTTGAGTTTCAGACCCAAGGGGCCCCTCTGGTTTCCTGCTGGGTAACCTTTGATATACATTGCTGAGTGGCTTTGTGGGCATGCTGTGGTACATTTCCCTTTGTGGAAAATGATTCTTTGGGAAACTCAGCAGGTTTGGTTGTTGTCAGGCTTTTAGGGAGAAAAAAAGAGACCAAACTGGGCCTCCAGAGCTTTGTTGTTGCTGTTGTTGTTACTGTTGATTAAAAAAATCATGAAATATTAAGATATACAACAAAGTATAAATAATAATAAATTGAATACCCTGAAATGACTTTGAAAAAAATTGTGGACTAAAAGCAGGAAATCATCCCAAGACCTTGTCTTACCCTAAATTCCCCCTAAAAAGTAAGACCTGGGATAGGAACTTGCAGAGAGTTTATTTCGGAGAAGTGACTTCAAGAAATGAGGGGTGGGAGTTGTGAAGAATGAAACAGGGAATGGACAGGTGTACTATGGAGCTAACACCACTGTGAGCATCTGAGGCTCAGTGTCACTTAGAGACCCTCTGAGAAGCCTTGTAGAATGCTCTGTAGAATTGCATTCTACAGGTGATAGAGGAGGGGAGTATTTATCCACCACCTCACCTTCACTCGCCAAGGGTTATCCCAGGAGGTGCTACCTCTTCTGTACTCCAGAGTTGCATATGCATCAGAATGACCGAGCAGGTTCCTTTAAGTACTGCATATTGGCCATCACACCCGGCTAATTTTTTGTATTTTTAGTAGAGGCAGGGTTTCACTGTGTTAGCCAGGATGGTCTCGATCTCCTGACCTCGTGATCTGTCCGCCTTGGCCTCCCAAAGTGTTTGGATTACAGACGTGAGCCACCGTGCCCAGCCAAGTAGTCCCCTCTTATCTGTGGTTTCAGTTACCTGAGGTCAACTGAGGTCTGGGGGTAAAAAAAGTATATATGTGTGTATAAGATACATACTTATACATATATAAGTATATCTGTAAGTACACACACACACACGCACACACACACACACACACATATTTTTTTGAGGTAGAGTTTCGCTCTTGTCACCCAGGCTGGAGTGCAATGGCGCCATCTCGGCTCACTGCAAACTCCACCTCCTGGGTTTAAGCAATTCTTCTGTCTCAGCCTCCCAAGTAGCTGGGATTACAGGTGCCCGCCACCACACCTGGCTAATTTTTGTATTTTTTAGTAGAAACAGGGTTTCACTGTGTTGGCCAGGCTGGTCCTGAACTCCTGACCTCAGATAATCCACCTGTCTCAGCCTCCCAAAGTGTTGGGATTACAGGCGTGAGCCACCACGCCTGGCCACACACGTATATATTTGAGACAATGCATGTGTGTGTGTGTGTGTGTGTGTGTGTGTGTGTGTGTGTGTGTGTGTATGTATTTGAGACAGGGTCTCTCTGTCACCTAGGCTGGATTGCAGTGGTGTGATCATGGCTCACTGTTGCCTCGACCTTCCTGGGCTCAGGTGATCCTCCCACCTCAGCCTCCCAAGTAGCTGGGACTGCAGGCATGTGCCACCATGCCTGGCTACTTTTTCTATTTTTTTGAAGAGACGAGGTTTTTCCGTGTTGCCCAGGCTGGTCTTGAACTGTTGGACTCAAGGGATCTTCCCAGCTTGGCTTCCCAAAGTGCTGGGATTACAGGCATGAGCCACTGTGCCCCAGCCAAATCTGAAAATATTAAGTGGAAAATTCCAGAAATAATTCATAAGTTTTAAATTGCACACCATTTTGAGTAGCATGATGAAATCTCATGCTGTCCTGCTCTGTCCTGCCCAGGATGTTAATCAACCCCTTTGTCCAGCGTATTCGTGTACCATAGGCTACCTGTGCTTTAGTCACTTAGTAGCCATCTTAGGGATCAGATCGACTGTCTTGGTGTCACAGTGCTTGCGTTCAAGTAATCCTTATTTTACTTCATAATGGCCCCAAAGTGCAAGAGTGATTGCTGACATATTGTTACAATTATTCCGCTTTATTAATAGTTATTGTTGTTAACATCTTACTAATTTATGAGTTAAACTGTATCATAGGTACGTATGTGTAGGAAAAAACATAGTGGGTATAGGTTTGGTGCTATCCGCTGGGAGTCTTAGCATGCATCCCCCGAGAATAAAGGAGGGCTGCTGTAGTTTCATTGTCTCACTTCGGCTATACCCAGCCATCATGCGTAACTCTGGTGTGGCCAAACCAGGCTTTTATTCAAGGCTTACTGTGGGCCATGGGGAGACTGTTAATAAAGTCTGGGTGCTAATATTTGACCTCAGCTCCAGCTGTACTCTCTTATTGAGTATAACCACCTCCCTAGCTTCACCTGCAGTCTTGAAATGGCTGAGCAAATGGGCCTGGTCCCCACTGTATTGGTTACTTATTGGTGTATAACAAATTATGCCAAAACAGAGAGGGCTAAAATAATAAGTATTTATTATCTCATAGATTCTGTGCATCGGGAGTCTGGATATAGCTTGACTGGGTACCTCTGGCTCAGAGTCTCTCATGAGATGGCAGTCAAACTGTTGGCTGGGGCTGAAGACTCTATTTGGGGGGAGAGTGTTTGCTTTTAAGCTAATTCACATGGTTGTTGGCAGGCCTTGGTTCCTTGCCATATGGGCCTCTACACTGGGCTATACTGGACATGATGATTGGTTTCCCCTAGAACAAGTGGTCCAAGAGAGCGCAAGAGAGAGTGCCTAAGATAGATACCTCCATCTTTTTATCATCTAATCTTGGAATTGATAGGCCATCACTTCTTCTATATTGTGTTTGTTAGTAAGTCCAGCCCATCCTCAAGGTGAGGGAATTACATAAGGGCATGAACACTAGGAGGGCAAGGACCGCTAGGGATCATCTTAAAGGATGCCTCTGAGATTGCCCAAGGGCCATGCTCTGGGGAACAATCACTTCTAGGTTCTGTGGCCTTTTAGTTTTTCTTTGACTTCCTTTGCTTATGACCTAGAGTCTTGTGGAGTCTTTTTATACTCCCTTTTATGTTGTGTCTCTTGGTTCATGCATTACTTCATTGCTTTGACATGACCTATCCTTTTTTCCTTCTCCCCGGACTCCTGGGCTCCAATTAGAAACTAGCTTTTTATCCTAGGCTGCAGTCCTGCCTACCAACTTTTTTTGTTTCATACCTTCTATTCTGGAGCCCATTGTACAGCCACTGACTTTGGAGCCTTTACTACTCCAACTTGGCTTCTGAGAGTTAGATTTGTAGATGGCATTGAATTGGGACTCACAATGACAGATGAAAAACTTCATTCTGACTTTTTAGGCCATTGGTGTTAGGTGCTAGGACTGAAATCCTAGTATGTGAAAGCTGGAAGGGGTTTTAGAGACCATCTCTCCCAAACTTCTTATTTACATATCAGAAGAACAAACTTACCCAAGGTTTTGGTAAGCCAGGGCTAGAATATAATTTTCTCTGATTCTCATTCATATGTTGTTCTCACTCTGTTGTGGAGCCTGTCTACCCTAATGGAGCCTGTTTGGGTTGTTAGGAGGTCTGGGACCTACACAGAGGAGAACCAGGAAGCAGTTCACAATATTATATTATGTTCACCGAAATTGGTCTGGGTACAATTAGGGATATACAAAGTCAAATGTCAAGTGCTGCTTCTTTGGACCTATCCAGCTAGAAAGCTTTTTTATTAGGCACAGAAAAAGAAGCCCAGCAATATCTGTTTCCTATGGTGCCTAATATATGCACCCTATACCACTCTCTTGACAATATCTGTTCAGAGCAATGAGGAATCTGTTTGCTGGGATGTACAGTATAGGCATCTGAAGGAGACAGGTCAGAGCCTTATGTTGTATGTCTCACCACTGAGCTGTTCAGCTGGCTCCATTATGGATTTGGGGCCTCCACAGGCAGGGTAAATGTATTAAAAACTTTGTGGGGTTACTCGTGGCCACCTGGAAAGTGCCAAGGGGAGGTTCTCTGGGCATTGAGAATTTGACAACTTTGCCTGTGTTGATACAACTTGCTAGAGCAGGCAAGACTTGAAGAGGGATGGCTGTGGTCCTGTCATGTTTATCAGAGTGGAGCAGATTTCTTTTGTGTGAGAAGTCATGCAAGAAAAATCCGGAAATGAGCCAACAGCACTTAAACTTTTGTTTTCTGCTGGGGAGCATGGAATAGAGAAGGTGCAGGTTCTAAAATTTCTGTATGGGTGGTGGTTGCTTTCCTGACACAGAGTTCCAGCCCCAGACCACTTTACTCACTTCATCTCCCTCTGTTCCCCTTGCTGCATTCTTGGCAAGCCAAGCATTTTTCTTTGTTCTGATCTGCAGAACAAACTTTTATTTATACTGCTTCACTTTTGTTTTTACTTATGTCATTTAACTTCCTTCAGAATGTCTTTATTACCTGTCCTTCTTTATTTCTACTTCCAGTCCTCTATGAAGTCTTTCCTGACACTAATTCTAGCTGTGAGATACTGCTGACCTGTGAACAAACTCTGGTAGCACTTACTATCTGCAGTGCTCTCTGTGCACTTCACACCCTGCTTACGCCACAAGAGGCAGCTTGCTATGTCTTTTTTTTTTTTTTTTGTGACAGAGTCTTGCTCTGTCCCCTGGCTGGAGTGCAGTGGCGTAATCTTGGCTCACTGCAACTTCCGCCTCCTGGGTTCCGGTGATTCTCCTGCATCAGCCTCCTGAGTAGCTGGGATTACAGGTGCGTGCCACCATGCCCAGCTAATTTTTGTATATTTAGTAGAGACGGGGTTTCACCATGTTGATCAGGCTGGTCTTGAACTCCTGACCTTGCGATCCGCCTGCCTCGGCCTCTCAAGATATGTCTTTTACAGCAAGCCAGTACCTAAGAGCACTGGGCATTGGTTTGAGTTCTTGGTGACAGTATGACAGTGTGATCCAAACTGTCAAATGACAGTTTCCTCACTTGAAAAATGGAGTTATCAGCACCATAAGAGAGGGTAAAGAAAGAAAGAAAAGAAAAGTAAAAAAGAAATTAAAACTGTGCTTTATTTATTATTATTATTATTTTTGAATATTTCCTTGTCTCTTAAGGGCAAGAGCCATGTCTGGTTTGTTGGCTGTAGTACATATCCTCAGTACCTATGAGAGTGCTGGTCAGAGAGTATGTGCCCAGTAGATATTTGTTGACCAAATGAATAACAATGAATTGATCTTTGGATTGAGTAGGTGGGGAGGGAGAATACCAAGTACTTGACATCAGTTCCTGTAAAACTGTTAGATGAGCATGCCCTGGGATTGGGATAGAATTCACATGGTGAGTTTTCTGAGGAGTTCTGTAGGGATTATTTTTCTGCCTGACCTAGTACTTCATCCCTATTTACTAAGCACCTACTGAAGCTGTGCTCAGTGACAGTTATCAGTCATAATGAGGGATGGTTTGGCTATTGACTTTGGTTGGCAGTTTTTGTTTGCCACAGCAATGACTACCCTGAGCAGGTGGCTGCAGTAGGAGTGGAGAACTGTGCTTGAAGAGGACATGAAACCTGTAGGCAAGGCCTTCTTGGGTCTTCCTGCTCCCTGTCTTTGGTTCCATGGCCCACATGGGTTTACCTCAGGTCAAATTTGAGGCAGCTGAATGAACAGAATGAACTTTCACTACTTTGCTGAGACTAGCTTGTGGAACGGAGGAGGAAACCTTTCATGGTTCCCACTCCTGGGCTTGTTGTGCAGCAGAGAGATAGGATAGTCCTGTGAAGATTGCTGGCTTTTTAAATGTTATCTCTGATGCTGAGAACTCCAGCCTGAGCAGGCATCACATCAGCTTTCCTTCAAGACGCTGGGGAGGGGCCTCTTGGGAGATGTGATGGAGGAGACAAAAGAATAAAAGTAACTGTGCTGTCAGCACGGCCCAGTAAGGGCTTATCTGACCCTTTCCTCGGTTGGCCATATACACAGAGCCCCTGGCTGCCTTGTGTTGATCTCTGGCCTAGGTAATGACCAGAAATCTCACTGGCAGGCAGGCAGGCAGGCAGGCAGGCAAGCAGGCAGGCTTTCAAATCTCATGTGCCTCTAATTTTCTCAGTGTGATTCAGTAGCTCTGCTCCTGTTTGGCCTCTCTGGGTTATCTCAGGCCTCTCAGGAAGCTCTCAGAACTCTCGTCACTACAGTGTATGTTCGAACAAATGTGTCTGTGCTTGCCAAGTTCCCAGAGCTGGCTTCTGAAATACAGCAGCCAGGGGAGATGGGTGGCCTTCAGGTGTAACACACACACACAGGTTAGAAAGCAGTGTGTGTCTGTGTGTGTATTTGTTGCTGGGTGGTCGAATTTGTGGAGGTCTTGTTTCAAGAAACTTTTGCTGACAAGAGCAAAGGTCACTGGAACTCACACTTCATATCTCTGAAGAGATAAATATGTAATTAAGACAACTGAAATAACTTCGATGGTAAGAATGATGATGACAGCTACTATTTATTGAGCACCTTTGTAGGTGTTTTACATCTGCAAAACAACTCTTAAGGGTGGATATAGCTCTCATTTTACTGATGAAGAAATTGTAACTGAGAACTTAAGGTCATTTTCCCAAGGTGGCGGAGCCAGGATTTGAAATTAGCTTTATCTGATCCCAAGACCAAAATTGTTTCTATTTTTGTTTAATAACTTGGTGTGGGGTGGGGTGGCGGGGAAGAAACAGCTATCTGAGTTTAGAATTTAGGTGGAGATAGGCATTTTGATTAAAAATTATACAATTTATAGGACTGTTAAGTGGTGTTAGTTTATTCTATCACCCAAGTGGCCTGGGAAACTAGGATTAGAGGTGGGATGGGAGATGGAAAGAGAGGCTGTATTTTACTTATGAATTCTGAGTAGGTAGTACCTAGCTACAGAGTGGTGTATATTCAGTTTATATTTTCCAAAACTATCACCCTGGTTCAACTGTTCTGAATTTAAGCCTTGGGGTAGGGGCTGTGTCTTTGTAGTTAGTGTTCTTTATCTCTTCAGTCAACATTTAGCATGTTTATTATGTGTTATAAGACAATCCCTGCCCAGTAGAAGGACTCAATATAGCAGGAGAATTAAGATGTATGGTCACATTTTATATTATAATAAGAGCTTCTATTTATTGAGTACCTATTCTTTTCTCTCTCTTTTTTTTTTTGACCGAGTCTCACTCTGTCGCCCAGGCTGGAGTGCAGTGGCGCCATCTTGGCTCATTGCAAGCCCTGCCTCCCGGGTTCATGCCATTCTCCTGCCTCAGCCTCCCGAGTAGCGGGGACTACAGGCGCCAGCCACCATGCTCGGTTAATTTTTTTGTATTTTTAGTAGAGATGGGTTTTCACCGTGTTAGCCAGAATGGTCTTGATCTCCTGACCTCGTGATCCGCCCGCCTCCACTTCCCAAAGTGCTAGGTTTATAGGCGTGAGCCACCGCACCTGGCCTGAGTACTATTCTTTATCAGGACTGGGCTAGGTACTTTCACATGCATTATTTTAGTTAATCCTCACATCGGGTCTCTCACTTTATAGCTTTTTGTACAAGGCAATCTTGGTTCAGTGCCCTGTGATTGATACTGATAGTCTTGTTGGCAGTTGTGATCTTCTCTGCTGAGGGAGATCAGAGAAGCTTTGTAGAGGAGGTAGCAGCTTAGTGGGTCTTCAGATACTTCAGGTAGAAATATAAGGGAATTTGTGGGAAGTATTCCAGTCATAGGAAATGTTATGAGTAAAGGTCTGGAGTGGGAAAAAGTAAAGAGTCTTTGGGGGGCAGTAGTTTAGATTGGCTGGAGAGTGGTAGCTGTGCCAGAGAGTACCATAAAAAGATCAAGGAGGGCCTAAATTGTCAGGCTACTTGATTCCATAGGGAATAAATAGTCCTTGCACGTTTTGACAAGGGGAGAGACCTGACCTGAGTTTTGCTTTAGCAAGGTTAATCTCACAGAATATGCACAGTACATTGGTAAAGGTGAGATTGGAGGCAATGAGCCTAGATAGGAGACTTTGCAACTGTTCATGAGCAGAAGACATCAGGGTCTGCATTGTGGAGGTAAAATCAGTAGGACTCAGAGTTTAAATGTAGGAAGGGAAGGAAAGAAAGAAAAGAGTCAAAGATACACCAGTGTTTTGAGTGTGGGTCATGAAGAGACTGGTGGTGCCATTAGCAGAAAATATATGGCAGTCAGAAGGAGGGTCAGTGCTAGGGGATGATTAGTGGTGGGGTAGCTGAACTTATTTGAAGTGCTGGGCAAGGGGCTACACTCCACAGGACTTCAGGAACCAAATAATTCTTTCTATGCTTATTTCACATTGCTACATTTTACAAATGAGTTTTCTGGGGTCCAAAGAAATGAAATGATTTGCCTAAAGTCATACAGTAACTCCATGGTGGAATCTAAGTCTGAGAACCCAAGTCTCTTTGCTTTTTAGCTATTAAACTTCCTAACAAAGCTGAGCCTTGACTCTAGGAAAATCAGAGACAGTCTTGGAGACAGACAAACCTGACTTCAATTCCAGATCTTGCCAGTTTTCTGTTTGTAAGATCGTAACAAGATTGCTTTTCCTCTCTGAGCCTCATATTCCCTTTTGTCCACATTTGCAAAAAAGGGAATATTAATTTTTACCTCATGGAGGCATTGGAAGTAAATATGCTTTCTATAATACTCTTTTTACTTTTTTTTGGTTTTGTTCTGAGACAGGGTCTCATTCTGTCGCCCACACTGGAGTGCAGTGGCACCATCACAGCCCACTGCAGCCTCCACCTCCCAGGCTCAGGCGATCCTCCCATCTCGGCCCAACAAGTAGCTGGTACTACAGGTGTGTACCACCATGCCTGGCTAGTTTTTATATTTTTTGTAGAGATGGGGGTCTCACCATGTTGCCCAGGCTGGTCTGGAACTCCTGAGCTCAAGCAATCCACCCACCTCAGCCTCCCAAAGTGCTGGGATTATAGGCATCAGCCACTGTGCCTGGCTACATCTCCGATTTTCTAGTGGGATATGGAGTGGCTGACAGAACACCGAGTGACCATATCCTATCAGCTACTCTTTTTTTTTTTTTTTTTTTTTTGAGATGAAGTCTTGCTCTGTCGCCAGGCTGGAGTGCAGTGGTGCGATCTCGGCTCACTGCAACCTCTGCCTCCTGGGTTCAAGCGATTCTCCCACCTCAGCCTCCCAAGTAGCTGGGATTACAGGCGCCTGCCACCACTCCCAACTAATTTTTGTATTTTTAGTAGAGACGGGGTTTCACCATGTTAGCTAGGATGGTATCTCTTGACCTCATGATCTGCTTGCTTCGGCCTCCCAAAGTGTTGGGATTACAGGCGTGAGCCACGACGCCCGGCCTCCTATCAGCTACTCCTGACCAGAGAGAAGATGATTAATATCCCCTTCCCTCAGGGTCTTCTGCCAACCTTCATGTGGGCTCAAAGTGGAGGCAAAGTGATAGCTGAATTTAGGCTATGCTTGGTGAGAACTTCCTCTAGACTAGGGTAAGTCCTGGCTTGGGACAGAGGAACCAGGGTGGACTTGCTGATCAGAGTGCTTGGAGTCCTTATCTGGTCGTCTCTTTGGTTTAGTACACAAGTTCCTAAGTTCTTCTCAGAGGGGAAGTCAGCTGCTCTAGTAGGGGTATTGTTAGGTAGTAGGGCTGTGGTTATGTCAGCTCTGTGTCATGGGGGCAGGCCTGAAACTAGCTGTTTTGTCCAATATCTAGTCACATACTCTGAGTGAGTGGAGGAGGAATACAAGATTTTCTAATTTTAAAAAACAACTGGTTACTATTTTGTAGCTTCTGTCTTAATGCCTTTTCTTTCCATTGTTTTCTTGAAACTTTTTTCATTTTCTTCCCTCTTCCTAGGTTGGTTCTCTTGAGTGTTCACAGCTTTCTTTAGGGAAAATCTGGTTTAATAAAAAGACCATGAGACTAAGAATTAGGTAGGCTTAGTTTAGCCTGGGTTCTGTTACTCTTGACTTTTCTGGGCTTAAATTTCCTCATCCCAGGTATTGTGGGGATAACAGAATCTATCTTACAAGGTTGATGTGTGCAGATCTTATGAAATAATGTGATAGGCATTTATTCATACACAAATTTGAGTAATTTATCATTACTGTATTGGTTTTTCTCCTCTGAATTGTCTGATGATCTGTTCTTTGCAATTCTTTGGTTTATCCCTCTCTCTTTAGTACCCTGTTCTCCTAGGTTCTCACTCTTCCTTATAATCTTGTTTTCTAACTCTCGTTTTTTTTTGAAACAGAGTCTACCTCTGTCGCCCAGGCTGAAGCACAGTGGTGTGATCTCGGCCCATTGCAACCTCCGCCTCCTGGGTTCAAGCGATTCCTGTACCTCAGCCTCCCAAGTAGCTGGGACTATAGGCGTGTGCCACCACGCCCGGCTAAGTTTTGTATTTTTAGTAGAGACAGGGTTTCACCATGTTGGCCAGGCTCATGTTGAACTCCTGACCTCAGGTGATCTGCCCGCCTTGGCCTCCCAAAGTGCTGGGATTACAGACGTGATCCACTGCACCCGGCCTTGTTTTCTAACTCTTAATGACAACAGGAAAAGTGTGGCTACACTGGCATTACACCAGTTGGAAGGGAGTGGGTCTGAGCTCTTGGGGAAATGTAAAAGTTCATTGGCTTTTGAGTACAATATGTTGTCATTAACTTGAACAAGTCTCTTTGCCTCCATTTTCTTTTTTTCTTTTTTTTTTTTTTTTGAGATGGAGTCTCACTCTGTTGCCCAGGCTGGAGTGCAGTGGCGCAATCTCGGCTCACTGCAAGCTCCGGCTCCCGGGTTCATGCCATTCTCCTGCCTCAGCCTCCCGAGTAGCTGGGACTATAGGCGCCCACCACCACGCCCGGCTAATTTTTTGTATTTTTAGTAGAGACAGTGTTTCACTGTGTTAGCCAGGATGGTCTCTATCTCCTGACCTCATGATCCTCCCACCTCAGCCTCTCAAAGTGCTAGGATTACAGGCGTGAGCCACCGTGTCTGGCTCTTTACCTCCATTTTCATATGTGCCATCTGGTTTACCATTATAGCTCAATTCTTTTGATTCTCAAAGTCACTTCCATTTCTGAAAACTCCCCTTTAATGCACAAGTATTACTGTGTTTATGTTACTCCCACTTTTTTTTTTTTTTTGAGACAGAATCTCACTGTGTTGCCCAGGCAGGAGTGCAGTGGCATGATCATAGTTCACTGTAACCTCCAACTCCTGGGCGTAAATGATCCTCCTACCTCAGCCTTCCAAGCTGGGACTATACGCAGGTGCCACCACACTCCACTGATTTTTAAAAATTAAAAAACTTGGCCGGGTGCGGTGGCTCACGTCTGTAATCCCGGCACTTTGGGAGGCCAAGGCGGGTGGATCACCTGAGGTAGGGAGTTCGAGAGCAGCCTGACCAACATGGAGAAACCCCGTCTTTACTAAAAATACAAAAAAATTAGCTGAGCGTGGTGGCGCATGTCTGTAATCCCAGCTACTTGGGAGGCTGAGGCAGGAGAATCGCTTGAACCCGGGAGGCGTAGGTTGCAGTGAGCCGAGATTGCGCCATTGCACTCCAGCCTGGGCAACAAGAGCAAAGCTCCATTTCAAAAAAAAAAAAAAAAAAATTAAAAACTTTTTTTTTTTTGTGGAGATGGATTTGCCCAGGCTGTTCTTGAACTCTTGGCCTGAAGCGATCCTCGCACCTCGGCCTCCCAAAGTGCTAGGATTACAGGTGTGAGCTACTGTGTCTGGCCATGTGTTTACCTCTGAACTGAGGACCAAAACTAGCTTTTTAGTATGGATTAGGTTCAGTATAGCCACTGGGGAATGGATTGCATTCTGGAGTGAGGGGTGGAGCCTGGCAAGAGGGCAGTTCTGTTAGCTCAGTTTACCTACGCAGGAAGGGTGTTAGGGCCTCCAGGCATACTTATGCTGCTTCTGTTATAGCTGACACCTAACTGCTCCTCCTGAGCTGAGCGTATGCTTGTACTCTTAGCCAGAAGTCAGAGCTTGGTGAGGCCTGATTCCCCAAAGAATTCAGTGATAAAAATTAGGGCACTTGAGCATATCTAATTGGCTGAACTGTGTGAAGGGCAGAGGCTTTCCCTGGGGGCTCCTTTTAATCTCTGTGGTTATAGTCTTTTAAGGTTGGACTAATTAAAATGTGTTGACAGTTGGACTCACTACTTTCCTTGCACTAGGTCCTGCTCCGGCCTCCTAGAGTACCAGAAGTTGGCACAGAGCTATTTTTCCTGGGGAGCTGAGGAGTGGGTTTCCATTTCCTAATCTACTAAATCTACAGTGATGTAATGTTTGTCCAAAATGGACTGCCAAACATTTTATGGTGGGGAGAAATTTAGGCTGGGACTTGGATGTGGCCTGGGTTTCTGCACTTCTTAAGGTGTCTTTTCAGGTTGATTGTCTGTTCTAGTAGCCCTCAAATGGCCTTGCTCTGTGAGCTGGCAAGTCATTTCTATTGCCCTGGAGTATCCTTCTCTGGTATGTGTTCCTCTTCTAACCAGAAAAAGGGATAAGGAAAAGATATTTAAGTCCCACCATTTGCCAGATCAGGGCTAGTGTTTTACACACCTATCTTTTGAGGTATGCTTCATAATGCCCATTTTGCAGGTGAAGAAATAGATTCAGAAAAGGAAAATAATTTGCTTGATTGTCATTACAGGCTGTAAGCAACTAAATCAGTATTCAAATCCAGGTCTCTCCCTAGCTTCAGGTTACTTTCCTAAGGTAGCACAAATGATTTCATGTCCTCTTATCCTTTTAAGCCGCTAAGTTCTCATATCCAGAGAGTCTTCTTCGGTTCCTTTAGCCAGAATGACTTCTTGCCCTGCTTTTTCAGACTACTCTGCCTCTCGCTAATCTGTCTGATATTTAAGTCACTGAGGCATGAATCTACCTCCCTCATCTGACTATTCCCGCTCCTGCAAGATTTGGTACTCAGGGTGTATTTGTTAAAGAACAGAATGAAGTTATAGTGCTGGAATTTCAGGTGTTATGATAGACTGGCAAGGGTAAGGGTTTTGGGCAAAGCCTTGGCTAGTTTTTCAAATAAGGCCCCCTGTGTCTTTCTGATTTGCCCAGAATGTGCTGTTATTTTCCTGGACATCTGGCTTTAGAGTTTGTATCTTTTTTTTTTTTTAATTTTTATTTTCTCCTCCTCTTCCTCTTCTTTTATTGTTTGTTTGTTTGTTTGTGTTTTTCTTGTAGTTGGTTTGCAACCTACAGAGCTAGGCTTAATGCTCCCTGGACTGGAGTGATATGACAAACCCTCAGCTTCGTCTTGGTTGCTGGAATATGCCTGTTGACCATGGTGCTTGGATTTTGTTTGTTTGGTTGGTTTTTTGCAAAGAGCATGCCAAGATACTAACCTTGCATTTGGGGCTTATACTTTCTGCAACCTCTGCCTACCAGTGTATGTCACTTCACAGGATAAAGGCTTTCCTGGCAAAGGCAAACACATGTAAAGGCATCCCTATAAGTTGAATTATTTTTCTCACTGACTTGAAAACAATTGAAAAACTATCTCAGACCTTTTTCTGTGCATATAGTGTATACTTCGTGTTTAACATAAAAAGTTAAACTTCAATGGCAAATTGGAACATAACAAAATATAGGCCAGGCACAGTGGCTCATGCTTGTAATCCCAGCACTTTGGGAGGCCGAGGCAGGCAGATCGCTTGAGCTCAGGAGCTTGAGACCAGCCTGGGCAACATGGTGAAACCCTGTCTCTACAAAAAATACAAAAAATTAGCCAGGAGTGGTAGTGTGTGCTTGTAATCCCAGCTACTTGGGGGTAGAGGCAGGAGGATTGCTTGAGCCTGGGAGGCCGAGGCTAAATTGAGCCAAGATCATGCCACTGCACTCCAGCCTGGGTGACAAAGTGAGACCCTGTCTCAAAAAAAAAAAAACCCCTAAAAACAACAACAAAAAAATCAAACCAACAACAAAATATAGTTAAAACGCCTTTAGTGGAAGAACTCATAAAATATTAATAATCAAAATAAATACTGCAATAGGATGAAACATGCATTTTTGCTTTGTATTGTTTTGATAACATAGGCAACCTGAAATAGCTTAGTCAAATATATTGAACTAAATAAGGACGCAACATTCCTTTTGGTTTCTGTGCTATGGAGAATAGATATGAAATGTTCTTAGGAGAAGGGGCAAATAATGCATTCTGGGACTAGGAAGAACTGTGCTGTGGCTCAGTTCCTCTACTCAGTGGTGAAACTAAGCTTTCTGGTTGTCTGTTCCCCTATGTGTTAAAGGGAATAATACCTATCTTGTTTAATTTTATGAGGGTTAAGTAAGATAATGTATGTGAAAGTCTTTTGTAAACTATGAAATACTATTATTGTCATACTTAGTGGGTGGCTGGAGCCAATTTGCTAGCACTGTAAGGAAGCTTTTGGTTTAAGATATGGCTAGACCTAGGTAGGAAGAAGGATGCAAAATTAATGGATAAACAGACCTAGGTAGGAAGAAGGATGCAAAATTAATGGATAAACAGTTGAATGCTGTTTGGGTAGCAGCTGAGAGGAATTCCTGTGAGTTGAGGGAAAGGACTACATTCATTTCTTTTGTTTTTGGGAGACAGGGTCTCACTCTGTTACTCCAGCTAGAGTGCTATGGTATGATCGTGGTTCACTGCAACCTTGAGCTCTTGGGCTCAAGCAATCCTCCTGCTTCAGCCTCCTGATTAGTTGGGACTACAGGCACATGCCACTACACCTGACTGATTTTATTTTTATTTTTTGTAGAGGCAGGGTTTCACTGTGTTGCCCAGGCTGGTCTCGAACTCCTGGGCTCAAGTGATCCTCCTGCCTCCATCTCCCAAAGTGATGGAATTATGGGCCACTGGGTCTGGCCTTCAATACATGTTTATTGAGTCCTGCCTGGTTGAAGATAAAGAAATACTGATATCTACCTACTAAATACATGATGTGGTAAAATATGGAGGCAGTTTGGTTTAGAATGAAAACCCCATAAAGATAGGGTTCTTGTCTGTCTCATGCACTGTTATGTATTCACCAGGAGTAGTGCCTGGCATGTAGTAGGCTCTCAAAAAATATTTGTTGAAAGAAAGTTTACGATTTGGAATCAGACAGACCAGGTTCATATTTGGGTTCTGCCCAGCCCCTTTACTGAGTGCGTTGCTCAGTTTCTTCATTTATAAATAAAATAGGACTAGGATTAGCTGGTTATTGGGAGAGTTGTTTAAAAAAAAGATTAAAACCTTTTCTATAAGGCTTTACAGTAAGCGCTTAAGGAAAGATAGTTTCTTTCATTTCCCCTTGATGGTTTGCAAAGTGTGATGGGAGTGCAGGGGAAAAAGCAGTTAGAGCTACCTGGGGGAGTCTAGACAATGGCTTCACAGGCTTGATCTGTTAGTGTCTTCCTACAGAACAACATTATTATTATTATTATTATTATTTCCTCACAAAAGGAACTCCCTGGGATTAAGCAAGCATCTTGGAATTGGTATGCCTTGCTTCTCTACATTTCCCATGGTCTTCATGGGAGGGCTGGCTCTTGTCTTTCTAGCAAGGTCACATTTACACTGTAGGTTTGTTCAGAGGTTGTTGTTCCAGAAGAAGCAGCTTTCAGTGGAGACTCTGGACTTAGCTGATTTGCATGGGCTTTTGTAGCCAGCCGTCAATCCCCTATCCCCACCCTGCCAAATACCTCAATAATTGTTAGTTATAGCTTTGAAAACGTGTACTCAGCTTGACTTCTGTTCCGGATCAGTTGTAAATTCTCACATAAGGTAGAGCAGAGTGTGTTTGCTTGGGTTAATCAGGTATTTATAAGTTGACCTTTACTAGTGAATACCTAATTTTTCCCTCATGCCTAAGTAACTCTAGCAGGCCGAGGGCCTTGTTCTCAGGCATTCCCAGAACTGTTGGGAGTTGCAGCAGGTTTGCCTGCCCTTGTCATATATGCACAAGGGCCAGTAGGATTTATCTGTCTCCCAGCAAGGGTGCCCAGGACCTCTCCTTTTATCCTATCATTCTAAAGCACTGGGAATACCAGTCTCCTCTCTCTGATCAGCATTTTAGACACTGATGCTTTCTCTTCTAGTTAGTTTCTTGGGAGAATGAGTAAGCAGGGAGGAATTGTTTGGCTTTCAGGTAAAAAGGACTTCTTGCTTGTGAATTGAAGTCACTAGGCGAGAAGTGAGTAAAGAACATGTTCCTGGATAGGAGTGGTCAAGCGTTGGTAAGTTAGACTTGGTTTGGGGTTAAATGGGCCTGGTGCTCTCTAGGAGTGGAATCAGTAAGGGTCCTGGCTGTGTCCTCATTGCCCTCCTTCGGGAGCTGAGCATTGCTGTAGGGGAGATCTCACATATGGTCTGGGGAGAAGGGAAAGGAGGAGGGTTAAGGAACGAAGAGACAGAGGGAAGAAAAGGGAACTTTTGCTGAGCTGTTTCTCTAGGCTAGGTGCTTTACACCAATAATTTTCTTTAATCTTCACAACAACTTTGTGAGGTAGCTATAATTAGTCTTGTTTTACATATGATGAAACTGAGGCCCAGAGAGGTTAAGCAACTTACCCAAGGTCACAAAGCTAGTTAATGATAATAAGTTATTATTTATCATGTGCCTGAAAAGCACATATGAAGTTTCTTTTTTTTTTTGATCCTATGAAAGATAATTATTACTTCTTCAATGCAAATGAGGAAACTGGGAATTAAAGAGCTTTGGTTACTTGTGGAAGGTCACTCATCTGGCAGTGTCAGTGCAGGGATTTGAAACCAGGTCTGTCTCATTACAGAATGTGTTCCCTTGATGTCCATGTTGCTCTGCAAATGGAAGAGCTGGGATTCAAATGCAGAGTCATGAGAGCAGGGCTTATGTCTTACCTATCTTTGTGTCACCATTCCCTATGACAGTGCTTACCATGTTGTTAGTGCCCAATAAATGCTTGCTGTAAAATCTAGCTCTGCCCTCCCCATAGCTCATGTTAGCTGCAGTGGGTTCCTATTGCTAGCTGCGTCCTGCCCCAGCTGCTCGGCTGCCTATCTTCCCCCGACAGTTTGGCCTTATCGTGCCTACCCATTGTGGCCTCCTTGACATCCCAACACACAGCATCTCCTCTAGTACTGTTGCTTTCCTCTTCTTCATACCTCTTTTTTTTTTTGAGACGGAGTCTCGCCCTGTCACCCAGGCTGGAGTGCAGTGGCGTGATCTTGGCTCACTGCAACCTCCGCCTCCCGGGTTCAAGCAATTCTCCTGCCTCAGCCTCCCGAGTAGCTGGGACTACAGGTGCACACCGCCACACCCAGCTAATTTTTGTATTTTTAGTAGAGACGGGGTTTCACCATGTTGGCCAGGCTGGTCTCGAACTCCTGACCTCAGGTGATCCACATGCCTCAGCCTCCCAAAGTGCTGGGATTACAGGAATGAGCCACTGCGTCCAGCGTTTCATACCTCTTTTCCCTAGCTATACATTTTCCTCTGGCTATGGCTTTCCAAAACCCTCCAATCCTGTTCATTCTTTTCTCTGTAGTTTTTCTGACTTATTCCAGGGACTTCCCTTTCTAGATTATAATCTTCTTAGTCTGTACCATATAATTTGTCACCTAATTATCTACTGTTTCACTTTCTGTTGGTTTCGTGGACATTAATCTTCTCCCCAGCCAACTGATGGTAGTCATATTATAATAACTCCCCAGATTGGTTTGTGCTCTGCACTTTACAAATCACTCCACTGTTTAAGACCTGTCTTTTTGCTTATCATGCCCACAGCTGCTCTGTGAGGTGGGACAGGAGGGGATTGTTATCTCCATATTATTGTAAACAAATTCAAAGAAAGCAGGTGACTTCCCAATGTCATATATGTAATTAGGGGCAGAACAGAAACTATATCTCAGGTTTACTAATTTCTGGCTTAGAATTTTATCTGCAGGCTCTTCTACATTTGTTTTTTTCCTTACCATTTCCCCTCTTGCCTTCAAGGGTCACTCAAGGCAGAACATCTACCTTGTGGGTTTTTAGGAGGTTTGGTTGGTGACCCAGTGAATGGTAAAGTAGCCCAGATATCAATCTTAGGTACTTCTCAGTGGCATCAGTGTTCTGGGTTGCTATTGCCGAGAGAATTCTCTTTCTGTGGCTATTAGGATTAATGTTGAACTAAGAAGCATTAGATTATTATGAATGGTCAGAACACACTCTCATGGAGATCCAGGAAGCAGGACAGGATGTGTGGTGCTGGGCACTTTTGTGTTGTGGCAATGGCATGAGTTTGCAAGCAGTCAGGCCAGAGTTTGAAATCTGGCTTTGCTGTTGTTTGCTGGCCTCATGACCCTTAGTAAATCATTAATCTCTCTGAGCCTTAGGGCCACTGAGAGAATGTATTTAAGGGCCACATAATGGCCTGTGAAAACAGTATTTGTTGTTGGTTTTTATTGCCAATACTACTTTAAGTTTAAGGTGCCTGAAGGGCATTAGAAGCCTGCTAGCACCTGTGACCCTTGCAGGTTACTTCTCGTGTCTTGATTTCCAAGCATTAGTGATGACTACCTTGGAAGCTATTGGCTGATAGAGGATGAGCTTGAATGCTGTTCCCAAAGTCTCCCGTCTCCCAAGTTTCCAGTGCCTTCTCAGGGCAATGAAAATAGTTTGTGGACAGCTGGGGGATGGTTTCAGTGTCAAACTTTGGGAGTAAAATCTTTCATGTTTTTCTGAAGAACTTTGGCATTAGAATTGTTGGTTCTGGAAAGTCAAGAACACAGTTGTTATTGAGAGATTTTAGTTATTTCTGAAACCAGATATTGCTCCAAAGCTGTTTGTTAAATACTTCCCTACTCTTCCTAAACCCCTGCCCCTCCCCAAAAGAAAAATAAATCATATTCAGACCATCGTGCGATGGTTATATCTCTGGCCTCCCTGGTCACCCAGCCTCTAGCTCTCTGCTAGCACCACTCCAAATTGCTGCTTCAAAAGAGGTCAGTCAGCCCCTTTCCCTTACTCCTCAACCATGACCTGGTCTGTCTGGAAAGAGGATGAGATACATGGACCAATACATCCTATTTAAAAGGGAGCTTGCTTTCTCACTAGGGACTTTAGACTGCCTGACACACAGGAAATGACTAGAAAATCTGACCAGTGGAGCATAACTCATTGCTAAAATGGCAGGTTTGGACGGCTGCAGGATGGGAGAGCAGGCTTCCTGAAGAGGCAGGAAGGGGCAGCTGGATGGGAAAACAGTGACTTTTGAGTTTTTCCTTTTAGAGTATGGTGACGTAGGCCGTTTATTAAAAAAAAAAAAAAAAAGGAAAATCACATAACATAAAATTAATCATTTTAAAGTGTACAATTCAGTGGGATTTAGTACTATCATAAATGTAGTTCAAAACTATTTCATCAACCCTAAGGAAATCCATACCTGTTAAGCAGTTGTTCCTAATTCCCCCTCTCCCTTTCCCCTGGCAGCCATCAATCTGTGTATCTGTGTTTTGTCTGTATAGATTTACCTATTCTGGATATTTCATATAAATGGAATCATATGATCTATTGATCATATGATTATTTTATTTTATTTATTTATTTTTTCAAGATGGAGTCTCTCTCTGTTGCCCAGGCTGGAGTGCAGTGGCATGATCTCGGCTCACTGCCAGCTCCGCCTCCCGGGTTCATGCCATTCTCCTGCCTGAGCCTCCCGATTAGCTGGGACTACAGGTGCCCGCCACAGCACCCGGCTAATTTTTTTGTATTTTTAGTGGAGATGGGGTTTCACCCTGTTAGCCAGGATGGTCTCCATCTCCTGACCTCATGATCTGCCCATCTCAGCCTCCCAAAGTGCTGGGATTACAGGCGTGAGCCACCGTGCCCGGCCGATTATTTTATTTTTATTTATTTATTTTTTTGAGATGGAATCTCGCTCTGTAGCCCAGGCTGGAGTGCAGTGGTGTGCTTTCTGCTCACTGCAGCCTCCGACTCCTGGGTTGAAGTGATTCTCCTGCCTGTAGCTGGGATTGCAGGCATGTACTACCACACCTGGCTAATTTTTGTATTTTTACTAGAGACGGGGTTCGCCATGTTGGCCAAGCTGGTCTCGAACTCCTGACCTCAGGTGATCCACCTGCCTTAGCCTCCCAAAGTGCTGGGATTACAGATGTGAGCCACGGCGCCCGGCCTTGATCATATGATTATAATGGGATCATATGATGTATTGTGTCTGGCTTCTTTCACTTAGCATAAGGGAAAGTAAGTTTTAGAGGTTCATCTATATTGTAGCATGTATCAGCACTTCATTCCTTTTTTTTTTTTTTTTTTTTTTTTGAGACAGAGTTTCGCTCTTGTTGCCCAGGCTGGAGTGCAATGGTGCGATCTTGGCTCACCGCAACCTCTGTCTCCTGGGTTCAAGCGATTCTCCTACCTCAGCCTCCCGAGTAGCTGGGATTACAGGCGTGCGCCACCACGCCCAGCTAATTTTGCAGTTTTAGTAGAGACGGGGTTTCTCCATGTTGGCCAGGCTGGTCTTGAACTCCCGACCTCAGGTGATTCGCCCACCTCAGCCTCCCAAAGTGCTGGGATTACAGGTGTGAGCCACCATGCCTGGCCACTCCATTCCTTTTTATGGCTGTGTAATATTTCATTGTATGTTTATACAATAATTTGTTTATCTATTCATCCACACGTGGGCAATTTGGGCTGTTTCCACCTTTTGGCTCTTGTGGATAGTGCTGTTAAGAATTTGTGTGCACCGTTTACCTATGTACCAAACCTACACATCCTGCATATGTACCCCGGAACTTAAAATAAAAAGAAAAAAGAATATGTGTGTACATGTACCTGTTTGAGTACCTGTTTCCAGTTCTTTTGGGTACATACCTAGGAGTGGAATTGCTAGGTTATATGGTAATTCTGTTTAGTTTTTGAGGAACCAACAAACTCTTTTTCACAGCAGCTGAACCACTTTTTACTTATACCAGCAATGGACTAAAGTTCTAGTTTCTCTACATCTTCACCAAAGTTTGTTATTTTTTTTATTATAACCATTCTTGTGGATATGAAATAGTGCCTCACTGTGGTTATGAAATAGTACCTCATTGTGGTTTTGACATGCATTTCTCTAATCTCTAATGATATTGATCATCTTTTCATGTACTTGTTGGTTAGTTGTATATCTTCTTTGGAGAAATGTCTAAGTTCTTTGTCTATTTTTTAAAACTAAGTTGTTTGTTTTTTTGTTATTGTAAGAGTTCTTTATATATTCTGGATACTAGACATTTATCTTTTTTAAAAACATTTTGGGGCAAACCTTTCTTGACTTAAAAATCACCCACTAGCCTTTAAATATACCTAGCTCTTTCATGTCTCAGCCTGTGCTCATGCTTTTCTCTTTGTCTAGAATATCCTTCTTTTCTCTGGTGGTTGAAATTATAATTGTTCCTCAAGACTCAGCTCAAATGTCACTTCCTCCGAGAAGCTCTCTTAATTGGTTTCTCCTCCTTCTTCCACTAGTTAGGTGCTCCCTTCTATGAACATCTCTATAATGGGACACCATTTTTTTTGTTTGTTTGTTTTTGTTTTTTGAGACAGAGTTTCACTCTTGTTGCCCAGGCTGGAGTGCAATGGCATGATCTTGGCTCACTGCAACCTCTGCCTTCCGTTCAAGCAGTTCTCCTGCCTCAGCCTCCCGAGTAGCTGGGATTACAGGCATGCGCCACCACGCCCAGCTAATTTTGTATTTTTAGTAGCGATGGGGTTTTACCATGTTGGTCAGGCTGGTCTCGAACTCCTGACCTCAGGTGATCCACCTGCCTCAGCCTCCCAAAGTGTTGGGATTACAGGCATGAGGCACCACACCCAGCCAATGGGACAATTTTTTATTGTCTGCTTCAAACCACTAAGTTATATTTTCTAGAGTCAGGGATTATATTTGATTCATTTCTGTCTTTAGCATTTAGCATATGACCTGACATTTAGTGGATGTTAATAAATGCTAAATGAAACTTGAGTATAGACTGAAGACTTACTTGATAGTAATGACACCAGACACCATCACTGTAGGAGGGATCAGTTGCGGGCTGTACTAGATGTATTCATATAATAAATATTTAAGACCCTACTGTGTGCCAGAAACTCTGCTTGGTATGCAGTAAAGAATAATAGTCCCTATTGTTTTATATTCAGGTAGGAAGATAGGCAATAAACAAGGAGATAAGTAATATAATGCTTGGTAATCATAAGTGCTAAAAAACAAAGTAAGCAGGGCAAAGGATTAGAGAGTGATGGGGGTGCTATTTTAGGTAGAGGGGTGGGGAAGGCCTCTCATTGGATGGCCCTTAAAATCACCTCACAAGGGTCTGGATCAGGAATCAGAAGTCTTGGGTTCTTCTTCTATCTCTGTGCTTTGTTACTTAGCAAAATTACTTAACATTTCAAGGTTGGAGTTTCTTTGTCTATAAAATGGGTACAAGAGTCCCTGCCCTGGTATTGTGGGAGTGTTGTAAGGATTCAGTGAGTTAATGGACATTGAAAGTGCTTTGTTGTATGGTGAACAGCATGATGTTTGGCTTTCCCTTTCCCAAGTTGAGAGGATGAGTGAGCAGTGTGGGAGCCAGCCAGATGTTTCCAGCACTTTGAAGACAAAAGGAACTGGTTTCTGCTGGGAGCTGTCATGCTAGCTTGCCTGGGACACTGACTTATGCAGTCCTGATCCAGGGGCTGAGAGTGAAACCCATGCCCCAAGTGGTTCTCCATGTACACTGGCAAAAGGGAATAGCCTTGGGAACTTGGGGCCTGTTCTGTTTAGCCCTCCAGGAGGTAGACTGTGGAGACCACTCTTTCTCTCAGTTCAGCCTTATTTCTTGCTATGTCTGAACCTAACCCAAGGGAGTAATAATTAGCAGTCCCCAAGAAGCTTGGGAGGTGGAGGTTGTGGTGAGCTGAGATTGCGCCACTGCACTCCACCATGGGTGACAGAGCCAGACCCCATCTCAAAAAAAAAAAAAGGGGTATGTTTGTATAATGGAATCTTATTTAGCCATTAAATGGAGTTAAGTGTTGATAGATGCCACAACATGGATAAACCTTGAAAACATTATGCTAAGTGAAAAGGCTACATATTGTATGATTCCATTTACATGAAATGTCCAGAATAGGCAAATCTATAGAGACAGAAAGTAGATTAGTGGTTGCCAGGGTGTGGGGGGAGAGGGTAATGAGAAGTTACTTCTAATGGATATGGGGTTTCTTTTTGGGGTAATGAAAATATTCTGAAAAATTAGATTGTGGTGATGATGGGACAACCTTATAGATATATTAAAAATCACTGAATTATAAAATCTAAGAGGATTAATTATATGTCATGTGAATTATATTTCAATATAAACATAGATAATTTTTTTTTTTTTGAGACAGTATCTCACTCTGTCATCTAGACTGGAGTGCAGTGGTGCAGTCATGGCTCACTGCAGCCTTGACCTCCCGGGCTCAACCAATCCTTCCACTTCAGCCTCCCAAGTAGCTGGGGCTATAGACGTGTGCTAGCCTGGCCAATTTTTGTATTATTATTATTATTTTTTGTAGAGACAGGGTTTTGCCATGTTGCCTAGGCTGGTCTTGAACCCCTGGGCTCAAGTGATCTGCCTGCCTTGGCCTCCCAAAGTTTGGGATTACAGGCATGACCCATAGTGCTCTGCCAAACATACATAATTTGAGTTTGCTGAGAACTATTGGTTTAACACAATTGTAGATAATTATAATTTTCTTTTCTGATTGGAAGTCTTCTCCCGGTACTTCAGCTCACAAAGGTGGACACATTCCAGTTTTATTTTATTTTATTTTATTTATTTTATCATTTTATTTTTGAGACAGGGACTCGCTCTGTTGTATAGGAGGCTGAAATATGGTGGCACAATCATGGCTCACTGTAGCCTTGACCTCCTTGGCTCAAGTGATTCTCTCACGTCAGCCTGCTGAGTAGCTGGGACTGCAGGCATGAGCAACCACACCTGGCTAATTTCTCTATTTTTTGTGTAGACAAAGTCTTACTGTGTTGCCCACGCTGGTGTCAAACTCCTGGGCTCAAGCAGTCCTCCCGCCTCAGCCTCTGTAAGTGTTGGGATTACAGGCGTGAGCCACTGTGCGTGGCCCCATTCCAGTTTTCGATGTGAGTTTGAGCATGATCGTAGGCAAGGGCCCATCAATGAAGGTGTTGAGGATATAGCATTGTCCTGCTTTGGCTCAAGGGGACTTTTCCTGCCTTTGATTAAGGATTGGCATGGGTGAGTCATTTCCCATAGTCTGAGGGATGTGGGATATAAAGAATGAATTGTTATCTCCGATGATATCTTGAATATCACACATTATAGGCCAAATATAGGTGCTAAACCATTTGGCTTGAATTCTTTATAGAAAATTCACTGGGAACCCAATGATAAAATAGAGAAAGACGGATAACCTAAGAGGGAGGAGCAATCTGGTGAGACATTCTTTTCACCTTTTCACACATGAGCAATTAAAAACTTGAGGGAAGTTGATTTTTTTTTTAACTCTGTAAATAGCTACTGGTATAATTCCTTGAGGCTGGTATTGTATTTTGTGCTATAAGAAGAGAGACTTGGCTGGGCGCGGTGGCTCACGCCTGTCATCCCAGCACTTTGGGAGGCCAAGGCAGGCAGATCACGAGGTCAGGAGATCGAGACCACCCTGGATAACATGGTGAAACCCTGTCTCTACTAAAAATACAAGAAATTAGCCGGGTGTGGTGGCAGGCACCTGTAGTCCCAGCTACTCGGGAGGCTGAGGCAGGAGAATGGCGTGAACCTGGGAAGTGGAGCTTGCAGTGAGCAGACATCACGCCACCTCACTCCAGCCTGGGTGACAGAGCGAGACTCTGTGTCAAAAAAAAAAAAAAAAAAAAAAAAGGTCTTATTTGGCCGGGTGCGGTGGCTCATGCCTGTAATTCCAGCACTTTGGGAGGCCGAGGCGGGCGGATTACGAGGTCAGGAGATCGAGATCATCCTGGATAACATGGTGAAACCCCGTCTTTACTAAAATACAAAAAATTAGCCAGGTGTGGTGGCGGGTGCCTGTAATCCTAGCTACTCAGGAGGCTGAGGCAGTAGAATCACTTTTCACTCAGGAGGCGGAGGTTGCAGTGAGCCGAGATCGCACCACTGCACTCCAGCCTGGCGACAGAGCAAGACTCTGTCTCAAAGAAAAAAAAAAAGAAGAGAGACGGGCCATATACTCAAGGAGTTTCCAAATATATCCAGAGGTGAAACAAACATCTAGGATGAAAAGGGTCCAGGGACTAGTATTGTACACAGTCAGAGGAGGTAGAGGGCTGTGAGTTTGGTAATAAGAGAGGAGGCTTGGGAAACCCAGCCTGAGTCTAGGTCCAGAGGGCAGCATGCACTGGGTGAGGGCCTCTAGGGAGAGTAAAGCAGGATACATTCTTGTCCTTATACTTCCTTCCCTGTTTCTGTACCTGCTCACTTTTGCCCTGCAACAAATAAACCTTTAAGCATCTGTTCTCAGCCTGGCCTTGCACTGGGCAAAACTGGAAACATGGGCATTATGAAACCTGGGCCATACATCTAGAAGTGCTTAATATATTGTGAGAGGTGAACCTGGAAACAATGGACTGTAATGGCATGGGTCAAGGTATGTAATAGACAGAGATGGATTTGATATATCAGAGTGCCGACCTACTGACTCTGTCTTGGGATTAGGTAAACCTACCTTTAAAAAGGCATTGAGACAGGGCCTGGTTAGAGAAACCTGTTAAGGTTATTGCCAGAAGATGAAGCGGAGGTACAGAATGCTACTTTTGGGGTATGGCTGCTTTAGGGCCTTTCATTTCGTTTTCAGATTTGATGAAAGAATAGGGCATCTGTGGCCAGGCGCAATGGCTCACACCAGTAATCCTAGCACTTTGGGAGGCCGAGACGGGCGGATCACGAGGTCAGGAGATTGAGACCATCCTGGCTAACATGGTGAAACCCTGCCTCTACTAAAAATACAAAAAATTAGCCGGACGTGGTGGCATGCACCTGTAGTCCCAGCTACTTGAGAGGCTGAGGCAGGAGAATCGCTTCAACCCGGGAGGCACGGAGGTTGCAATGAGTGGAGATCGCACCACTGCACTCCAGCCTGGGTGACAGAGTGAGACTCTGTCTCAAAAAAAAAAAAAAAAAATAGGACATCTGTGTCCAGGAATCTTTTTATCTCCCCACCACCCCTCAAGCAGTGCTGGGCTGACTGCAGAAGGCTCTTCCCTGTTCTGCACTTGTTCCATTTCTGTTTTTGAAAGATGAAGCCTGGGAGGTGCCAGAGCTATGCCAGCTGCTATGGGGCCAGAAACAGGTGAGGCTTTTAGGTCTGCTTGAGTTAAGGAGTGAGGGGTTTGTCCTCTTCAGCTAGCTTAAGGTCTCTGCTATGAAACTAGATAAGTATTCACATAGCTTGTTTTTCATTTGGGGCTATTTTCAGCCTTGGAGGCCAGCAAGGTGAATGATTGAGATGCTTTTATGGGGTTCAAGCTTTTGCTAGATCCTATTTGCCAGGATAGGTGCTCAGCCATTTTCCAGGACATCAGCTTTTCTGAACAAGCAGCACTGAAAGGAAGAAGCACTTCCCTTTTCTTTCAGGGGGCAGTATAGGAAATGTGAGGGTGGGTGGTCAGTTTAATATTATAACCCAGGTTTTAAGTAGAGAGGCTGTATAGTTTGGAACATTGCCATATAGTCTTTTTTTTTGAATTTTTGAGACAGAGTCTCCCTCTGTTGCCCAGGCTAGTGTGCAGTGGTGTGCTTTCTGCTCACTGCAGCCTCCACCTCCCAGATTCAAGGGATTTTCCTGCCTAAGCCTGGAGATTACAGGTGCACACCACCTGGGATTACAGGTGTGCACCACCATACCCAGCTGACTTTTTGTATTTTTAGTAGAGACGGGGTTTCACCATGTTGGCCAGGCTGGTCTTGAACTCCTGACCTCAAGTGATCCGCCCGTGTCGGCTTCCCAAAGTGCTGGGATTACAGGTGTTAGCCACCATGCCCGGCCGCCGTGTAGTCTTTAATGCAGTTTTGAGGGACTCATCTGAATTGTTCTTGTGTTTTTCTTGTCATCTTGACTGCCAGGCTTTACTATGGGGGTGGAGCTCTGTAAATGTATAGATCTGCTGCTGTCCAGAGACTTGATCTCTTTTGTGCTTGCACACCTCTAGGGCTAACAAAGCAGATGGAGTGGCCTGTACAAAGAGGTGATGCATCAGTGGTCTGTATCCAGGAGTGTTCTTGGGAGTTCCCTGTTTAGTGAGTGCTTACTATGTGCCAGGCAGCTGTGGCAACAGCAGTCATCATACTAGATGCTGAGGTTTTATCAGAGATACCTAAGGCAAGATCATTATCTTATCCCTGAGGCCCAACAAATAAATATTTGTTGTTTAATAAATGTTGATCCAAGGAATAAACTATATTTTAAAGGAACCCAGACACAGGGGGTGTGAGAAGGAAGCTAGCAGTCATTGAATGCCTACTATGTGCCAAGTACTGTGTTAAGTGCTTTCACAGATATTTAATTTTTTTTTTTTTTTTTGAGATAGAGTCTCGCTTTGTCGCCCAGGCTGGAGAGCAATGGCACGATTTTGGCTCACTGCAACCTTCACCTCCTGGGTCCAAGCGATTCTCTTACCTCAGCCTCCAGAGTAGCTGGGATTACAGGCACACGCCACCGCATCTGGCTAATTTTTTTATTTTTATTTTTTAGTAGAGATGGAGTTTCACCGTGGATACTTAATTTTTAATACGGTCTTCTGAGATTGTTAATGTTATTGATATCTTTGAGATGGACAAAATAAGAGGTTAAATTACTTGTTAAAGTCACTTTCTATTAGCCGTATCTAGGCGCTTTTTTGAGGGTCTGGCCTCTAGGTTTGGTAGATGCCTAACAGGGTAACCTTGTTTTTAGTATTGTTGGGTGAGTGGGGCTAGTCTGAGTCTTTTCAAAGTTGCAGGAGATGCAGTTTTCTAGGCTTGGTGCTGAAAATATAGATAAGGATAATATAAGGTACATAAACTGGAAGAATTACTATTGAGTGGGGAGACAGGTAAATAGGCATTACAGGGTAGTAAATATTAAGCAAAGACGGGCCTTTTTACTTTGTGAGAGGTACATTGGGCAGGGACTTTTACTCTGAGACTTCAACTCTTGTCCTTCTTTCCATACCTGTAGCTCCTCATTGGGATCTCCCTTATTCCCTGACCATGTGTTTCGACAGTTTCATGAGTGTTACTTTTTCATCAAGATTGCTTACTCCTTGAGACTAGATATTCTTTTTTTCTTTCTTACTGCCTCTTAGATATCTGACCTAGGCCATCACGCTTACCCTCTCTGGACCTTAGTGGCATTATCTGTAAAACAAGCCTAATGATAGGTGTTTTGCAATCTGAGAGCAGGGGCCAGTCCAAGTGGTGATCTCTGGAGGTTCATCTAGTTTTTCCAAATCTGTGATTTCTGTGATCATCCTCTTTTGGTCCTTATATAGAGCTGGATATCCAAGAGGCTTTAAGTTTGTCACAGAGATTGCTGAAGGTAATTTATGGTACCTCAGAAGTCTTAAGAACTTTTCTGTATCACCCCTGTTAGAGCTACATACCCAGTAGCACTGACAGAGACTCATGGCTTCTCCTGGCCAGTCCCTTGGACTGAACCAGTTTTCTCAGCCTGGTATGGAAGATTTGACTGAAGTTTTAAGCTCAAAAGGATATTGTGGCCGGGCATGGTGGCACACGCCTGTAATCCCAGCTACTCAGGAGGCTGAGGCAGGAGAATCGCTTGAACCTGGGAGGTGGAGGTTGCAGTGAGCCGAGATCACGCCACTGCACTCCAGCCTGGGTGATGGAGCAAGACTCTATTGCAAAAAAAAAGAAAAGCATATTGTATTTAAGTGTATTTTCTAGTATGGCTTATCTCATTATCAGCTAGGTCAACTAGAGGTAGTGCTTTCCTGATTTTGCTTCTAGAAGGCATTCTTTGAGCAGTGGGATAGGACCCCATCCTTAGGACTTTCACCTCTCCAGGTATTGGGCCAGAAGTCTAAAGCTCCATGAAATACTGTTTATGTACAATACCAGCTTGAGCTCTAAACTTGTAAAAGAATCAACTTTGATATGACTTAGGGTCCCATGGGACCTACCAGGAAGTCACAGGAACTCTGAGCCACAGCGAAGTCCACCACTAATTAGACAGTTAATAATAATGCTAATTGTTATGATAAGAAATGTATGTTGAATACTTATATGTCAGGTACAATTACATATTTATTTAATTCTCACAGCAGTCAATGACATAGATATTGTTATTATTCTCATTTTGTAGATGAAGAATCTAAAGTCATGTGTCTAGTAATTGGTGCAAGTAGGACTTAAACCTAATTAGAAATTTCATGTTCTAATTCCAAACTCTATTTTTTTTATTGTTTTAAATAAAAAAAATTTTATTTTTCATGTTTTTTTTTTGAGACAGAGTCTCGCTGTGTTGCCCAGGCTGGAGTGCAGTGGCACGATCTCGGCTCACTGCAACCTCTGCCTCCTGGGTTCAAGTGATTCTCCTGCCTCAGCCTCCTCAGTAACTGGGACTACTACAGGCACATGCCACCATATCCGGCTAATTTTTAGTGGAGACAGGGTTTCAACATGTTGGCCAGGCTGGTCTCAAACTCCTGACTTCAGGCGATCTTCTCACCTCAGCCACCCAAAGTGCTAGGATTACAGGTGTGAGCCACTGTGCAGGCTCACTATTGTATTTTAATTATTTACTTTGATATCCTCCTACCAGATTTTAAATTGCCAGAAGGCAGGGGCTGTTACTCTTCATTTCATTAAAAAAAGAAGTATTGAGTTATGGCTTACATACAATAAAATGAATTAAATGCTTGATGAATTTTTACCAATGTGTTTATCTATGTAACCACCACCTAGATCAAGATACATTTCTGCATCTTTCTAGAGTGTAGCATAGAGATGAGCAAACATTTTCTGTGGAGGGCCAGAGAGTGAATATTTTAGGCTTGATGGGCTATACCGCAAGTTGTAGCAGGAAAACAGCCATAGATAATATTTAAATGGACATGTGTAGCTGTGTCTAAGAAAACTTTGTTTACAAAAACAAGGTGTTTGGGCTAGATTTGGCCTGAGGGCCTCAGTTTGCTGATCCCTTGTCTAGCAGAGTGTCTAAGGACAAAATAGAAATTTGGTAAATGTTTGTTGAATTGTAGACAAAGACCTTGATTTCAGAAATCTCTTCTTGATTTTCTAGCAGTGGGGCAGCTTGTATCTCCATGGTAGGGCTGTACTTTGTTTTTATTTATTTTTTATGTTTTATTTATTTATTTTTGTTATTTAGTGTTTATTTCATAATCATAAACTTAACTCTGCAATCCAGCTAGTCATGGAAGAAAACAGAGAAAACATGGAGCCCAAAGGGAACTGCAGCAAGAGCACAAAGATTCAAGGATACTGCGAGCAAATGGGGTGGAGGGGTGCTCTCCTGACCTACAGAAGGAATGGTCTGGTGGCTAAGATAAAACACAAGTCAAACTTATTAAGAGTTGTCCACAGTCAGCAGTGGTGATCTTCTTGCTGGTCTTGCCATTCCTGGACCCAAAGTGCTCTATGGCCTCCACAATATTCATGCCTTCTTTCGCCTTGCCAAAGACCACATGCTTGCCATCCAACCACTCAGTCTTGGCAGTGCAGATGAAAAACTGGGAACTGTTTGTGTTGGGTCCAGCATTTGCCATGGACAAGATGCCAGGACCTGTATGCTTTAGGATGAAGTTCTCATCATCAAATTTCTCCCCGTAGATGGACTTGCTGCTAGTGCCATTATGGTGTGTGAAGTCACCACCCTGACACATAAACCCTGGAATAATTCTGTGAAAGCAGGAACCCTTATAACCAAATCCTTTCTCTCCAGTGCTCAGAGCACGAAAGTTTTCTGCTGTCTTTGGAACCTTGTCTGCAAATAGCTTGAAGGAGACATGGCCCAAGGGCTCGCTGTTGACAGCAATGTCGAAGAACACGGTGGGGTTAACCACGGCTGATAGTACGGGGCTCCCGGCAGCAGCAGCATCTGCAAAGACTTTTATGTTTTATTTTTAATAGAGATGGGGTTTTGCCATGTTGCCCAGGCTGGTCTTGAACTCCTGAGCTCAAGCAATCCACCCACTTCGTCCTCCCAAAATGCTAGGGCTATAATGTTGAGAGGTTCTTTGTGGAACAGGCTGCCTTTTGATAAGTTGTTTGTGTTCATAAGGGAATAAAAATGTCATCCCTTCCAGTACTCTCCCAATTTTGTTGGTGCAAGGTCTTCAGAATATTTGGGATCCATGAAAACAATATAGAGGGATGTTTGTATGAATCCCCTAAGGCTATTATGTGTTATTTATTTTGTCCTTGGTGCCTAGCCAGCATAGATGGACAGGGATGCTCAGTAAATATTTGTTTTTGAATGAATAAATGAATTTAAATTGCTTTCAGTATTTTAACAAGCCTAATGGAAATTGTACATTTACCTACAATAAAAGTGTCTTTGATTTTGGTTTCAATTATACAAGTTTTGTGTGAACACTAGTTTGCTCATGCCGATTAGTTCTTTGACTGGCAGTTGATGGCATCATAGGACATAAACCTACCCAGTGAGTGAATGACCTTGGACACAAGTACACAGCCAAAATAACCAACTGGTAGCAGAGCCTGGTGCATGAATATCTACATGTTTACTTCCACTTTCTTGCTCATTAGCAATATTATTTGTATATGGTTGATAATTGTATATGGTTGGTTAAAATCTGGGTCAACATTTTTTTTTTTTTTTGAGACAGAGTCTCGCTCTGTAGCCCAGTCACCCAGGCTGGAGTGCAGTGGCGCAATCGCAGCTCACTGCAACCTCTGCCTCCCGGGTTCAAGTGATTCTCCTGCCTCAGCCTCCCAAGTAGCTGGGATTACAGGCATGTGCCACCATGCCTGGCTAATATTTTTATTTTTTGTAGAGATGGGGTCAATATCAATATCCAAATAAGGTCTACATCATGTTGATTGATCTAAACCTTCAGTCTCTTCTGGGACTACAGGCACGTACCACCATGCCTAGCTAACTTTTGTATTTTTTGTAGAGATGGGGTTTTGCCATGTTGCCTAGGATGGTCTTGAACTCCGGAGCTCAAGCGATCTGCCCACCTCCCGAAATGTTGGGACTAGAGGTGTGAGCCACCACGCCAGGCCAATTTGAACTATATTTGAAAAAGAGGGTTCCATTGTTTAAAAATAAGTCTTGGAAACTATAGTATTGTAGCTGTTCTCTAACAGCACCAATTATGACAGGAACCAGGAACTATGAAGTGGGGACAGTGACTGTGACTAACTTGTAATATGTTTTAAACTTTTTTTTACTTCCTCATATTTGTTGTTTTTGGCTTACATTCTTTCTCAACCCAACAGTTAAACTCTTACAACAAAAAGGGCCCCGTATGTTTTCACTTTTGAAGGGAGAGATTGGTGGACTGTCTTACCCTAGAGCCAGGCTTCAGGCTTGGGGGCGGGAGTCCCAAGGGGTGGAGTGGGGGGTTCTGCTTTGATGAGCAAAGGAAGTGGTTAAGTCCCTGGGGCCTGTGCAGCCTGAACAAGAGCCCAAAAGTGACCTTGGGAGCATCTAAGACTAGACGCTCTTAGCAGAGCATGGGTCCCTTTTCCTTACCCCTTATTCCATAGCCTACAGGTTCTCTTTCAGTTGTCCAAAGGGCCTGGCTGGTCAGGCTTTAGTTGAGTCACATCCGACATGTTCCAGACCCAGGGTCCTGGTAGCTGTGTTTAGGGCTGATTCCTAGGAATCATGAGCTGATAACCTCAGGACAAAGAATGAAGGGTATCTTGTTTTTAACCGTGTTCTTTTTTCTTTTCTTTTTTTTGAGACAGGGTCTCGATTTGTTGCCCAGGCTGGAGTACAGTGGCACAGTCTCAGCTCACTGCAACCTCCGCCTTCCGGGTTCAAGCAATTCTCCTGCCTCAGCCTCCCAAGTATCTGGCATTACAGGCATGTGCCACCACGCCTGGCTAATTTTTTTTTTTTTTTTTTTTTTTAGTAGAGACAGGGTTTTGCCATGTTGGCCAGGCTGGTCTCAAACTCCTGACCTCAGGTGATCCACCCGCTTCGGCCTCCCAAAGTGCTGGGATTACAGGCGTGAGCCACCGCGCCCGGCCGACCCTGTTCTAAGGAAGGCCAAGGGCAGGAACCTCTTAGCAATAGCTTTGGCTGATCCTTGGCCAGCAATACATTTGTCACTCTGGCCAAGAGAAGAGCTGCTGTGGAGCACTTGGTGTTCTCTAGCCTTTGTGGAGGTCACAGGCAAACAGGGCAGGGGAGCAAGGCCTTAATTACTTAGGGACTCCTGGAGCAAAGCCACTTGGCAGTGTCTCAGCTTCTTGGTGGGACTGGCTCCTTCTCCTAGTGACAGTGCAAATACTCCTTCCCTTTATAGCTTTTAAACCTCCAAGAGATTGGTCTTCTTCCTTGAGCTTCAAGACATTTCTATGCAGTGTGGTTCAGGGCTGATTTTAAAAGCCGGATAGGTGGAATGACAAAAATTCCTTCCATCTGTGTAGCACTTTTTGGTCACTTACCCACATTTTATTTAGTTTCAAACCAACGGTCCTGTGAGTTGTAAATGAAGAGATTAAAGCCCAGAAAGGAGATGCACTTAACCAAGTTTATATAGCTAATTCGGCTCTGGGTTCCGGGAATAGTGTTCTTTCTTTCTCTCTCTTTCTTTCTTTCTTTCTTTCTTTCTTTCTTTCTTTCTTTCTTTCTTTCTTTCTTTCTTTCTTTCCTTCCTTCCTTCTTTCTTTCTTTCTTTCTTTCTTTCTTTCTTTCTTTCTTTCTTTCTTTCTTTTTCTTTCTTCCTTCCTTCCTTCCTTCCTTCCTTCCTTCCTTCCTTCCTTCCTTCCTTCCTTCCTTCCTTTCTTTCCTTCCTTCTTTCTTTTCTTTCTTTCTTTCTCTTTCTTTCTTTCTCTCTCTCTCTCTTTCTTTTCTTTTCTTTCTTTTCTTTCTTTCTTTCTTTCTTCTTTCTTTTTTTTTGAGATGGAGTCTTGCTCTGTTGCCCAGGCTGGAGTGTAGTGGCGCGATCTCGGCTCACTGCAAGCTCCGCCTCCCGGGTTCACGCCATTCTCCTGCCTCAGCCTCCCGAGTACCTGGGACTACAGGCGCCCACCACCACACCCGGCTAATTTTTTGTATTTTTAGTAGAGACGGGGTTTCACCATGTTAGCCAGGACGGTCTTGATCTCCTGATCTCGTGATCCGCCCACCTCGGCCTTCCAAAGTGCTGGGATTACAGGCGTGAGCCACTGCACCTGGCCGGAATAGTGCTCTCTCTCTACCATTATATGTGGGACAAGGGGAAAGGAGAATGGTAAATACAGTTATTTTATGTACTAGGCAATGGGTAAGGTGCTTAGTTTAGTTTTCTCACATTTTGTGGTAATTTATTTTTTAATCTCTATTTTAATGTTAGGGAAGCTGAGCTTCAGAGTAGTTGACTTACTCACGATCATAGAGCTAAGTGGCTGAGCCTGGATTCAGATCTAAGTCTATTTGACTTCAGAACCCATGTCTTTTCATCATTATACTATATTCCTCGATAGTTGTTTATTCTGAAACATCTTGATTGAGCTGCCGATGCAACACTAGGTAGTGTCACAAGGGATGCAAGGAAGCATAAGATTTAGTAATTTCTTCCCTCATGGAATACGTAATTTGGTGATACTGCTATGGCAGAGACAATGGTGCATAGGGATAGATAGAGACATGGGGCAGTGGGAGTTTAGGGAGCCCCCCAAATAATTGGTGGTGGGGGAAATTGTCAGAGAAGGCTTTCCAGAAAAGTTGGTACCTTAGCTTCTCTAGCGATAAAGAGCATGGGTCCTTGGGGTCAGCTTGCCTGGGTCTCATCACTATAGTACTATATGCTAGCTATAGTGCTTTGGGGAAGTTACTTAATGTCTCTGAGCCTGCTTCCTCATCTATAACATGGAAATTATTATAAAATCAATCTCATAGAGCTGTGCGAAGATTAAGATGAGATAATCTATGTTGAATAATTAGCAGCCAGCTTGACACATAATAAGCTCTCATTAAGTGTTAACCATTATAATTATCACTGTCTAATCTGTTTTTCTCCCATATCCTGCTCAAGTGGGGACAAATGTAGGCTCTCTTAGGGCCTGTTATTGTCAATAAAGTAGAGGTTTTGTCTAGAGTGATTTCAAAATATTTCTTTCAGGCCCAAGATTCTGTCAAAGTAAAAACTACTAAGTTAATTGTTTCCAGGAGGGCAGCTGTCAAGTTACTTTGTATCTTGTGGCAACCAAATCTGGCTTGAGTTCCATAAAGCCAGCTCTGGTGAGTTGCTGGAAATGCTACCTGATAAAGGCTCTTCTTTCCTCTGCTGCCTCTTCATTGGATTGACTGAAAGCTGGCCTCTTGGAATACTGGTCTATTTCTCTTCTCTTCCTCCAAGCTTATTGCGATGGAGAAGATGATGTAATTTTAGTAGTCCAGGTATTCTCTACTACTTTTGGGTCCTGTCTATTCTGGGTAACTGTGGAATAGCAGTACCTTTATATATTTGTACAGTGCTTTTTGTTTGTTTGTTTGTTTTTATTTTTTTATTTTATTATTATTATACTTTAAGTTTTAGGGTACATGTGTACAATGTGCAGGTTAGTTACATATGTATACCTGTGCCATGCTGGTGTGCTGCACCCATTAACTCGTCATTTAGCATTAGGTATATCTCCTAAAGCTATCCCTCCCCCCGCCACGCCCACCCCACAACAGTCCCCAGAGTGTGATGTTCCCCTTCCTGTGTCCATGTGTTCTCATTGTTCAATTCCCACCTATGAGTGAGAATATGTGGTGTTTGGTTTTTTGTTCTTGCGATAGTTTACTGAGAATGATGATTTCCAATTTCATCCATGTCCCTACAAAGGACACGAACTCATCATTTTTTATGGCTGCATAGTATTCCATGGTGTATATGTGCCACATTTTCTTAGTCCAGTCTACCATTGTTGGACATTTGGGTTGGTTCCAAGTCTTTGCTGTTGTGAATAATGCCGCAATAAACATACGTGTGCATGTGTCTTTATAGCAGCATGATTTATAGTCCTTTGGGTTATACCCAGTAATGGGATGGCTGGGTCAAATGGTATTTCTAGTTCTAGATCCTTGAGGAATCGCCACACTGACTTCCACAATGGTTGAACTAGTTTATAGTCCCACCAACAGTGTAAGAGTGTTCCTATTTCTCCACATCCTCTCCAGCACCTGTTGTTTCCTGACTTTTTAATGATTGCCATTCTAACTGGTGTGAGATGGTATCTCATTGTGGTTTTGATTTGCATTTCTCTGATGGCCAGTGATGGTGAGCATTTTTTCATGTGTCTTTTGGCTGCATAAATGTCTTCTTTTGAGAAGTGTCTGTTCATGTCCTTTGCCCACTTTTTGATGGGGGTTGTTTGTTTTTTTCTTGTAAATTTGTTTGAGTTCATTGTAGATTCTGGATATTAGCCCTTTGTCAGATGAGTAGGTTGTGAAAATTTTCTCCCATTTTGTCAGTTGCCTGTTCACTCTGATGGTAGTTTCTTTTGCTGTGCAGAAGCTCTTTAGTTTAATTAGATCCCATTTGTCAATTTTGGCTTTTGTTGCCATTGCTTTTGGTGTTTTAGACATGAAGTCCTTGCCCATGCCTATGTCCTGAATGGTAATGCCTAGGTTTTCTTCTAGGGTTTTTATGATTTTAGGTCTAACGTTTAAGTCTTTAATCCATGTTGAATTAATTTTTGTATAAGGTGTAAGGAAGGGATCCAGTTTCAGCTTTCTACATATGGCTAGCCAGTTTTCCCAGCACCATTTATTAAATAGGGAATCCTTTCCCCATTGCTTGTTTTTCTCAGGTTTGTCAAAGATCAGATAGTTGTAGATATGCGGCGTTATTTCTGAGGGCTCTGTTCTGTTCCATTGATCTATATCTCTGTTTTGGTACCAGTACCATGCTGTTTTGGTTACTGTAGCTTTGTAGTATAGTTTGAAGTCAGGTAGCGTGATGCCTCCAGCTTTGTTCTTTTGGCTTAGGACTGACTTGGCGATGTGGGCTCTTTTTTGGTTCCACATGAACTTTAAAGTAGTTTTTTCCAATTCTGTGAAGAAAGTCATTGGTAGTTTGATGGGGATGGCATTGAATCTATAAATTACCTTGGGCAGCATGGCCATTTTCACGATATTGATTCTTCCTACCCATGAGCATGGAATGTTCTTCCATTTGTTTGTATCCTCTTTTATTTCACTGAGCAGTGGTTTGTAGTTCTCCTTGAAGAGGTCCTTCACATCCCTTGTAAGTTGGATTCCTAGGTATTTTACTCTCTTTGAAGCAATTGTGAATGGGAGTTCACTCATGATTTGGCTCTCTGTTTGTCTGTTATTGGTGTATAAGAATGCTTGTGATTTTTGTACATTGATTTTGTATCCTGAGAGTTTGCTGAAGTTGCTTATCAGCTTAAGGAGATTTTGGGCTGAGACAATGGGGTTTTCTAGATATACAATCATGTCATCTGCAAACAGGGACAATTTGACTTCCTCTTTTCCTAATCGAATACCCTTTATTTCCTTCTCCTGCCTAATTGCCCTGGCCAGAACTTCCAACACTATGTTGAATAGGAGTGGTGAGAGAGGGCATCCCTGTCTTGTGCCAGTTTTCAAAGGGAATGCTTCCAGTTTTTGTCCATTCAGTATGATATTGGCTGTGGGTTTGTCATAGATAGCTCTTATTATTTTGAGATACATCCCATCAATACCTAATTTATTGAGAGTTTTTAGCATGAAGCGTTGTTGAATTTTGTCAAAGGCCTTTTCTGCATCTATTGAGATAATCATGTGGTTTTTGTCTTTGGCTCTGTTTATATGCTGGATTACATTTATTGATTTGTGTATATTGAACCAGCCTTGCATCCCAGGGATGAAGCCCACTTGATCATGGTGGATAAGCTTTTTGATGTGCTACTGGATTCGGTTTGCCAGTATTTTATTGAGGATTTTTGCATCAATGTTCATCAAGGATATTGGTCTAAAATTCTCTTTTTTGGTTGTGTCTCTGCCCAGCTTTGGTATCAGGATGATGCTGGCCTCATAAATTGAGTTAGGGAGGATTCCCTCTTTTTCTATTGATTGGAATAGTTTCAGAAGGAATGGTACCAGTTCCTCCTTGTACCTCTGCCTAAGCAAGCCTGGGCAATGGCAGACGACCCTCCCCCAGCCTCACTGCTGCCTTGCAGTTTGATCTCAGACTGCTGTGCTAGCAATCAGCAAGACTCCCTGGGCGTATGACCCTCCGAGCCAGGTGCGGGATACAATCTCCTGGTGCGCTGTTTTTTAAGCCCGTGGGAAAAGCGCAGTATTGGGGTGGGAGTGACCCGATTTTCCAGGTGCCGTCTGTCGTCCCTTTCTTTGACTAGGAAAGGGAACTCCCTGACCCCTTGCACTTCCCGAGTGAGGCAATGCCTCGCCCTGCTTCGGCTCGTGCACGGTGCGCCGCACCCACTGTCCTGCACCCACTGTCTGGCACTCCCCAGTGAGATGAACCCGGTACCTCACATGGAAATGCAGAAATCACCATCTTCTGCAGCGCTCATGCTGGGAGCTGTAGGCCAGAGCTGTTCCTATTCGGCCATCTTGGCTCCCGACCTGTTTGTTTGTTTTTTGAGACAGAGTCTTTCCCTCTATTGCCCAGGCTAGAGTGCAGGTTTGCGATCACAGCTCACTGCAGCCTTCTGGGCACAAATGATCCTCCCACCTCAGCCTCCCAAGTATCTGGGACTACAGGCACACCCCGCCATGCCTGGCTAATATATTTTTTGTAGAGATGGGTTCTCACTCTGTTGCCTAAGCTGGTCTTGAACTCCTGGACTCAAGCAGTCTTCCCACCTTGGCTTCCCAAAGTGTTGGGATTACAGGCATGAGCCACTGTGGCTGGCCCAATGCATTGTTTTAAGATATAATGAGTGTAGTGGCTAGGCACGGTGGCTCACACCTGTAATCCCAGCACTTTGGGAGGCTGAGGCAGTCGGATCACTTGAGGTCAGGAGTTCAAGACTAGCCTGGCCAACATGGCGAAACCCTGTCTCTATTAAAAATACAAAAATTAGCCGGGCATGGTGGTGTGCGCTTGTAGTCCCATCTGCTCTGGAGGTTGAGGCAGGAGAATTGCTTGAACCCAGGAGGCGGAGGCTGCAGTCACACCACTGCACTCCAGCCTGGGCGACAGAGAGAGACTCAGCCTCAAAAAAATAAATAAAATAAGTGTTCTTCAGAATGTCAGTATCAGGTGAAATGGCATTATTATTATTACTCAGTAAAAGACCTTTGAGATTAAGTTAGGAAAAGCTAGGAGGCTTTAATATGATAAGGAAAGGTATACAGGGTTTTCTATGTTTTTCTGAACATGTAATCTTTTTTTATCCTCAAAAACCACCTATTGACATTTTGTTAGATACCAGTGTTCCACAGAACACCATTAGGTAAATGAACACAGTGTGGTCCCCTGCTTTTCTATTAGTATGACTTGGAGAAGTAGTATGGCCAGCTGTCCTTTAGTTGACAAGGTACCTCCATGGCTCCTTTTCAAAGAGAAAATGAGATACTTAATGACAGCTTATGTGTCAGAAAATCTCCTAAGTGTTTAACATAGATTACATCTTTGTGTTCACAATAGCTCTATGAGATTGCTGATATAGTTTTCTCCATGTTGTTGTTGTAGAAAGGTATAGATCTTGGTTAATCCACCAGTCCCTGGTTATGTCTCAGACTCAGTGGTAGGAGATTTAGCTAACTGAGCTTTTATTGTTTGCCTAAGCCTTCTTCATTTTTTTCTTTTGAGATAGCATCTCGCTCTGTTGCCCAGGCTGGAGTACACTCCAGCAGTGCAGCCACAGCTCACTGCACCCTTGACTTCCTGGGCTCAGGTGATCCTCCTGCCCCAGGCTCCAGTCTCCTGAGTAGCTGAAACTACAGGCACGTGCCACGATGCCCAGCTAATTTTTGTATTTTTTGTAGAGACGGGGTTTTGCCATATTGCCCAGGCTGGTCTCGAACTCGTGAGCTCAAGCAATCTTCCTGCCTTGGTCCCCCAAAGTGCTGGGATTACAGGCATGAGCCAATGTGGCTGGCCCCCAACATTTCTTAAACATTTATTGTTCTTGGGTAATGGAGATGTAGTGATGGAAAACCAGACACTGCCTCATGGAACTTAATCTAATAGAGATGATTAGATATGAGTGTGGAAGTATAAGTTACACATTGGGACTTTAGAGGTTAAGGGAAGGCAGATATTTTTATGAGTTACTGTAGCTTCCTGGGATGGTGTGACTTAACTAATCCCTAAAACTCTGTTTAAGTTTATATACTGCAGAAGCTTGGGAGGCATTTAGATTGGAAAATGACCTGAGTGAAAATAGGAGTGAGCAGAGAGCAGCGATCCCCAATCTTTTTGGCACCAGGGATCGGTTTCATGCAAGATAATTTTTCCACAGACCAGGGTGCGGGGTGGGGATGATTTTGGGATGAAACTGTTTCACTTCAGATCATCAGGCATTAGATTCTCATAAGGAGCACGCAACCTAGATTCCTCGCATGTGCAGTTCACAATAGGCTTTGCACTCCTGTGAGAACCTAATGCTGCCACTGATATGACAGGAGGCGGAGCTCAGGCAGTAATGCTCGCTTGCCTGCCGCTCACCTCCTGCTGTGTGGCCTGGTTCCTAACAAGGCACGGACTGGTACAGTCTGCAGCCTGAGGGTTGGGGACCCTTGGCATAGGGAATAGAATGCTCAGGAGAAGGTGGTATCCTGTACTGCTCTTAGGCATGACACCACCTGTGAGACTGCTGAAGGCGTTAATTTCTGGCCAGCTGAAGGTAGCATTGCCAGAAGGAGGAGCTGGGCAGATTGCAATTGGTGTTGTGGATAGAGGCAAAGGATCATAAATGATCGTCAGAAGGGAGCTGGTGGATTATGGAATGTGAAATGGGACAGGGCAACATTTCATATCTCAGGCTATGAATGACAGAGGGACTTGGAACCTGAACATGTTTATATATAATTTATTAAGTTCTTACCATGTGCCAGGTACTATTCTTTGCATTTTTAATGCTAAGCTTATTTAATTTTTATTAGTAGTTTATTCAGATTAGCTTATTTAATCTTTGTACCAACCCTATGAAAGTAGGTACTATTATTTTACTGTTTTAAAGATGGGAAAACTGAGGCCTAGAGAACTGAAATAATTTGCCCAAACTCACATGGCTAATAAGTGGTAGAGGTGGGATTCGGGCCCAGGTAATATGTTTTCAGTGTGCTTGTTCCTAATCACTCTGGTTTACAGTTTTAAGCAATGAGAAGTCATTATAGATTTCTGCCTAGTGAAGCAACTTGTTTGTAAGTATTGTGATGCAGGGCAATTTCCCAAGCCTTGATGGAAGGCAAGAAGACCAGCCACAGGGTGTTGTAGCAACCATCCCAGTTGCTTTGGAAGATGTATAAAGGTCTTGGAGTTATTTCACAAATTACTTCCTGAGATGGCTCTGTCAGTTGGCAGTCCTACCTGTCAGCTCAGCCCATTTTAGAAATCATTTTCCAAAGAATTTTAACCTTAAGGAAGCTCTCCTCTTTCTATTGAACAGGCTGTACCAGGCATAGGGGCCCCAGGAACCAGGTAGGAAATAGCTCTTGTGGGGTCAGTCCATCTGGAAGCATTTGCAAGAGGGGAAGTTGAAACTATTGAGACTTCCTGTTGTCATTAGAATTTGCTCTCCTGCTATAGGGGGAGTATCCCCTGTTAGGACTGATAGTCTGGTTGCTTATCTTGAGAGGCTGGGCAAGTGGGTTGGGGTGCAGAGATGTGAAAGACATAGTCTGTGTCCATGAACAACCTGCAGGTTACTGAGACACCCATAAACAAGTGCACTCTGTACAGTGTCACAAGTGCTACAATAGAGGTACATAGAAAATGTCCTGGGAAAGGCTGGGCTTGGTGGCTCACGCCTGTAATCCCAGCACTTTGGGAGGCTGAGGCGGGTAGATCACGAGGTCAGCAGTTCGAGACCAGCCTGACCAATATGGTGAAACCCCATCTCTACTAAAAATACAAAAATTAGCTGGGTGTGGTGGTATGTGCCTGTAATCTCAGCTAGACAGGAGGCTGAGGCAGGAGAATTGCTTGAACCCGGGAGGCAGAGGTTGCAGTGAGCCGAGATCGCTCCACTGTACTCCAGCCTGGGTGACAGAGTGAGACTCTGTCTCAAAAAAAAAAAAAAAAAAAAAAAGAAAATATACTGGGAGAGAAAGGAAGGAGGGTCTAAATACTTAGCAATATCAAAGATGCCACCCTGTAAGGATGACCAGGGTTGTGCCAGACAGAGTGCCCTGGAGCATATTCTGGGCAGTGTGACTGTGGAAGTGCATGGCATATTCAGTGAATGACGAGTTGTTCCCTGAACTGGAGTGTTGGACTACTTGGAGGGAGTGGCACGAGATGAAGCTGGGTGTGTGTGAAGGGCCAGATCCCGAATGACCTTGTATTTTATGGTAAAGAGCTTAAATCCTATTGGAGTTAAGCTTTACCGTCGATATTTAAGATGGGTGTGACATGACCAGAGTGTTTTTTTTAGGAAGACCTCTTATATGCCTGTGCTTAGAATGTATAGATTATAACTAGAGGCAGGGAAGGCAGCCAGAAGATTTGCAGTAGCAGATGATGAGGCTGGAACAAGGGTAGTGGTCATGGGGGTTGATTTAAATTGTGTGACGGAAGGATGAAGGAGGCAGTGTTAGGTGACTGGGCATTACTGTGATGCTGTTAACACATGGAATACAAGAGAGAGAGCCGGGGAAGTTAATGCTGCTCTTGAGATGGTTATGGGTGATATCCATGAGAAAATATCTGGTAGTTGGGGGAGAAGACATGAGTTTTGGAGTTCCTGAGAGAGGTAGGAATAGACATGAGAGAATCATGAACTCTAAGAAATAGTAGAGACTGTAGAAGTAGATGAGATCACCTGAGTAAAATTTATAAAATGGGGAAAGAAAGGGGGTTAAGGATAGAGCAGAGAGGAACTCTGATATGTGTGGACAGAAAAGTTAGGGAGGGAGCCTGAGGAGGGGCAATCAGAGAGGCAAGAGAAAGTACTGTCTGGGAAGCCAGGAATGAGAAAAGTTTCTAAAAGAAAGCAATAGTGTCTGTTGCAGCAGAGAACAGGTAGGGTGAGCCTGAAATGAGGCTACTGAGTCATTGGTGACCATGGTGACAGCAGTTTCAGTGGAGGGGTGGGGACAGAAGCTAGACTGCTGTGGCTTAGGGAGTCAGTATGAGGCAAAGATGTAGAACAAAAGACTTTTTTGAGAAATATAGTTGCGAGGGAAGGAAGGAAAGAGGGTGGTATTTTGAAGAGGCAGCAGAGGAGGCAGGTTCAAAGATTTTTTTTTTTTTTTAAAGGTGGAGGGGTGGAGTGGAGACCTGAGCTGGTATAGGTTGTGGGGAGAAGAGATTGAGAAATGTAGCCAGTGAAGGTGCCACATCTCCCTGAATACTTCATACTATTGTGGGAGTCTTAAACTGTGCTGCTCTGCTGAAGCCTGCGGTCACTAGAGCATGGGGCAGACAAGGGAGACCTTGTCATTCATAAGTAATCATTGCACCATTTATTGAGTAACCGCTGCATGCCAGGCATTTTTCTAGATACATTAGACACATCTCTGATGCTCACCACAGTTCCCAGAAGTGAGTATTGTCCCTATTTTCCAAATGCAGAAACAGATGAGTTAAGAAACATTCAGCTAGTTAGTGGTGGAGCCAGTTTCAGCCAGGTTTCTGGAACTGCATGATGTATTCTTTCTGCTTCCCAGTGCTATTTTTTTTCCATTAAATGGAGCTTAATGTTGAAACTCTAAAGAGGGCCCTTGCAGGGGGCAGGGTGGGTGGCCTAGAGGGACAAAGGTAGAGTTCTGGGGCTAGTGCTAGCCTGGAGGGAACATGACTTAATATCTGGGATGAGGGAGGAGGGTCTTGGTCTGGCCTTGCTCTACCTTTTCTTTACTTACCAGTGGCTCTGGTGGTTTCAGGCTTTTACTCTATTTTTCTGCATCTTTCTGTAACTTCTTACCAGGGCCCCTGAGGCCCTAGCTGCTGTGTGCTATGGACTGTTACAGAGGAAAAAAAGAATCAGCTTCCAGGCCCAGAGGGGCTTATCCTTTTTGACAAACTACTCGTGAGGAATTGCTGAGCTGTAGGATGCACTCTCTTTGGCACAGTGGTAGGCTTCTTCCTAAGTATTTTTATTTGAGTTGAATAATTTTGATTCAGTGGAAAGAGCAAAACACTGAGAATTAGAAGACATGATTTCCAGTCTAAGAGATGAACTAGGTTACCTCAGGCGAGTCATTCTCCCTTTGCATATTTACTTGATGTAAGGTAGGGACTGTGTTTTACTCATCCTTGTATCCTGAGCAGCTAGCATATGCCCTGACTGAATAGGTGTCCTGAATAAGTTTATTATGGAGCTAGTTAATCTGCTCTTCTATTAAATGAGAAAATTGGACCTTTTGATTTCCAAAGATTTGCCAATTCTAAAGCGTATTGTTCTGTGAGGGCTTATGATGTTTTAATTATAAAATAATATATACTGTCACTTAGCACCTACTATTTGCTAGGCATTGTGTGAGGTTCTTTACATATTTATTTTATTTAGGTGATTTAAAAAAATTTAAATTTTGTCTAGGTGCTTTAGAAATACTATGGTCCCTTAGGCTATAAGCTCCATGAGGATAGTACCAGTGCCTGTTCACTGCTGTAACCCTAATGCTGAGCACAGTGCTAGGCATGTAATGGATGCTCAGTAAGTTTTTGTTGAATAAAGCAATAAGTAGATGTCTTACCATCGATAAGATAACAATCTTTTAAGATAGGTACTATTAGTACCATCGTATAGATAAGAAAATTGAGGGTAAAAGGTCACAGAACTAGTAAATGGCTGAGAGAGAGAAGATTCAAACCTAAATCCAACTCTAAAATTGGTACCTTTACTACTTAACACCAGCGTGCCTTCACTTATCTGATGTTTTAATTGCAAATTTGAAAAGAAGGACAACAGTAAAGAAGGATACAAGATCAGAAAATCAAATTTTTCTTGAGGGGTGGGGACAGGGTTAGAGGTTGGGCACTGAAGTTTAGAAGTTGGCAATTATCTCCAATACCTTAAGAATAAAAAGGGGTTTATAAGCTTGGGAAGCTGGGGGAAAAAACGAACAAAACGGGGTTATAATGGCAGTTACTATTCACTGGGAGCTTTGTTTATTGAATATCTCATGGCATTAAAAGTCCACTTACATAATTTTAACTATCATCTATTTATTGACAACTCAAATTTGTGTTTCCAGCTTAGATTTCTCCCTGAATTTTAGACTTGCATATCTAACCTCTTAATTAACATTTTAGATATCTAATAGGCATTTTAAATTTAACAAGTTTCACTTACATGGAATCTGTCAGCATATCCTGTCGGTTCTACCTTTAAAACAAATCCAACATTCAGATACTTTTCATTACCTCTGCACCTACCACCCTGATCCACGTTACCATCGTCTCTTGCCTGGTGAGATAATAGCCTAACTGATTGCCCTGCTTTTGCCCTTGCCTGTCTACAGTTTATTCTAAACAGGAAGCCGGAGTGATCCTTTCAAAACGTAAATCCAAATTATATAACTCTTCTGTTCAAAATTGTTCAGTGGCTTTACATATCTCTCAGGGAAAAAGCCAAAGCCCTTAGAGTGGCCCACAAGATCACATATGACTTGGCTCCCAGTTACTGTCTTAGCCTCATTTCCTCTCCACCTGCTCACCCTGCCCCACTGGCTTTCTTACCATTCTTTGAACAATAGAGACAGACATACTCTTGCCTCAGGGCCTTTGCATTGGTTCTTCCTTCTTACTCTAACTTTCTGCATGGCTCATGCCTTATTTCCTTCAGATCTTTTGGTCAAATTTCAACTCAGTGAGGCCTTATCCAATCATTCTATTTAAAAATAGCAATCCCTCCCCCACCACACACTGCAACCCCTTTCTCTATTTTTCATTACAGCATTTATCACCATCTGGCATATTTATTGGTCAGGCCTTTCACCTTGCACCCCCACTCCCTGTTAGTTCCATAAGAGCAGGGGTTTTTGTTAATGGCTAAATCCTCAGTGCTAGAATACTGACTGGTGCATATAGCATATACTTAGTAAATATTTGTTGACTGAATGAACAAATGATTGAATAACCTTTTTGGGCCTGGTATATTTCTTGATGCTTTATATATATTTGTTTACTTTTCTGCACAACAGTCTTGCAGGATACTACTATTATTCCCATTTTATGAATGGGGAAAGTTATTTGCTGGCCAGGCACGGCGGCTCACGCCTGTAATCCCAGCACTTTGGGAGGCCAAGGCAGGTGAATCACGAGGTCAGGAGATTGAGACCATCCTGGCTAACCCGGTGAAACCCTGTCTCTACTAAAAACACAAAAAATTAGCTGGGCGTGGTGGCGGGCGCCTGTAGTCCCAGCTACCTGGGAGGCTGAGACAGGAGAATGGCATGAACCTGGGAGGTGGAGCTTGCAGTAAGCTGAGATCGAGCCACTGCACTCCAGGCTGGGTGACAGAGCGAGACTCCATCTCAAAAAAAAAAAAAGTTATTTGCCAAGATTGCATGGCTAGAAAGTTTAAAGCCTAGGTTTATTCTGCTTAATACATTGTCAAGCTCAAATAAAATGTTATAGAAAGATGGCTTATGGCTTATAAATATTGTTGCTTTGCTGCTGAATGGAGTTTATAAACCACAAGCCTAGAAACCAGAAGAAAGCCGAAGTCTGAATTTCCTGAACTGGACATTGCTCATTCACTCACTTGGGAGCAAGCTGATATTTGTGACTGTGACATACCTGGAAGCCTAAAATACACCTGGAAAAAGGCCTTTGTGTGAGTTCTTCCTGTGCACCATTTGACCCATATTTGGCTTGCATACACAGAAAGTGAGGGGGGTTTTATGATGATTTGGAAGTTTTTCTCCCCTACCACCCCAGAGAAAGACCTTCTTTCCCTAGTTGGGGATAGTACTAGTGTTACTTTGGGCCAGTTGCTTCATGTCACTTTTCTTTCCTGAGTTGAGTGCCAGCCAAGGCCAGAGTGCAAATCATTCCCAAGGTATACTGGGGTATGACTTTCTCTTTGGTATGGTGACTGGGGAGGCCAAGGCCAGAGCTGATCTCAAAGTAAGATGAAACTGGGGTCAGTGATGTCTCCAGGGTAAAATGAGGGTGGGTTCAAGTGCCGTCCTAATAGAGCTTTGTCATTTCAAGGATTCTGTCAGAAAGAAGGTGAGAGAGAATAAGGTCTGGATCCAACTCCCCAGCTGATTGGGGGTATGGGTATAACATATCTCCCTCCTAAGTCCCAGGTACCAGTAACTTTGGGGTGAGGGTCCTGGTGAAGTCCTGGGCTTATGAGAGACCCAGGCAGAGGAAGCAGAAGCAGATATATTCAGTAAGGCTATTCTCAGTAATATGACAGAAGTAGAATAGTAGGAGGTGGAAAAAAAGTCATCTTATGGGGCTGGGCGCAGTGGCTCACGCCTGTAATCCCAGCACTTTGAGAGGCTGAGGCGGGCGGATCACGAGGTCAGGAGATTGAGACCATCCTGGCTAACACGGTGAAACTCCGTCTCTACTAAAAATACAAAAAATTAGCCTGGTGCGGTGGTGGGCGCCTGTGATCCCAGCTACTTGGGAGGCTGAGGCAGGAGAATGGCATGATCCTGGCACTGCACTCCAGCCTGGGTGACAGAGCGAGACTCCATCTCAAAGAAAAAAAAAAAAGAAAAAAAAAGTCATCTTGTGGTATTATATGGTCAATAACATATGTAAAGAAGAGTGAATAATGAGGTATGGATTAGAATGGCACCCAGAGGGAAATGAGACTGGAATCAGAGCCGTTCCGAGGAAATAATGAAAATATGAGAACTTTCCCTAGGGTGAGATAAGTCTGTGGGAAATGTGTATGAGGTGACAAAATCATTCCCAGGGTGAAAGAAAAAAATATGTTTGAGCAGCCATGAGTAGGAAGGGAAGCATAATGAGAGGGAAGAATTTTAGGGCAAGATGTTTAGGAGATAAGGCTAGGGAAACAAGCAGATGCCAGATTATAGAGAGCCTTGTCTATCTGTTAAGGATTTGCGACTATATTCTTTGGGCAATGCAGAACCACTGAAAAATTTAAAATAAGGGATAGACATGGTCAAATTTCCTCCTGGTCATAATGACCTGTGTTCCTAGGGGAGCTGAGGTCAGGAAAGGTTAGAAAAGAGTATGGCAGTTTAGGGACTCTAGGCAGATGTTTATTGAAAGCCAAAAGTATCTGGCGTATCCATCTGAGCAGAGATGCCAGAGGACTGGATGAAACCTGACCTGAGTGAAGTAAGCAGAGGCTTTCCTGGACCTCATCAAAAACTAAGGTCCAGCTGGGCATGGTGGCACCTGCTTGCAGTCCCAGCTACTCAGGAGCTGAGGTGGGAAGATTGCTTGAGTTTAGGAGTTCAAGACCAGCCTAGGCAACATACGACACCCTGTCTCTTAAAACAAAAAAATTTAGAACTAAAAACCTCTGTGGATGCACAACACTATAAATGTACTAAATACCACTGAATTGTTCACTTAAAAATGGTGAATGTTATATGAATTTCACCTCAATAAAAGATTAAAACTAAAAACAGGCCGGGCGAGGTGGCTCATGCCTGTAATGCCAGTACTTTGGGAGGCCGAAGTGGGCGGATTACAAGATCAGGAGTTCGAGACCAGCCTGACCAACATGGTGAAACCCCTGTCTCTACTAAAAAAAAAAAAAAAAAAATATCCGGGCGTGGTGGTGCCTGCCTATAATCCCAGCTACTCAGGAGGCTGAGGCAGGAGAATCGCTTGAATCCAGGAGGCGAAGGTTGCAATGAGCTGAGATCGCACCACCGCACTCCAGCCTGGGCAACAGAGCGAGACAAACAGACAAACAAACAAACAAGAAAACTGAAAACAAACTAACAAATCTACAAGTCTCATCCTGCTGGAGTCTGTGGGATTTGGCCTGGATTTGCCTTCCTTCTGTAAGGGCTTGGTTTATCAGTGGTAGCATTGGGGAGATAAGGATAGGACTAGGCATAGCAGCAAGGATGAGACTCCAAAGCATGTGTCCTTGTCCATCCTTCCAGTTGGCTGCCAGAATCTTCTAACAAGTCAATCTAACTGTGGCCCACCTCTGCTCAGAAGTCTATTGCTTTCCTATTTCTCAGAGATTCTAAAATCCAAGCTTCTCAATCTGGTGTTCCTGGCATTCTATGATCTGGGTTCTGCATATTGTCTTTTCAGCAAACATTTTTCTATGCTATTATTCATGTTTTCCATTTTGCTTGGAATGTCTCCTTACCATCTTTTTAAAATTGTTTTTGTTTTTTTGAGACAGGGTCTCACTCTGTTGCCCAGGCTGCAGAGCTCAACCTCCTGAGCTCAAGTGATCCTCCCACCTAACCCTCTTGAGTAGCTCGGACTACAGGCATATACCACCATGCCCGGCTAACTTTAAAATTTTTTTTGTAGAGACGGGGTCTCCTTCTGTTGCTCAAGCTGCTCTCAAACTCCTGGGTTCAAGTGATCCTCCTGTCTTGGCCTCCCACAGTGTTGGGTGTGAGCCACCACCCCTGGCTTGCTTACTCTTTTCTATCTAGTAAACTCCTCATCTTTTAGTACATAGCTCCAGTGTCACCACTTTTTAAGCTTTCTCTGTCCTCCTTGCCTGTAGGCAGGCAGTCTATTCTACTGTTACTCTCCTATCATACTTTATATGTCTCAGTTATCTTGCTGCATTGTGGTTGCTTTGTATGTGATTGCCACACAAGATTGGAAGTTTTTTAAAGACAGAAACACTGCTTTGCTGTTGTTGTTGTTGTTGTTTTCTATACCACTTGGCCTAGTATTGCACAGAGATAGCACTTACTGATTTTTTAGAGCAACTTTTATTTCCACCATAAATACTGGTCACAGAAGTTAAATAAGTAGGCTTTGTTGGTATTGTTCAGTCTAGTGAGGCTAATAGGGGGCATCTATCCATAACTGTCCTTCCATTCCCTTCTCCTTTCCCTTCTCCCTAACCTTCTCCCCTCCCATCCCCTCTCCTCCCCTCCCTTCTCCCCTCCCCTCTCCTCCTTTCTCCCCTCCCCTCCCTTCTCCCCTACCTTCTCCCCTCCCTTCTCCCCTCCCCTCCCTTATCCCCTCCCTTCTCTCCTTCCCTCCCCTCCCCTCTCTTCCCCTCTCTTCTCTCTTTCTTTTTTTCCAAGCTAGCCATCAGGTTTCACTGAACAATAACTGCAAACTTCAGTATAGCTGGGTTTGGGAATAAATTTTTTTTTTTGAGACGGAGTTTCACTTTGGTGCCCAGGCTGTAGTGCAATGGTGCGATCTCAGCTCACTGCAACCTCCGCCTCCCAGATTCAAGTGATTCTCCTACCTCAGCCTCCCAAGTAGCTGGGATTACAGGTACCCACCATGATGTCCAACTAATTTTTTGTATTTTTAGTAGAGATGGGGTTTCGCCATGTTGGCCAGGCTGTTCTTGAACTCCTGACCTCAAGTGATCCACCCGCCTTGGCCTCCCAAAGTGTTGGGATTACAGGTGTGAGCCACCGTGTGCAGCCAAATCATTTGTTTAATAAGACAAAATATAAAAAAAACTGAGGTAATATGAAAGAGATTCTTAGATGCCTTTGCCAATGTGGGCTCTCTCATTCTTTATTTAATGATAGAACACCTGAGTTTTAGCAGGATGCATAGCTGCTCAGCTTCCTTTGCAACTAAGTGTGGCCACATGTGTCAGTTCTATCTGGGGGGTGAGGATCCAAGTGGAAATCTTATGTGTACCACTTCTATATCATGTACTTAAAAACAGTATGTGGTGCTTCTCTTTCCCTTTTTCCCTTCCTGCTAGCTGGAATATGGTGAGATCTACAGCACCTTTTTTGGTCCCAGAGATGGAAGCCTCATTTTGAGTGAGAATGGCAAAGTCCCACTCTCATTTGAGACTGCTCACTGCTTAACTATTATGAGAGAGAAATAAACTTTTTGTTTAATCCACTGTATTTGAGGGTCTCTTAGTTACAGCAGCTTTATCTGTATCCTGACCAGTACAGTGAGGCATCAAATTGCTGCAGTATCAAGTTGCTTTTTTTTTTCTTTTCTTAGGACAGGGTCTTGCTGTCGCCCAGGCTGCAATGCAGTGGTGTCATCACCACTCACTGCAGCCTTGATCCCTGGGACTCAAGTGATCCTCCTACCTCAGCCTCCTGAGTAGCTGGGACCACAGATGGGCACTACCATGCCTGGCTATTTTTTTTTTTCTTTCTAGAAATGAGGTCTCACGATGTTACCCAGGCCAGTCTTGAACACTTGGGCTCAAGTGATCCTCCCGCTTCAGCCTTCCAAAGTGCTGGAGTTACAGGGATCAACCACTGTGCCCAGTTTAAGTTGCTTCTTGCTGCTGTTCATGGGTATCTCTTAGTCACACTATGCACCGGGTTCCTGACTGTTTCTTGCCATGCCTTGCTTCTAAGCCTTAATTCCTGATGCCTGGATGATTCCCTGAACTCTCTCATATACTTAAAGACATTTTATTGAGGTGAAATTCATAGAACATTAACCATTTCGAATTAAACAATTCAGTAGCATTTAGTACATTCACAATGTTGTACAGCCACCACTTCTATCTAGCACCAAAACATTTCTGTCATTCCAAAGGAAAACCCCTTACCTATTAAGCAGTTTCTCCCTATTTTCCGCTCCCGCTGGCAGCCACCAATAGGATTTACCTATTTTGGATATTTCATATCAATGAAATCATATAATATGTGACCTTTTGTATCTGGCTTCTTAGAATAATATTTTGGAGCTTAATCTACGTTGTAACGTGTCGGTACTTTCTTTTTTTATTATTTTTTTTGGTGGTAAAATATATATAACCAAATTTTGTCATTTTATTCATTGATAAGTATACAATTTAATTACAGTAATTACACTCACAGTATTGTGCAACTTTCACCACTATTTTAAAACATTTTTCATCATCCCAAACAGAAACTTTGTACTTATTAAGCAATAACTCCCCATTCCTCCCTCCTGCTAGCCTTTGTTAACTTCCAGTCTACTTTTTGTCTTCGTGAATTTGCCTATTCTAGATATTTAATTAAGTGGAATCATATAATGTTTGTCTTTTTACGTCTTGCTTATTTCACTTAGCATAATGTTTTCAAGGTCCATCTATGTTGCAACATGCATCAGAAAACTTCATTTTTTTTTTTTACTGGCTGAATTATGTGTATATATACATACCACAATTTGTTTATTCATCTGTTGATGAATATTTAGACTGCTATGCTATGGACATGCTAGTTACATGTACTTGTTCCAGTACCTGTTTTCAATTTTTTTATATTTTTTGAGACGGAGTCTCACTCTGTCGCCAGGCTGGAGTACAGTGGCGCAGTCTCAGCTCACTGCAATCTCTGCCTCTTGGGTTCAAACAATTCTCCTGTCTCAGCCTCCCGAGTAGCTGGAATTACAGGTGTGCACCGCCACGCCCGGCTGATTTTTGTATTTTTAGTGGAGATGGGGTTTCACCATATTGGCCAGGATGGTCTCAATCTCCTGACCTCGTGATCCGCCCGCCTCGGCCTCCCAAAGTGCTGGGACTACAGGCGTGAGCTACCGCCCCTGGCCTGTTTTCAATTTTTGGGAGTGTATCATAGGAGTGGAATTGTAGAATTGTATGGTAGCTTTATGTTTAAGTTTTTGAGGAACCACCAAACTGTTTTCCATAGCAGCTATACCATTTTACATTCCCATCAGCAGTGTATAAGGGGTTCCAATTTTTCCACATCTTTGCCAGTACTTCTTTTTTTTTTCCTTTTTGGTTTTGTTTTTAATTACAACCATCCTAGTGGGTGTGACATGTTATCTCGTTGTGGTTTGATTTGTGTTTCCCTAGTGACTAATGATGTTGATCATCTTCTCATGTGCTTATTGGCCATTTGTATGTCTTCTTTGGAGAATGTGTATTTAAGTCCTTTGTCCATTTAAAATTAGGTTGTTTTTTGTTGTTGAGTTATGAAAATTCCTTATATATTCTGAATACTAGACCCTTAATGAGATGTATGATTTGCAAATATTTTCTCCCATTCTATAGGTTGATTTTTCACTTTCTTGATAATGTCTTTTGATACACTGTAGCTTTAAATTTATTTTTATTTTTTAGAGACGAGATTTTGCTATGTTGCCCAGGTGCATCTCGAATTCCCGGGCTCAAGCAATACACCTGCCTCAGCCTTGCAGAGTGTTGGGATTAATAGGCCTGAGCCACTGTATCCAGTCTAGTTTTTAATTTTTTTTTTTTTTTGAGACGGAGCCTTGCTCTGTCGCCCAGGCTGGAGTGCAGTGGTGCCATCTCGGCTCACTGCAAGCTCCGCCTCCCGGGTTCACGCCATTCTCCTGCCTCAGACTCCCGAGTAGCTGGGACTACAGGCGCCCACCAACACGCCTGGCTAATTTTTTGTATTTTTAGTAGAGACGGGGTTTCACGGTGTTAGCCAGGATGGTCTCGATCTCCTGACCTTGTGATCCACATGCCTCAGCCTCCCAAAGTGCTGGGATTATAGGCATGAGCCACCGTGCCCGGCCTAGTTTTTAATTTTTATAGGTTTTAATTTATCTTTTGTTGTTGTTGTTTGTGCTTTTGTGTTGTATCTAAAAAAGTTTGACCAGCATGGTGGCTCACATGTGTAATCCCAGAACTTTGGGAGGCTGAGGTGGGCAGATCACTTCAGGTCAGGAGTTTGGGACCAGCCTGGCCAACATGGCAAAACTCTGTCTCTACTAAAAATACAAAAAGAATTAGCCAGGTTTCGTGCTGCATGCCTGTAATCCCAGCTACTTGGGAGCTGAGGCAGGAGAGTCACTTTAACCCAGGAAGCAGAGGTTGCAGTGAGCTGAGATTGTGCCACTGCACTCCAGCCTGGGCCCACAGGGTGATACATCTCAAAATAAATAAGTAAATAAATAAGATTAAAAAATAAAAAATCTGTTTTCAAAGCCAAGGTTATGAAGATTTACTCCTCAGTTTTATGGGTTTGCTCCTATGTTTTACCTCAAAGAGTTTTATGGTTTAGCACTTATATTTAGGTCATTGATCCACTTTGAGTTAACTTTTGGGTGTAGTGTGAATTTCTTGAACTTTAAACCCTTGAATGTGTGCCAATCCAGTCAGTAATGTTTTTTTTTTTTTAATTGAGACAGAGTCTCGCTTTGTTGCCCAGGCTGGAGTGCAGTGGCGTGATCTTGGCTCACTGCCAACCTCTGCCACCTGGGTTCAAGCGATTCTCCTGTCTCAGCCTCCTGAGTAGCTAGGACTACAAGCATGTGCCACCACACCCAATTTTTTTTTTTTTTTTTTTGACGAAGTCTCACTCTTGTCCCCCAGGGTGGAGTGTAAATGGGGTGATCTCGGCTCACTGCAACCTCTGCCTCCTGGGTTCAAGTGATTCTCCTGCCTCAGCCTCCCGAGTAGCTGGGATTACAGGTGCCTGCCACCACACCCAGCTAATTTTTGTATTTTTAGTAGAGATGGGGTTTCACTGTGTTGACCAGGCTGGTCTGGAACTCTTGACCTCAGGTGATCTGCCTGCCTCAGCCTCCCAAAGTGCTGGGATTACAGGTGTGAGCCACTGCGCCCGGCCATTTTTTTGTATTTTTAGTAGAGACGGGGTTTCGCCATGTTGGCCAGGCTGTTCTCGAACTCCTGACCTCAGGTGATCTGTCCACCTTGGCCTCCCAAAGTGCTGGGATTACAGGCGTGAGCCACCACTCCCAGCCAGTAATGATTTTTAAATCTTTAAATCCCAATAGCTATGGAAAGGTGGTTTGGCAATGTTTTAGTGGCTGTTGGCTGAAGCTTCTTTCAATAGGGGCATTTTAGAAGACATTTCCTCCTCCTCGGATCTGATCCACTGATGTGCATTTGATAGGTTTAGGGGCAACTTTGAGAGTAAGGCCAGTGACTTTCAGGGATGCCAGTCAGTTGAGTGACACACCCTTATGTACGCGTAGTGAGATGCTCTGCTATTGGCTTGTCTGTATCTCAGCCTGTGAGGAGCAGGGTGAGGCCTAATTGAAACAAGGCACAGCTGGCAGGGGTGAGGGGAACAATGTAGTCAGGTAGCAAGTCTGTACTGAGCCCAGGCAGGTTCCCAGCCCTGGGTATGGCTTCCTGAGAACTGTGCAAAAACAGTAATGATTAGTGAGAAGATCATATGGAGACAGAGGCCTTGATTTCAAGTTGGATGACTTAAGACTCGTCACTTCTCTCTGAACCTTAATGTCTTTGATTACAAAAGGTGAATGCTGACTTCACAGGGTTTCTGTTTTTTTTTTTTTTTTTGAGACAGGGTCTGGCTCTGTCGGCCAGGCTGGAGTGCAGTGACACGATCTTGGTTCACTGCAACCTTTACCTCCTGGGTTCAAACGATCCTCCCACCTCAGCTTCTCAAGTAGCTGGGACTACAGGCGCATGCCACCATGTCTGGATAATTTTTGCATTTTTTGTAGAGACAGGATTTTGCCATGTTGCCCAGGCTGGTGTTGAACTCCTGGACTCAAACGATCACCTGCCTTGGCCTCTCAAAGTGTTGGGACTGCAGGTGTGAGCCACCGTACCCAGCCTTGTTTTGTTTTTGAAGATGAGCTGAGGTTATCAGTGGAAAAGTGATTTGGAAACCATAAAATGAGATTTGGGAATGTAATAGAGAATCAAGGCGAAGACTAAGTTTTCTGGGAGTTTTTAAAAAGATTCTTTCGTGACTGTGATTCTCAGAAAAGGTTTGAGGCTTACTGACTAGATAGTTGATTTTCAATTTTTTATTCAAATAATTTTGCATTTGTTGTGACTCTTTCTTTTGCAGGTGACGGAAATACAATTCAGACAGACTTAACCAAGAGAGGGACTTTATTGACTGAGTAACTAGAAAGCCTAGAAGTAGTTCTACTTTTAGACACAGCTAGACACAGGGAGGTAAATTATGTCATTAGGACTCACTCTCTCCCCCTTTGGCTCTGCTTTTCTTTGTACTGGTGTCATTCTTAGGCAGGCTTTCTCCCATGTAGTGGCAAAGAAAGATATCAGATTTGGGTATGCATCCTAACAGCTTATTGAAAGATACAACAGGCCTGGCATGTTGGTTCAAGCCTATAATTCTAGCATTTTGGGAGGCCAAGGCAGGTGGATCACTTGAGCCCAGGAGTTTGAGACCAGCCTGGGTAACATGAGGAAATCGCATCTCTACAAAAAATACAAAAATTAGCTGGGCGTGGTGGCTTGTACCTGTAGTCCTAGCTACTCAGGAGACTTGTACCTGTAGTCCTAGCTACTCAGGAGACTGAGCTTGAGCCTGGGAGGTCAAGGCTGCAGTGAGCCAAGATCAGACCACTGCACTCCAGCCTGGGAGACAGTCAGACACTGTCTCAAAAAAAAAAAGAAAGAAAGAAAGAAAGAAAGAAAGATACAACATAATACCTCTCTTTCCTGATGGTGCTGGTGGTCCTGGGTATGATTTTGGCTTGGGTCCTATGCCCATCCTAAAGTAATCACTGTGGCCAGGAGAATACTGGCCTTTAATTGGCCAACAGAGTTCCATTCTACTCATGGAACCCAGGGGTCAGGGTCAGCTTCCCTGGAACCATGTGGATCGAGAACAGGAAAGAGGTGGTTCCTTAAGGGAAGAAGATCAAGGTACATTTACAGAAAGGTAGGTTTGGGAGGTAGGGAAATAGTTTTAAGTCAACAAAATTCGTAGATGTTTACTACATAATTAAGCCATTTTTGTTAAAAAAAGTGTGTTTCCAATATTTAAAACTCAACAAAAGTAGAATTCTACTTGAAGTAGATATTGCCAGGAGACTTGGACAGGGGAGGGAAGGAGAGGAGGAGTCTATAGAGCATAATTTGAAAACTGCTAGACAGTTTATCCATTAAATATTTGCTTGAGGTGGGATAGTGCTTGAATCCTTTCTTTGCATCTTTCTGACATTTTATAATAGAGATTGTATTTTCCTTCTAATCAGGGAGAGGGAGGTAAGTAGCAGAGCCAGTCATTGTCTGGGGCTGAAGATGCCAAGGACTTTTCTTAGCCCCAACACCAAACTGTGTTTTTTTGAGATGGAGTTTCGCTCTTACTGCCCAGGCTGGAGTGCAATGGTGCGATCTCGGCTTACTGCAACCTCTGCCTCCCGGGTTCAAGTGATTCTCCTGCCTCAGCCTCCCGAGTAGCTGGGATTACAGGCATGCGCCACCATGTCCAGCTAATTTTGTATTTTTAGTAGAGACGGGGTTTCACCATCTTGGCCAGGCTGGTCTCGAACTCCTGACCTCAGGTGATCCACCTGCCTCTGCCTCCCAAAGTGCTGGGATTACAGGTGTGAGCCACCATGCCCAGCCTGAAACTGAGTTTTTTTTTTAGAAGCCATGAGTCTTTCAAATTTAAATAGTGACTCATAGAGAACAGGAAGAAGTTGCTTTATAATGTGTTGGTTAATGTAAGTGATGAAATATATTCGTATCCTAAGCATTTGGCAGGGGCTCTATATGGTACGGTGTATAAAGCTGTGAGCTGGATGGATTCTGTATTATAAATTGAGTGAGGATGAAAGCTGCCCTCACGTACTATCCAGTTTACCAGGCAGCCAACAACCATTCGATTTTTTAAAAAATTGAAGTAAAAATCACATAACAGTTTGGTGGTGGTACAGGCCTGTAATCCCTGCTACTTGGGATGCTGAAGTGGGAGGATCCCTTTAGTCCAAGGGTTCAAGACCAGCCTGGACAACATAGCAAGAATCAGTCTGCACAAAAAATTAAAAAATTAGTCTGGCATGGTGGCATGCCCCTTTAGCCCTTTCTACTCAGGAGGCTAAGGTGAGAGGATTGCTTGAACCCAGGAGTTTGAGGCTGCAGTAAGCTATGATTGCGCCAGTGTACTCTAGCCTGAGTAGCAGAGCAAGACCCCTGTTTCTTAAAAAAAAAATTCACATTCCATAAAACTTATTATTTTGAAGTGTACAATTTTTTTTTTTTGGTAGAGATGGGGTCTTGCCATATTACCCAGACTGGTTTCAAAGTCCTGCCTTCAAGCAGTCTTTCTGCCTCAGCCTCCTAAAGTGCTGTGATTACAGGCATGAGTCATTGTGCCCCGCCCAATTTGGTGGTTTTCAACAATTTTGTGTAACCGTTACCACTATCTAATTTCAGAACATTTTCATCACCCTAAAAAGAAACACTGCACCCATTAAGCAGTCACACTCCCTATTCTCTATCCTCTGGCAATCATTAGTCTACTTTCTGTCTCCATGAATTTGCCTATTCTGAACATTTCATATAAATGGAATCATGTCTGGTTTCTTTCACTTAGTATGATTTTAATATATATATTTATCTTGTTACTTTTCTGTGATACTTTTTTTGAAGTAGAATTATCCCACAGACCTACCAACTGGTCATTTTCTCTGTCCCCAAGTGTATAATTGGGATTGACAAACTCAGCAGTTAAAGATAGCACCCATACTGGATACTTGACCTGTTGAATAAGAGGTGTCATAGTGGGAAGGCTAAGTGGAAGCCTTGGAAACTACCTTCTGCTCTCCTGGCCAAGATAGTGAACCAAACCCAATAACACCTTCTGGGACAGATGGTGGAGAGTAGTGCTACCCTGAAGTATCTTTTTTTTTTTATTTTTTTTAATTTTTTTTTTGAGATGGAGCCTTGTTCTGTTTCCCAGGCTGGAGTGAAATGGTGCAGTCTTGGCTCACTACAGCCTCCACCTTCTGGGTTCAAGTGATTCTCCTGCCTCAGCCTCCCAAGTAGCTGGCATTATAGGCACCCGCCACTACGCATGGCTAATTTTTGTATTTTTAGTAGAGACGGGGTTTCACCATGTTGACCAGGCTGGTTTTGAACTCCTGACCTCAGGTAATCTGCCCACCTTGGCTTCCCAAAGTGCTGGGATTACAGACGTGAGCCACTGCACCCGACCTACCCTTAAGTATCTTAAGATGCAAGGTGGTGGTCTCTATCCTATCTATATTTAATTCATTAGTCTGCCCCTGTAAAACTGGATTGATCAGAGAATGACTGGACTTCAGTAATTTTGATTTAGCATCCCCAAATGTGGCTGCCATGATGGATTTGATATCTTTGCTAGAGCAGGTTATACTTCGATATTTGGCCATTGATTTGGCAAACGCATTATTTTCTGTTTCAGTCAGAAAAAAGGATTAAAAACTATTTGTATTCATGGGGAACATATCAGTATTCCTTTATAGTTTTGCCTAGGGATATGTAAACACTTCTACTCTTATACTGTTTGTCATAATATAGTCAAAAGATACCTGGACCATCTGGCCATAGAACATCACCATGATATATTACGTTGACAACATCATGCTAACCAGACAGCATTAGCACACTGGAGGCCTTGGTAAGATGTGTGTGCTCCACAGTGGGTACTGTCACATTCTTTGCCAAACTGGATATACTTGGTTTTAAAATATGTCCACAAATTCTTTGATACTCTTTCCATCAAGGGGTGGAGTCTAATTCCTCTCCCCTTGAGCTGGACCTCACTTTCTATTCTAACAAATAGAATAAAGTGAACATGATAGTGTACAACTTCAGAAATCAGGTCATAAAAGGCACTACAGTTTCCTTTTTGCTTTCTCTCTGTCTCTTAAATTATTCACTCTGCGGAAGTCCCATCAATATATTGTGAGGACACTCAAGAAGCATATGGAAAAGGCCATGTGGAGAACTAGTGTTTCCTGACAACAATCAGCATGGACTTGCTGGGAATGTGAGTGAGCCACCATGAAAGCAAATCCTCCAGCCCCAGTCAAACCATCAGATGGCTATTGGCCTTTTAAAACCTAAGAGACCAGAGCCATAGCCACTCAGTTAAGCCACTTCCTTGATTCGTAACCCTCAGAAACTGTATGAAATAATGTTTATTGTTTTAAGCAACTAAATTTTGGGGGTAATTTGTTATGCAATTATAGATATTAATATACATTCCTACAAGCAGAATATGAGAATTCTAGTTGTCTGACCTTCTTTTCAACATCTAGTATTTCCCTTTTTTATTTTAGCCATTCTAGTGAGTGCTAACACCACTGTTATCACATTGTGGTTTAATTTGTTTTTCCCCAGTGACTAATGTATAGAGCATCTTTTGACATATGTATGAATATCTATATAGACATATAGATATGTATATGTGTATTTAATATCTGGATTTATTATTTTGGTGATTATCTGGATTTTATTATTTGTTCAAGCCTTTTTGCCCAGTTTTCCATTGGGCTATCTTTTTCTTACTGATTTGTAGGCGTTCTTTATGTATGCTGGATATAAGTCCTTTGTCTTATATGTGTATTATGAATATCTTTTCTCAGTTTATCAACCTTTTCCTCCATGTGTCCTTATCCCTTTTTGTGCCCTGTAAGAAATCTGGCCTCCTGGGATCCCATCTGGAAAGTGCTTAGTATTCTGCCTGCTTCACAAAGGGAGGGAAAGCAAACGTGGTGAGGCACCCTTTCCATTCCAGCTTGCTCGGTAGCTGGTGATTGGAAGACACTCTGTGACAGCGTTCAGTCCCTGGGCAGGAAAACCTCCTTTAAGGATTCTTCTTCCTTAACTGGGTCTGCTTCTTTCCTAAAGAAAAAAAAAATGAGTAATAAAAAAAAAAATAACTCTTTGCAGGCCAGGTGCGGTGGCTCATGCCTGTATTCCCAGCACTTTGGGAGGCTGAGGCGGGCGGATCACCTGAGGTCAGGAGATCGAGACCATCCTGGTTAACATGGTGAAACCCCATCTCTACTAAAAATACAAAAAATTAGCCAGGCATGGTAGCGGGCGCCTGTGGTCCCAGCTACTCGGGAGGCTGAGGCAGGAGAATGGTGTGAACCCGGGAGGCGGAGCTTGCAGTGAGCAGAGATCGGCGCCACTGCACTCCAGCCTGGGAGACAGAGCGAGACTCCGTCTCAAAAAAAAAAAAAAAACAAACACTCTTTGCCTATTCCAAGTTCATAATGATTTCCCCATAATTTTTTTTATCTAAAAGTTTTATTGTTTCACCTTTCCCGTTAGATCTGCAATCCATCTGAAATTGATATTTTTGTGTATGGTGTGAAGTAATGATTCTAGGTACATTTTTTTCCTTCTGTGTATAACCAATTGATCCAACACCATTTATTGAAAAGATCATTCCTGGGCCGAGCGCAGTGGCTCATGGCTGTAATCCCAGCACTATGGGAGGTTGAAGCAGGTGGATCACTTGAGGCCAGGAGTTTGAGACCAGCCTGGGCAACATGATGAAACTCTGTCTCTACTAAAAATACAAAAATCATCTGTGCATGGTGGTGTACGCCTGTAATCCCAGCTACTTGGGAGGCTGAGGCATGAGAATTGCTTGAAGCTGGGAGGCGGAGGTTGCAGTGGGCTGAGATCGTGCCACTGTACTCCAGCCCAGGCGACAGAGTGAGACCCTATCTCAAAAAAAAAAAAAAAAAGGTCATTCTTTCCTACTGTACCATAAGTGTTACCTTTCTCATAAGGCAGATATTTGTGGGTCTGTTTCCACACTCTCTATTCTAATTGTCATTTTTGTATCCTGCAGTAGTACCACACTGTGCTAATTTTTATTTTAATTATTCTTGATATTTGGAAGTTTAAGTTTATCAGGTTGTTGTTCTTCAGCAGTGCTTGGCTGTCCTTGGTATTTCTATGTGAATTTTAGAACTGGTTTGTCAACTTCTGCTAAGAAAAACCCCTGTTGGGATTTTGATTGGCTTTGCATTAAATCTATAGATTGGGAGAACTGACAAACTATATGTAGTCTTTCAACTCATGAACATGATATGTTCTTCCATTTATTCAGTTTATTTATTTATTTATTTATTTTTTAAATTAGAGTCAGGGTCTCACTATGTTGCCCAGGCTGGTCTTGAACTTCTGGGCTCAAGTGATTTTCCTGCCACAGGCTTGAGCCACCATGCCTGGCCTATTTAGAACTTTAAAATTATTTTTTTTTTTCTGTAAGTCTGTAAGTTGTCTTGTAGTGGTCTTATATATCTTTTTTTTTCTTTTCTTTTTTTTTTTTTGAGATGGAGTCTCCCTCTGTCACCCAGTCTGGAGTGCAGTGGCGCAATCTCGGCTCACTGCAAGCTCTGCCTCCCGGGTTCACACCATTCTCCTGCCTCAGCCTTCCAAGTAGCTGGGACTACAGGCGCCCACCACCACGCCCGGCTAATTTTTTGTATTTTTAGCAGAGGCGGGGTTTCACCATGTTAGCTAGGATGGTCTCGATCTCCTGACCTCGTGATCCACCTGCCTTGGTCTCCCAAAGTGCTGAGATTACAGGCGTGAGCCACTGTGCCTGGCTTTATATATCTTTTATTAGTTTTTTTCCCCCCTAAGTATTTGATGTATTTTTGATGCAATAGTCAATAGTATTACTGTATTTTAAAGGTCTTATTTTTATAAAATAAACAATTTCAATGAAGCCTTGTAGTACTCAACACTTCCAGCTTTAATTTCTTTGCTGTAATAGCTTGCTTATGAACAATTCAGGAAAGAATTTCATGTGCAGTGCTATTTCTTTAATCTTACCCATAATCCTTTTAAAATTCCAGTTGAAGCAGCTACTTTTTCGTGGTTACACTTAAGTATTTTTAAAATAAAACTTTATTTTCTATCATTTTAAAAAAATCTTATTTCAACTAAGAAAGTCTTATGCTATGGAGGATATTTCTTCTCTTGTACATTTTTCCTTTACTGTCCCTTGAAAGACAGTTCCTTTTTTATTTCAGAATTTAACAGAACATAGCAAATACCCTTAACTGGCACATGAAAGAAAACTTGTATCTTACTTTCTAGAAAATACCTCATGCTCCATAATTTATAATAATATTTGTTTTTCAAATCTTAAACAATATTTAATATATATTTTCTAACAGTATTTGCTGACAAAGGAATGCAGTTTTAAAAATATTGCTTTCCAGCTGGCTGCGGTGGCTCACGCCTGTAATCCCAGCACTTTGGGAGGCCGATGCAGGTGGATCACAAGGTCAATAGATCGAAACCATCCTGGCCAACATGGTGACACCCTGTCTCTACAAAAACTATAAAAATTAGCTGGGCATGGTGGCGCACGCCTGTAGTCCCAGCTACTCAGGAGGCTGATGCAGGAGAATCGCTTAAACCTGGGAGGCGGAGGTTTCAGTAAGCCAAGATTGTGCCACTGCACTCCAGCCTGGCGACAGAGTGAGACTCCATCTCAAAACAAACAAACAAACAATACAAACAAAATATTGCTTTCTTTGTACTATTTAATCCACTTTATTACTGCAATAAGAAAGAATAAATGTTTTACCAATAATATGTTCCTGTTTTTCATTATTAAGCAGGACATGTATAAAGAGACTTCTTAGCACTGGATTGAATATCTTTGGACTTTAAACACTACAGAAAAATTATAAAAGTTTATCTTCAGATATAATTTTTAGATGGTTTTTAATCATGATAGCTTTATTTTATCATTATTTAATATAATGGTCAACAAATTATGCCTGCTTGTATAAATAAAGTTTTATTGGAACAAAGCCACATTCATTTGATTAATGTAATCAATAACAATGTAATGTAATTGTGGCTACTTTTAAACTACAGTGGCAGAGTTAATTAGTTATAATAGAGGCTGTAAAATATTAACTGTCTGGCCCTTTACATGAAATGTTTTGCTGACATCTGATTTAATATATCAGGCCCGGTAAAGATTTAGTTTATTGTTAATAATAAATTTAAATCCATACAGTATTCTAAGTATCTTTTGATAATTTTGAATTTTTTTGCCAACTTATTGTTTGAACCAATTAGATTGTTTTCGTCCTGTAATATAGCTCTCAGAGAGCTCATATTAGGTATAGAAGGGTCAGCTTTGTTACTTGCTATTTATTTTTGTTTGTAATTTTAATATTATCTTTAACCTATGGGGGTTGTTTTTCATATTCATTTATTTATTTGCAAACATCCCTTAAGATCATTTGTGTGGTAAAGTTTGATTTAGTTGAGAAAAAAATATAAACCATAATTTATAAGTACCCTGAAAGCAAATGAGTGACTGCAGATACTGATGTTCTTCCTTGCACACTGGGGAGCTCCCATCTCTATTCTCAGGAAAACTCATATGTGGTAAGCGATACCGAAATACATGACATACAGACCCAGAGAGGGCACCATTGTTAGTCAGTACAGTTAACATTGGTAAAGCATAATTCTTATATTTTAAGATTAAAAACAATTATAAAATAAGAGTTTTAATTTTTCTTTTTGTGCTTCACTGGAAAGTCTTATGCATTCCACTTTGGAGACCACTGTCTTAATACATACTGTTTGTGTAAATTCTTTCAAATTCTGAATGTAGGCATAATCCCTGAATATAAATAAAAGTTTGTAGTATCATAATAATTGAGCTTTAAGTCCAGCAAATACTTTGTGTGGATAGTACTGCCAGCAGCTGCAATTAGAGAATCTGTGGGCTAAGCAAAGCCTTACTCAGATGCTTTATCTGTTTTTATCCTGTGTGGACAGTCATCTCTCTTCCAATAGAATTTTGTATCTGCAGCTAATTAAATCAAGAATTTAACCTTAGGATGGAGGATAGAGGACTATGTCTTCCTGCCAATAGGTAACCCACCAGAACCACTCCAGTGAGGAGAGCTACCACCTTAGAGGCCTCAATAGGTAGGGATTTACTTTAGGGAGTTGACAGATGCTTAAGTATGGAGTCATACAGTCTGGGCTCAAATTCTGGGCTCCTCCTATTATAAGCTGTGTATTCCTAGGCAAGTTCATTTAACCACTTTGTGTCTCAGTTTCCTCTTATGTTAAATAGGGAGAATGGCATCTAACTTTTAAGGTTGCTATGAAAAATTAGTTAATCCATATTAAGTGCTTGGCATACTATCTAGCACATATGAAGAGCTCAATGAATGTTAATTTTTAGTTAACTTTCTGGCGGTTCAGATTTGGTCAGTTCACAGTTCACTGAGAATATTTATCTTTGAGCAGACTCATATTAACCTTTATTTATCTTTGAGCAGACTTATATTAAGTTCTTATAAAACTACAATGCCAATTTTTAAGTCTACCTCAGGAAGTAGAACTGTCACATATACTGGATGCCCTATGTTGTTAATGACCTGTACATTTTCTACCTCTGGATGGCACCATGGAACACAAACATCCTAATCACGAAGGTTATATTGAACATAGGGTCTGAATTAGGGACATTCATTAGGTGAATCCAGTGTTTTGTGTATAATGCCAAAGTGGCTGAAGTGAATATTTATTACCCTTTCCTGTGTTTAAGGAATTTCTTTACCTAAAATGCCAGCTACTTACTTGTAACCTTTTTCGCAGTTTGCCCTAGGCTCTTTTGGTCTTAGCCACTCATCATGGACTTTGACTCTGAAGAGCTGTGATGCAAAGAAGCAGGGTGCAGTGATGGTGGTGCAGGTAGCAAATTGAGTTCCTGGGGCAGCAGGGCCGGTTATATTACAGTGGCTAGAGATAGTGGAGGTTGGCAGTGGAAGCAGAGGCATCCTGATCAGATTAGTTCTGCTACTTAGTTTTAGGCGTTGTTCTCGGCATCAATCCCTGGTTTTTCACTTCTCCTTGTAAGTCTGAGTTACTCTTTTGATAAGTTCTTTTTCTCCTCAAACTAGCCAAAATCAGCTGGGTTGCTAAATTTGCAATCTAAGTTGTTCTTGCAACTAAGAACCCTGTGGATATAGCAGCTACAATAGCCTGATGCATTTGTCTTGCAATACAGATAGAAAGGTCATGGGAAAGCAAATGAAGTATTTAAACTTTGTTGGCTTCTTCTCCCCTTGTGGGTGTTAAGATCACCCTATTCCCAGGGCCTAGATTTGTGCCTGAAATAAAGTAAGTGCTTAGTAAACCTTTTGTGGAATGAAAGAATGATGGGTACTGCCAATATGTGTCTGTTACTCTGCTTTTTCTCAGCTTTCATGGTTGACTGATCTCCCTAAGGAAGGACATATTTTTTCTTTCGATATGTTAATACAGATGTAATCCTGCGTAACAGTCCATTTTTTTTTTTTTTTTGAGACAGAGTCTCACTTTGTCGCCCAGGCTGGAGTGCAGTGGTGCAATCTCGGCTCAGTGCAACCTCTGCCACTCAGGTTCACGTGATTCTCCTGCTTCAGCCTCCTGAGTAGCTGGGACTGCAGGTGTGTGCCACCACACCCAGTTAATTTTTTGTATTTTTAGTGGAGACGAAGTTTCACCGTGTTGGCCAGGCTGGTCTTGAACTCCTGACCTCAGGTGATCCACCCACCTCGGCCTCCCAAAGTGCTGGGATTACAGATGTGAGCCACAACGCTCGGCTGCTATTCTGTTTTTTAAACTCACTTGGCGTATCTTTATTCTGTGGATTTTGTAGTTTAGCCCGGGGATGTGTGTGTGTGTGCGCGTGTGTGCATGTGTATGCATCTTATAGAGCCCCAGAATGCTGACAGGAATCCCTTCCTGGTGTCACAAGGCAGTCTAACATCTTTCCTGGGATTCTGGAAGGCATCTCTTGAGTCTTCCTCAAGGGGCTTGTTGATGGAGTAAAGAAAAGACCATACACCCACAGAAAATTTCATACATTCATACACAAATGTAGAACTGTATTTAAACCTTCTATCTGCCACCTAACAACTTTATGATTCTTGTTAAATTTTCTTTTCTTTTTCTTTTTCCTCGAGACAGACTCTCACTCACTCTGTAGCCCAGGCTGGAGCACATTGGAGCAATCTCGGCTCACTGCAGCCTCCGCCTACTGGGTTCAAGCAATTCTCCTGCCTCAGCCTCCCAAAAAGTAGCTGGGATTACAGGTGCGTGCCACAACGCCCAGGACAGGGTTTCACCATGTTGGCCAGGTTGGTCTCGAACTCCTGATCTCAAGTGATCTGCTCGCCTCAGCCTCCCAAAGTGCTGGGATTACAGGCATACATCTGGCCGATGATTCTTGTTAAATTTTCTACAGATGTCCTGCTTTGCTTTTCCTATGATGGTATGCTAAGATTGGGAAAGGCAGGAGATACAGGTCCTTTTTTACTTCCTTTTTATGTTAAAGCAGGTGAACTTCTGCTCTAGATTTGTGTGTTAAGGAGCTGTGGGAACTGGCAGTTAGTACCCCACATTCTGGTTCCATGAAGTCATTTGCTTGCATTTACGGAGCCCCTTGCTGTATGCTATGAGATAATGGCATTCTGAGGCTGGAGGTGCCAGGATTTTGAGAGATTGGAATGGCTTGTTGCCAGTTTATTATTGCCTCTCTCCTGGTGGAGTGGCTGAAGCTAGTGCCAAGGGTAGTACACCTGGGATCCCTGTCTTTTTGTTTCTAGAACACAGTGCTTTAGACTTGGGCTTATAAATCAGAGCTGGGACTTTGAGAAGATTTGTGAGCAAGTTCATCAAGATATTGGGGTCATCTGGCCTAGTCTTCTTGAGTTTCACATGTAGAAACAAGCCTAGAGAATACTGTAACACAAAGTTAGAAGGGTTGAGGAGGGCGAGGGAAGGGTCAACACCTTACCGCTGATCGCTTTGCTTTACTCCTGCATTTTTTGTTCAGAGTGGACCCCGTTCTGCAATCGTTGGTCTGAAATTCAACCCAGTCCTAAATTGCATGTCTCGGGCCACAGGTTACCAAGTTTACAGACAACAGTCCTGTGCCTCTCTGGACACGTGACTGGTCTATTAATAGATCTGAAGTTCTGGGAGAGCCTCAGCTCTTCCCCCACCTTTCTACTTCCAGCAGCCTGCTTGCTGGTAATTTCTTCAGTGCCCGGACAACTGGACAGAGAATGGAAACAGGGCAATCTGCCCATCCCCTTTTAGGAGGTAATGCAGGCCCAGGTGTATATATATGAGTAGCCTCTGGCCTCATGGGTGTCTGTGCTGCATCAGGTCAAGTGGAAATGCTTAGCATTTAGGAGGAAGTAATTCCAGTTTGCCCTGGATGGGATTGAAAAAAAACCCAAACATGTATTTGACCTTCACTATATGTAAGGCACTGTACTAGGCACTTTGCATGTGTTTACCACAATCTTCCCTGAACCTTGTGAGATAGATATTCTCATTTTACAGAGGAGATGACTAAAACTCAGGAAGATTGACTTAGTAACCTAATGTTACACAGCTGGCAAGACTAAAATCCAGGCCTTCTGACTTTGTCTTTCGAAAATGACAGCTTCCCTGTTTATAACTTTCTATAGTAAAATTGGGCTAGGATAATTTAACCATGCTATCTTTGGGGACACTTGTATTATTGAATTATCTCATATAGCTCAGGAAAATGGGGGCAAACATGAAGGGAGGGGAATAAGGCCTATCAGGCTGTGGGCAACAAAGGGAGCTCAGTGTAGCAGGATGGTGCCTACTGTACAGGTCCATGTGACCTTAGTGAACCCAAGTCAGATAGTGGCTGTCCTGCAGGTTAATCAACCATATTTCTTAGCTTGGCGTACAAGGCATTCAGAATTAGGGTTCCTGCTTCATCCCATTTTATCTCTTCCTACTTCCTATCATACAAATTGTTTTTCATTCTATTGTTTGCCAGATCTGCTGTCATCTTCCATGCATGGGCATTTGGAGGCTCTATTAAGGTTCTAGTAAAAAAGTAACTGTGGCTACCTTAGGGCCGAGCAGACAGTTTTGAATCTCCATTTACTCCAGAATCATTTTGGGCTGGAGCTCTGTCATTCATTCATGTATTCAATCATTCTTTTAACATACAGGACACTGCCTCTCTGCCAGGTACTGTACTAGGCCCTGCTAATCAGAATAATGAACAAGATAGATATGGTTCCTGCTCTCCTAGAGCTTGCAGTGTAGTAGGGAAGGCAAAAATGAACAAAATAATCATAATGAAGTCTGATGAATGTCATGAAGTGCAAATAAGGGATGTGATGGGAGGGTGCATATATCAGAGGAACTTAATATTGTTTAGGGTGTTAGGAAAGACCTGACATTAGCTGAGGAGGTGACATTTAAGTTGGATCTGAAAATTGAGAGAAAATAAGTAAGGGTTAAGAAAGGTAATGCTAGGCAGCTGGAAGAGTATGCAAAGGCTTACAGGCCAGGCAATAAGGATAAAGCCATGTCCATGTCAGTTCATTTATTCAGCAATCATTTACAACTGCTGGGTTATATCATGCAGTGTGCTAGGTTCTGGGAACATAAAAAACAATAAGACGTGGTCCTTACCTGCCCTGGATAAACTCAGTAAGGAGTAGTGATGTCACTCCTTGGTAACCAGGGTGCTAAGTTCACCCTAGATCTTGGACTCAGTTTTTTGGGTCCCATGTGATAGGACTTAACACCTTTAGAAAAACTGCCTGCCCTTGAGTGTTTGGTCCATCTGTCAAGCCGACAGGACATGGACCTCAGATGAAAACCTGCAGTGTTCTTATCCCTGGCTTCACACTTACCAGATCCATGATAAATGGGGATCTGCTATAGACTGAATGTTTGTGTCCCTCTACATTTCATACATTAAAATCCTAACCCCTAATGTGATGGTATTAGGAGGTTGTAGGGTAAATGGACCTGAGAGCAATAACAAGCATTCCCTTAGAATGACACTGTATGGCAGACACACCTGAATGCATGTTCCAAGCTAGGGAATCTGGGAGTGGCCAATCCAGAGATTTCGTTCCTTTTCTATAAGTAATATCTGAGCCCTAGCCTACCCTGTGGAACACGGGCCATACAGGGGATTGAGGCCCTGGGTTTTGAGTTGAATGAAGGCTGCCAGATGAGGCCATTAAGAGGAGGGTGTTAAGTGAAAATGCTATGTAAATTGCACGCTGTTTACAAGCGGTTGCGATTTTCCTGCCCGGCCTGTTGCTCCTGGGCTGTGTGGTTTTCCTGTCCAGCCTGCTGCGACTGGACTGTATGTAAGGCAGATACCTTGTTCAGCCCGCCACTACTGGACCATATCTGTACATAAGGCAGTTCTCTTGTCCAGCCCACCACCACTGGACTCTCTTCCGTGTATGTAAGCCCCTAATAAAACCCTGTGTCTTGTTTGCTGGCTCTAGGTCTCTTCTTTGGCCTCTTAAACCTGCTGCCTTCCCTATGGAAGTTAACAGGGTTTGGTACAACAGACACAGGGCCTTTGGTGGGTGATTAGGTCATTAGGACAGAGCCCTCTTGAATGGAATTAGTGCCCTTAGAAAAGAGACCCCAGAGGGCTGGGTGTGGTGGCTCACGCCTGTAATCCCAGCACTTTGGGAGGCTGAGGCGGGTGGATCACGAGGTCAGGAGATCGAGACCATCAGGGTTAACAGAGTGAAGCCCCGTCTCTATTAAAATTACAAAAAATCAGCCGGGCGTGGTGGCGGGCACCTGTAGTCCCAGCTACTTGGGAGTCTGAGGCAGGAGAATGGCATGAATCCAGGAGGTGGAGCTTGCAGTAAGCCGAGATCGCTCCACTGCACTCCAGCCTGGGCAAGAGTGCAAGACTCTGTCTCAAAGGAAAAAAAAAAAAAAAAAAAAGAAAAGAAAAGAGACCCTAGAGATCTCTCTTGCCCCTTCTGCAGTGGGAGGACACAGAAAGGAGACAGCCATCTATGAACCAGTAAGCGGGCCCTCGCCAGACACTGAATCTGCTGGCACCTTGGTCTTGGACTTCCTAGCCTCTAGAATTGTGAAAAATGAGTTTGTTGTTTAAGCTGCCCTGTCTATGGTATTTTTGTCATAGCAGCTTGAATGGACTAAGACAGGCTCCTCTACAGAGTTGAGGTTATTGGGGTCCAGAGATTGGCTTTTGTCCCCAGTAGAAAACATAGAAGGAGCTTTTTGGCTGAGGTGAAGTTGCCTCTGTTTTCAGAGCTTTGTGTCCTTGGTGTCTCATATTTATTACAATTGATCATGTGTTCTCACACCCATCCATTGTCTTGAGTACACCTAAGGTGGTATTTTAGCTGTGTTTTTCTGGATTCTGATACTGCTTATAGACAAAAGTCTTAGCGGCTGGCTATCTTGGACTGTAAATTGCCTAAGTCCTAGGTGTGTTGTTCACATGGGCTGTGTTGTGAATGGGACCACGTTTCCCCAATTGTGCAACAGTGCAACATTGTGGCCCTGGTTAAAGGGAAGGGAAGTTAGGTTATTGAAACATGGACTGTGTGCCTCAGGCTGTGTGATTTGTATTCTTTATTTCATTTAATACTCCCTGTAATGCTCTAAAGTAAGTACTTTTATTCTAATTTACAGATGAGGAGACTGAAGTTTAGTGAACTAAGTAAACAAGTAAGTAGTGGTTTGGGGTTAGAGTTTAGGTCCAACTCTAAAGTCCATGTTTCCCTCTCTCATCCAGCTGTTTCCCAATGTAGTTACAGACTTCAGATCTTGCATGTCATCTTGTTTCCATGGCCTCTTTGGCCTTGTCTACCTTGACTTATTTGCCTTGCCTCCCTGTGTCAGTAATCTAAGGATTCTCAACATGGCTGAGGCTCAGGAATATATCCTGTTTGGTAGATAACCTAGAGTCTCTCTCTCTTCCCCGCCGCCCGCCGTCTACAATGTATTTTTGTGTCTAATGTGAGGCAACATTATAACTATAATTGGAGTCATTTTTAAAGAGTAAGTTAGCTCTAAATTTGGTGGGCTGCTTTTCTTAATCCAGTTCCCACAGCATTCTCAGGAAGACGGAAGATGGGGATGGCTCATTAGAAATGAGTTTGAATGAAAAAGGCATTGGGGCTTGGCTTGAGTGGTGGAAAGAGCCTCCCTCAGCCTTTCTAAATTGCGTGGCTACTGAAGTTGGTTGGATCTTTGTAAGTTAGTACTTAATGTCCCTTTTCCAGGGACCTAAGATTCTCTTTTCTCTCTTTCCCGTAGAAGCCCTGCCTCATCATCTGGAGATTCTGGAGCTACTGACATTAGAGTGGAGAGACTTTTTTCTTTCACAGAGTTGTCAGGGTTGTGTACGGGGTGGGAGAGGGGTCTGTGTATAAGGCAGAATCCAGGGAATGGTGGAAGAGGAAGTGTAACATGTTTTTGTGTCTTCAATAGCTTTTCAGCACTCTTTTTTTTTTTCCTCCTCTTTTCTTCTGGAGACTTTGCAGTCTCATTTGAGAAGTGGGGTCCCAAATAAAACAAGGCTGCTACACTCACCCATCTTGTGTTCCAACTCTGCTTCCTTTTCCTGAAGGCTGACAGGCTTTTTCATATCTTGAGTCTTTGTACCTTCTGTTCCCTCATCCTTGAAGGCCCAGTTTGATCTCTTCTCTCTGGAGGTTGTCATGCCCACTTTGTGCCTCCATAGCACTTTGTACAGCCTTTTATATAGTCTTATTCACTTAGCTGTCTGCTTCACTCTCCACATCTTGAACCTCTTAAGAGCAAGAGGCTGAGTTAGTTTCACCTCTCTTTAGCAAGCACAGGGTATGAGGGAGACTAGAGTCTCAAAAATTGTAGAATTGAACAATTCAATTCATTACATCAGTACCTTGGTACACTGATGCCCAAATCAAAAGTAGATGATTGTGTACAACTATCTTGTGTACTTCCATAAACTAAATAAGTTTCTCTTCCATAATTCACTGTTTTGTGTATCTCCCAGGCCCATAGCCCTTCAAACATGCAGTGCAGTAGCTGACTTTGAGAGAGAACAGAGCACAGATGTTATCTTTGCCTGCTTTGCCCTTCACCTCACAGTGCTCTTCTAAGTCCCTGGGCTTGACCCAAGGAATGAGTAGGGAGGAAATGCCAGAAATGAGCCACCCTTGGCATCCTAACTCCTTGGTTTGCAGGTTTGGCCCTGTGGGGCAGTGCAAGGTGAGCAAATGGAAAAGAACCTGTTCCCTGTAATAGCAGCTGAAAGGGATCTCTACAGATTATTACTGTCATCTTTTCGCAGCTGCAGTTGCAGCAATGAGACACTCCCCTCATTGCATTCTGCATCTAAGACAAAATCAATTCATCTTTTAAATTGGCTCTCTTGGCTTGTCCTGAGATTTCTCATAGGGCTGAGAGCCTGAAACAAGTCATCTTACCCGTGTTTTTCTACCATTGTAAGGCCAAAGACTGTGAGATTGTGTACCCTTAGCCCTTCATTTTATACATGGGGAAACTGAGGCCCACCATGGGCATAGGACTAGTTCAAGGTTGGGTGACTAGTGTCAGGTGAGGCTAGACACTGGTCTTCCAACTCCCTGCAAGGTGCTCTCTTCATTATACCCTGCTGTCTCTGATATCAGTTTATGTTTGTAATGCCTGTAGATTGTGAAGTTGGTGAGGCTGAAGTAACCAGGAAACCTGGTTTCTTTTCTTTCTGTCACCTTCCTAGTTTCTGGACATCAGGGCACAGTAGACATTCTGGGAAGACTTAGTGAAGGAGTAAATAAAAAACAAAGTTGGCCCAGGAAAACTGCATGGTCTAAGCCAGAAGAAGACTAACGAAAGCAGATTCCTCCCAGTTTCACTGGACATCTTTGGCTTTGATGATGATTCCTGTGGTTCGATTTTCCCAGTGTTAAATGCAACCTTGGCTGGAGCGTGGAAGAAGTATGGATTGTAACTATGGTATTTTATCTGGTGAAAACCAGGTCTGTAATTAAATGTCTGTGAAAATACCACACCTGGGCTAACTGAGGATGCCTTTGAGTCTTCAGATGCCTCCCTTATTCCCTAGCAGCAATCACAAGACAGAGATTGTGTGCATCATTGAGAACTAACTACATTATACATAGGTAACATTTATTGAATGCTTACTAAGTTTTCTGGAACTTTTTGAGGTATTTACAATTCTTTTAATCTTCACAATCATCCATGAGTAGTTACTATAATTCTTTTAACTTTTCAAATGGACTTTATTGAGATATAATTTACATATAATATACTCATTTTAAGTGCTCAGTTCGAGTTCTGACAAATGTAGTATATGCCTGCGTAACCTCTCCCCTACAATCAAGATATAGAACATTTTCATCAGTAGGTACTTTTGTTATCCTTATTCTACAAAGAGGAAAACTGAAAGACAGAGAAGTTAAGTGACTTGTGTGGGGCCCCATGGTAATAGAACCAGCATTTGAATCCATGCTGTGTGACTGCAGAGTCCACATTCTTCTGAGCTGTGCTACCTTTCATCTCTCAATTTGTGGTCAAGCCATTGCCTCTCTTGTCCTAGTGGACAAGTGCATTAAGGACTAAGATGACATAGACTTACAATCTAAGCACTAGGAGGGGTGTTGGGGAGCAAGAGGCCCAGAGATAGGCAGTGGGGAGGAATGAGATAGCCATCTCAGTACCCCTACAGTTCCAGGACCCAAAGAAGGCAGAACAACGTGCCTTTTGCTCAGCCTTTGCTTCTCCAGGCCTGCAAAGAATAGGGTAGACTAGAGAGTCTTATAATAAGGTTACCAGTATGATATAGTATCTGAAAAAAGGACGGCTCCTAGGCTCACATAACTGGAATAGAAACATAGAAAATGAGAAGAGATGATAGTCTCATATGTTCTGAGAGTGACCTTAGTAGTGGCTGCAGCCCATTCTGGACTTGGCACTATAGAGGCAACATAGATAGTCTGGAGATGGAGAGTGGCCTTGAAATCCAATCCTTTGAGGAGAGGTTGAAGGAGCCAAGACTGGATGCCCTGAAGTGAAAATGTAATCACTGGCTTCATATCCTTGAAAGGCTGTTCTTTGGCAGAGAAAACCAACTTGTTTTTCTTTGTGGCTTCAGAAGGGGTAATTAGAACCCAATGGGTGGGATGGTGTAGAGTATTTTGGAAAAATTAAAGTACAGTGAATATGACATATCTCATATCTCATTAGCTTGGAGTACAAATAAGATCAGATCTTTTTTCAATATTAAAATTAATCTCTGCAGCTGGGTGCAGTGGACCACGTCTGTAATCCCATCACTTTGGGAGGCCGAGGAGTCCAGGAGTTGAAGACCAGCCTGGGTGACATGGCAAAACCCCATCTCTACAAAAAATACAAAAATTAGCTGGGTGTGATGGCATGCATCTGTAGTCCTAGCTACTTGGAAGGCTGAGGTGGGAGGACCACCTGAGCCTAGGAGGCAGAAGTTGCAGTGAGCCGAGATGACACCACTGCACTCCATTCTGGGCAACAGAGCGAGACTTCATCTCAATAATAATAATAATAATAATAATAATAAAATATCTGGAATGAGTGTGAAATTATCTGGAAATTTAATATGTTTCCCTTGGGGCTGTTCTTCTTCCCTCTTTCTCTTTATGAAGTATTCAAAAACTCTAAGGGCTTATTCAATCCAAAGGGGTCAGGCTTAGTTCCAAGTAGAGAACTAAAGAATCTTATTGGCCTGCTAGCGGGCCCCATTTTTAGCTTCTGTTGGTGTTGCACAGTATGGCTTTTAAAAATGGATCTTTCACAGAATGTGGTTTCTGTATTTACTGTAGCCACAAGAACCTGATTCTCCATAAGTCACAGTGGTTCATTGAGGGAGGATGATGGCAGTCCTTCAATGTCACTCTTAGTCCCAGGGTTCACTCTGCTTGAGCTCTCAAGGTGAATGCTCAAGTTTATATGTATATAAGCTCATCCACTGGAGGAGGAAACCTCCACAATTTTCCATTTGGCTAAGTCTAGAAGTGTTTCTAGCTTCCACCACATTCTAGCTCCAGAACCTTCTCTCATGATCACTTTTGTTATAGAGCTTGGGACATCCCTTCAGCATGAGCTCTTACTGTTGGCTGTTGGTGTCCCCCCCTACCTTTAACTTCACCTAGGATCTTGAGTCTGTTAGAGAAATTCTTTTTTTTTTTTTTTGAGATGGAGTCTTGCTTTGTTGCCCAGGCTGCAATGTAGTGGGGCGATCTTGGCTCACTGCAACCTCCGCCTCCTGGGTTCAAGCGATTCTCTTGCTTCAGCCTCCCGAGTAGCTGGGTTTACAGGTGCCCACCACCACACCCAGCTAATTTATTTTTGTATTTTTAGTAGAGACAGGGTTTTGCCATGTTGGTCAGGCTGGTCTCGAACTACTGACCTCAAGTGATCCACCTGCCTTGGCCCCCCAAAGTGCTGGGATTACAGGCATGAGCCACCGCGCCCGGCCTGTTAGAGAAATTCTAATAGCATTGAACTTCAGAAGTAAGGGGAGTCAAAGTTTCAGTCTCTCCCTAGGAGAGCTTTAGACCCTATGCATATTTGTTTTCATTTTCTTCAGCTTTGCATACCAAGGGGTGTTGAGAACAGTCTTTGCCAAGTCACAAAATATCCTGTTGTATCCTTTTCCCCAAGAGCAATGTGTGCTCATTTGCTTTATGTTTTATCATTAAAACAGGGCTCCTCAAGAGTGAGGGTCTGTCCCAGAATGATTTAATGTTTCTAAACATTAAAAGGGACTGACAGGAGGGACTGACAGTTTTAAAATGACAGTTTAAGGCTGGGCACATGGTTCACACCTGTAATCCCAGCACTTTGGGAGGCTGAGGTGGGCACATCACCTGAGGTCAGGAGTTTGAGACCAGCCTGGCCAACATGGAGAAGCCCTGTCTCTACTAAAAATATAAAAATGAGCCTGGTGTGGTGGCACATACTTGTAATCCCAGCTACTCAGAAGGCCGAGGCAGGAGAATTGCTTGAACCCGGGAGGCAGAGGTTGCAGTGAGCCGAGGTAGCACCACTGCGCTCCAGCCTGGGTGACAGGGCACGACTGTCCCAAAAAAAGACAGTTTAAGACCATCATCCAGAATGAGCAGGGTTATCATTAGAAGATGTGAGAAGGGGCAAGTGGCCATGCAGTCTGAACCAGTATCTTGAAACCCCTTTCTCCTAGGAGGGACTCTTACTAATTTTCTCCACTACTGCCATACTAGCTTCAGCAAGGTACTGTTCTCCCTTTATGTTTGGCCCCAAGTTGGGCAAAGAACTTTTCTGTATGACATATAACTGAGCCCTATATAAAATATTTAGACAAGAATTTTCTAAAAACTAAGGGATAGCAATAGAATTGAGACTAGATAGACTAGCTTATAAAATGCTGCTTGATCTCTGGGGCTATCAGAGGATATACACTTAGACAGTACCATCATGATTATCTGGTTATGATGGAAGAGAGAGGAGAGAGGTGTGACTTCTAAAGATCCTTCTGGCTCTGAGATTCTGTGATTCTTCTAGGCTTTTCCAAACTGAAAATTCTAGAACTGACTTTGTTCTGTGATTCTTGCAAATCTTACAGGCCCAACAGTGGGGTCAGGAAAGTAGGTGACTATGACATAGTTGAGGTTACCACTGATCTCATTTCTGCATTTCTCCCAACCACTGCATTCCACTTAGGCCAGAGAAATACAGATGTAAAATACAGCCTTTTAAATGTATGTTTTACCACAATTAAAAAAATACAGCTTTTTTATTTGTCCACAATGTTAGTCTATCCTTTCTCATTTGACCCTCCCAATACCTTGTGATATAGGCAAGAAAGTACTTATTAAGTCATTTTAGAGATGAAGAAATTGAGATTCAGAGAAGTTAAATAATTTACCTGTCCAGATTACACACTAGATCAACTGGTATCCTCAGTGCTCTTAATAAATATTTGTTAAATAAATGAATGAATCAGAACATAGAACTAGGAACAAGGAAGATTCTTTGTTTCCTTGGCCAGTATTTTTCTTTCCCTATTCTTCTGAGCTGCCTGGGGGCTTTCTCTGAGCACCTTTTGGGTTGGCTGTTTTTGGTTGACCTTCTCTTTGGGATTCCCTTGTTCTGTAGCTGAAGCTGTGTGCACTCGTTAGAGATCATCATTCCAGTTGTGTTCCCTAAGGAGTGGGAAGGGAAAAAACACTCCACCCACTGTAAATCTTTTTTTGTTACTTGTTTTCTGGGATCTTCATATCATTGCTGACAAGAGTGACTCATAGACTTCACTATGTGATTTTCTTGGTTAAGAGACCTTTTTCCTTAACTCCAGAAGAAATTAATTCATGGTTTTGTATGGTTAAAGCACAGCTATTTAGTAGCTTTACCCAGAACACAACAGTTCCGTCTTCTAGTGAGCCCAGACTTACCAATTTGGTTTGGCCAAAACTCTTGAATGCCTAGCTCTGTTAGGTGCTACAGAGGAAGCCGTTGGTGTGAGGGGAGGAGAGGGGCTCACTCAGGGTCCAGTTGGGGAGATAAGACACATACATAAATGGGAAAATAGTTTGAGGCAGTTTAAATAAAATGCAAAATCAAATTGTATACATGTAAATATTTAAATGTGGGGAATAGATCATAAGGGGCTGAGAAGGTATAGCAGAAAGAGTGTATGCTTTAGAACTGTAGGCCATTGGCAAGTTAACATAATTCTCTGAACTACTTTTTCCTTTTCTGTAAAATGGGGATAATAACAGCAGACTCACAGGGTTGTGAGGAATAATGAGGTGATGTGTGTAAAGCACCAACATAGTGGCTGATGCATCATGGTAGGCATCGAACTATTGGGAAGCAGCATACCCCCATGCACTGACTGCCTCCCCTACGACCCTTTCAAGGAGCCATCCTGGAGGACCTAAACTGGAAAGGTTGGTTAGCATTTGGAGAAAGAGAAAAGGGGGGATGGCAAGCCATGAATGAAGGAACAGGTCCCACAGAGAATGTCAATCTAGGGGGAGTGGAGGATACATGGAAGAAGCAGTGGAGTAAAATTAAAGAAACAGAGAAGTTTGGACTTTATTTAAAAGAGATGTTTTTATAGGAAGTGTTTTTATGCCATATGCATATATTTATATTTATAGAAAGGCCTTTCTTGTACTCTTCAGTGTAGTGTAGTAGCTAAGAGCTTGGACTCTAGAGCCAGACTGCCTGTCTCTATATGCCACCACTTAGTTTACTTCTCTGTGCCTCAGTTTCTTGAGCTGAGAAATGGAGATGTTGATAATGATACCTCATAGGGTTGTTGTGAGGATGAATGAGGTAACAAATATAAAGTGCTTAGAATAGTACCTGACACATGTGAGGTGCTATAATTTTTATTGTTATTATTTAAATGAAACAAAACTTTTACAAAAGAGTACATGCCTCTACTAATGAACTCTGATAATTAAACAGAACAAAAATGGTCCACTGACTGAGGGATTGATATCTACAGTTCGAAGACTTCTGCTGTAGGTAATGAAGATCCATGAAAGTGGTAAGCAAGGTGAGGCCTGCATAAAGTGATATTAAACAAAACAGATCTGACTGGGAGGTGCAGGATGAATTAGAGGAAAGAGAGTTGGCAATGGGCTCTTGAGATAGGGTGTGTCCATGTTAAATCACCTAACAGTACAAAACATTTGTTATATTTGAAAGTAATTCTTGGTAGGGTTAAGCAGTAGATGTGTAGGACTTGGGCAGCCTTGTCAAATAACGTGAGTTCTGGTGAAAGGAATGCAGCAGTGTTGTAGCAAATAGTATTGCCATAGAAGAAGCATATATATGTGTGTGTGTGTGTGTGTGTGTGTGTGTATACATATATATATATAGAGAGATAGTGTGTGTGTATACATATATATATATATATATATAGAGAGAGAGAGAGAGAGAGAGAGTGTGTGTGTGTCTCAGTGTCACTGTGTTGCCCAGGCTAGAGTGCAATGGTATGATCATGGCTCACTGCAGTCTTGACCTCCTGGGCTAAAGCAATCCTCCCACCTCAGCCTCCTGAGTACCTGGGACTACAGGTATGAACCATCACACCCAGCTAATTTTTTATTTTTGTAGAGAGAGGGTCTTATGTTGTTGTACAGACTGGTCTTGAACTCCTGGAGTCAAGCAGCCCTCCTGCCTCTGCCTCCGAAAGTTCTGGGATTATAGTCAGGAGCCACCAAGTCCTGTCTGTACATATTTTTGAGTATATAAAATGATCAAAAATAGGCTTTAATTACATCTCAATTAAAAAATGTTCAAATAAAAATAGAGTGATCACTGATGACTGTAAAAGGCAGGAAGATCTCATTAGAGGAGGCAGTACTTGGATTGGGTTTGAAGGTAGGGTAGAATTTGATCATTGGTGAGCACTGCATGGAGGTAAGAATGGATATGGTGTGTGATCGAGTTAGTAGCCAAACCAGGACTTCAACCTGGTCTGTCTACTCCAATGAGCTGTGCAGAGAAGCACTAATGGCCATATAATACCTAGACCACTTATAGCAGGCAGTCTCACTATGCATAGCCTCCATTTCCTGGGCAGAGTGGTCTGAGGTGCCTGGATGACACATTTTCAGCTTCCTTGTAAACTTGTAAGTCCCATAAGGGCCAGGCTGATCTGGCATTTGGGGTAGTGTTGAGGGTGGGAAGGAACCATAGACAGTTGCCCTCTTCCATTTGGATGTGCCTCAGGAGAGTTCCTGAGAACCTACCCTATCCTTCTTTGTAGTGCTGCCTGTGCTGTGGGCCTAGAGTGGGCCTAGCTGGAACATGGGTTTGGTGATGGACCGGTAGGTGGCAGGGACTACTGGATTTTGGATTTCCTCTCAATGAACTGTGGTTTCGTATGGGTTGTTTGCTTTGCTCTCTGTTTATACAGCATTAAAGGACTTTTATCTTTATCTTTGGCCAGCTGAAGGTTAAAACCTCCAAAGTTTGCATTTGAACTGGATCATTTCTCATTTTGGCTGGCTTTAAGTCTCATGTCTTAAGGCCATTTGTGGTACCAGCAGACCTCTTTATGAGGTAATGTGTTCCTGGTTGCTTTGGGGGCTAGTGTGCAAGGCAGGAAGTAAGTGTTTGAGAGCAAGGTAGAGAAACCTCTTGTAGAGTCTCAAGCTAATGCTTAGAGCTTTTTGAGTGCAGAGTAGTTAGGTTCTTTACAGAGTTAGATGGACTTTGCCTGGAACAGACACCCCAGAAGGATGTTATCATTGTTAAAGCAACCAGGGTTATATCATTTCTTTTACCCCAAGGCAACTCTTCTGCTAGGAGCCTGGGACCCTCTAGTCTGCTCTTAGAGAGCTTGCCAGCTGTGTCTGTGCATGCTCAGCCTTCTGCCATCTAGATGTTTTGTATTTCCTAAGGCCAAGCTCTGAGGGCATCTTCTTTGGGAAGCCTTTCCTTGACTCCTAGGAAAGAATTAGTCAACTTGCTTCCACAGAACCTGGTATATCCTGTGATTGTAGATATTTCCTAGTAGAAAATGGGGACTACTCACATGATAAGATTGCCACATGCTATCTAAATATTACATGGCCATTTAAGGAGTGCTTTTCTGCATCGTTAACTGGAATAGAGAAACTGGGTTGAAGTCCTGGTTTGGCTGGTAACTTGATGACACACCATACCTATTCTTACCTCCATGCAATGCCTCTTAATTACCTGTCTTCTTCACCAGACAATAAAGACTGTAAGCTGGTAAACTTTTTTTGTTTTTTCTTCTGGTAAAGCTATTGTGCTTTAATAAAAAAAGATTATTGCTCAATATAGGTTTTTCCAAGAGAGCCACAGTCCAGTTCACAGTTAAAAAAAACATCTTCTAGGTCGGGTGCAGTGGCTCACGCCTGTAACCCCAGCATGTTGGGAGGCCGAGGTGGGAGGATCACTTGAGCCCAGGAGTTTGAGGCTAGCCTGGGCAACAGGAGAGACTCTGTCTCTGCAAAACACAAAAACCAACCAAACAAAAAATTATCCTAGAATAGATGGAAAATCATACTAAGGAACAAAGACAACTTTCCTTTCATTTTTCCTTTGCATATCTTACACAGTCATATCACTATGACTTAAAGAAAACAAATTATCACGTATATACACAGATTCACATAAGTGACAGAAGCAAATGTATTAGTCAAAGGATATCTTCATCTATATTGAAGTACAAGCTAGAAAGTAAACTTCTTGAAGGCAGAGATTTTTTTTTTAAGTTGTGTGGCTCTACCACCTAACATAGGTTATGTACAGAATAGACATCAATAGTGAATGAACAGATGAATTAGTTAATGAGTTAATGATGGATTTTTAGCACATTTTCTCTCTTTTTTAGGAACTTAAGACCCCAACTGAGTTGTTTAGAGGAAGGGGCCTTAGGCTGGGGCCAAATTCTATGTCTTCTATGCAGACGTGAGATAATGTGAAATGTTTTCCTTTTACAGGGTGTTTCCCCTGGCTTTTCAGCATTCTTCTCAATTCTTTAATTGCCATTTAAAGATTTGTATGCTGTGGATGAGCTGATGGAGGGGAATGTTTCCCTGAGGACATGGCTTCTCATGGCAGCCAAGGTTTTGTGCCTGATTAACTCGCTGATTGAATCACTGGCCTCTGGAGGCACCAAGGGAGGGAGCATGAGTATATTTAAGCAGCCAGAACTCTCTGTGCCTGTGTAGTGGGAGTGGAGGGGGAAGTGGGATGGGAGTGATGGTAAGTTGAAAAGAGAATGGTCAGAGAAATCTACAGTTTTTAACTCTTCATCAATACTATGTTTTGGATTTTCCTTTTGTGACAGAGTAGTCTAGTAGAAAGAGCACAATTTAAGTAAGAGACTTTCTTCTGTCACCAACTCACTGTGCCACCTAGGACAAATCACTGCCGCCATGTGGGCCTCATTTGTCAAGTGGGATCAGGAATCTCTGCTCTGCCTGACTCCTTGAATTGTAGTGAGCATCGGTGAGCTGTTGGATGACAGAGCTCTGCACAGTAGAGGTGATGGTACCCTAATCAGAGCAGGAGTGTAGTGACTCTGGTCATCATCCCATCATTTCTTGCTAGGGTTTTCCTATCTCTAGAGGAATCAGCTACTAAAGCCTAGTCCTCAATGCTCAATTTCATCTTTCTGTTCTTTCCTGTCTTTATCTAGTGACTCCTCATTATATAATACGGGTGACCCAGTTGTCCCAGCAAGGCCCCTCCATATTCTCTGACTTCCCTCTATCACAGTACTCACCAGGCTGTCTTACCATTGTTTGTTTGGAGGTAGCTATTAGGAGTATAGGCTTTGGAGTCAAGCTGCCTGGGTTTGAATCCTTACTTTTACAACTTACTGGCTATGTGCTCTTGAGCAAGTTACTTATCTCTCTGTGCCTTAGTTTCCTATCTATAAAATGAAGAGAATAATGGCAACTGCCTCACTGGCAGTTATTGTGAGAATTTAAATAAGGCAGTATATATGGAGAGTGGAGACTAGTGCCTGGCATATGGTAAGCATTCAAAAATGTTGTGTAGGCTGGGCATGGTGGCTCACGCCTGTAATCCCAGCACTTTGGGAGGCTGAGGCGGGTGGATCACCTGCGGTCAAGAGTTTGAGATCAGCCTGGCCAACATGGTGAAACACAATCTTTACTAAAAATAAAAAAATAAAAAAAAAAAGAAAAGAAAATTAGCTGGACATGGTGGTGCACACCTGTAATTCCAGCTACTCGGGAGGCTGAGGTAGGAGAATCACTTGAACCCGGGAGGCGGAGGTTGCAGTGAGCCGAGATTGCACCACTGCACTCCAGCCTGGGCGACACAGTAAGACTCTGTCTCAAAAAAAATAATGTTGTGTATTATTATAATAATCATTATTGCTTAACTTCTTCCCTGATTGAAACTCTGTTAGGCCAGGGACCATGTCTATTTTATTATTATATCTATAGTTCTTAGCACAGGTGTATTAGCCATTCTTGCATTGTTATAAAGAAATACCTGAGGCTGGGTAATTTATAAAGAAAAGAGGTTTAATTGGCTCACAGTTCTGCAGGCTTTACAGGAAGCATGGTGCTGGCAACTGCTTAGCTTCTAGGGAAGCCTCAGAAAGCTTACAGTCATGGTGAAAGGCAAAGATGGAGCAGACACTTAACATGGTAAAAGCAAGAGCAAGATAGAGAGTGGGTGGGGAGAGATGCCATACACTCTAAACCAGATCTTGTGAGAACTATCATGAAGACAGCATCAAGCCAGGAGGGATCCGCCCCCATGACCCACACACCTCCCACCAGGCTCCACCTCCGGCATAGGTGAGTACAATTCAACATGAAATTTGGGTAGGGATGAATATCCCAACTATATCAATGGGGTTGGAACAGCAGGCGCTGGATAGGAATTTCTTGAATAATAGTATACATTTGAATGCTGAATTTTCCTTATACAATACTAATTTTATGATCATGAGCAAGAGACTTGCCCTCTCTACACCCCAGTTTTCATATCTGTTAAATGGGAATCAAAATATTTGTCCTGTAGGCCTGATGTGAGAATTAAATTAATATGAAATGCCAGGAAGTGTGTAAATGTCATTCGTCTCCATACCTGTTGGCTGTGTGCATGTGGAACCCAAGAATCTGCTGGTTCCTATAGTACCCCTATAGTGAGCTAAACCCAGAGATGCTTCTGAGGTGATGTTTTCTGGATATTTGGCCTAGGACAAAGAAAGTAGCATACTTTGAGATTATTCTTAGCATTTCTGGCCTTTTCTATCTGCCTGCCCTGCTTGTTCTTCGTTGGATTCTAGGTTCCTAAAAATAACCAGAATATTTTTCTGCCTCTTAGTTTTCCAAGTGTCTTAAGCAATCAGAAGCATTTTAATTTTGGCTCCTTTAGGCTGGCCCTGTTTGGTTCTGTCATTGTTAGCCATTACCATATCCTGCTTATATTATGTTTCCTGACCTGCTATACTTTTTCCAGGGCCAAAACACTACCCACATCGCTCCAGGTAAATAACTTTATTTGGCTCACTCTAACCAGTTGGGAAGCACAGTGGCCCATGAGGTTAGAAGCCTTGAGTTCCAGTGCTGGCTCTGCCACTGTGTGACTGTGTGACATTGGGCATAGCCCTTTCCCTCTCTGTGTCTCAGGCTGTCATCATTAAAATGAATGATTTGAACCAACTCAGTGCTTTGTAAGAGTCCTTAAGTTCTGTATTTGAGTTTGGACAAATCACTTCTCTTTTGGGGGGGTCTTAGTTTCCTCATCTGTAAAACTAAGTATGTTGGCTTGAATAATTTACAAAGGCATATATAAACCTGAATATTTTCTCCTCATTCTTAGTGTTTTTTTTTTTTTTTCTTTCTGCCTTGTATTACTTTCTGGAACATTTCTGTGACAGTTAACAGCTGTGGACAGGAAACCCTTGAACACTTCTAACTTGGCAAATGTTGCTGCTCCTCTGAACCTCATCCCAGCCCATTTCCTGTGTTTACAGCTTTTGGGTTTTGCACTTAGTGACAGGCCTGACAGGTCATATTGTAGTTTTCTCTTCATAGCCTGGTACAGGGTAGACCAAAGTGAGCACCAATTTGAGTGTCAGAAGACAGAGTTTCAGTCTCTGCTCAGCTGTATGACCTTATGGAAGTGACCTCCCTTCTCAGGGTTCAATTTCCTCCTCTCTGGAGCCAGAAAGTTTTAACGAGGGAGGCTTTCTGGCTCTGATGTTGAATATATGTCTCTTGTTTATTACTGCTGACGGGGGCCCTCTGTTTCACCTGTTTTTTCCACATACTCCATCCTACAAGAGACACAGCAGGCTACCTTTGCATTTCCTATATTGGACAAAATAAGAGGAAGAAAGGAAGCCAAACAGCTCTCCCAGGCTCAGTTGGCAGCAGAGAGGAGTTGAGGTGAGAAGCTGGTGTCACCGAATTGCCCAGTAAATCAGCTGTGTGGTTGGTAACCAGGTAGGCACCTGTATGCATTTATTCTTATCAAGGCTCTGGAGACAGACTGTATCCTACTTCCAGACCTACTTTCACCATATATGTGACCTTGGGGAAGTCACTTATTGTATCTGGGCTTCAGTTTTCTCATTTTTTATTGAGGATAATAAAAGTACTGACTTTACAAAGTTTCAAAGAGACAACGTATGTAGAAGTGATCAACATAGTTCCTGACATGTTCATCCTCCCTTTCTCCCTTAGACAGTTAACAGTATTCTTAATTCTGTTCTTGTGGAGAAAGCAAAAAGACACTCAAGTTCCATTCTAGAGGAGCTAACAGGCCACATGAGAACAGAATACAGTTAGGTTTAGAAGAGCTCTTATGAGGTGGTCCGTTGGCCAGTGTAGGCTCAATACTCTGACCTCAAAATGGGAGACTTATAGGGCGCGGAGTAGTTAAAGAAGGCATCCCAGGGCCTTCCCTGGGCCTTGAAGGTTCAGAAAGTATTAGACATGAAAAGCTAGAGAGAGAATAATTCTAGGTACCTATCTACCCTTTCTCAAGCTCTGGTGCTTTGTTTTGTATAGGTCAGTTTCCCATATATCTCCCTTTCTCTTCTTCTAGGTGGTTATTATCCAAGGGGCTTATCTTTTCTTTTTTTAATATATAAGAGAAAAAAATTAAGGGATGAGGAGAACCTAATATTTATTAAGAACAAGCTAGTTTTACTTGAATCTGTAGGCTATGTAGTTTGCTTGCATAATCTTACTTATTTAGAAAAATACATTATTATGCCGTATTTTACAGATGAAAAAATAGTGCCTCCAAAAGGTTAGACAACTTTTCTAGCTCTACAATAACAAATTATGATGACAAATCAAAGGAGCCCTACGTGAGCCAGTTTAGAAGACATGTATAAGCAGGTGTCAGTTGTGCTTATTCATTCCAAGTTCTCAATCTATAATAGTCTGGTTCTTTTTACACTTATCTTCTAAATACGTCTATCTTATTCCTAGTTCCAACCTGTACTCACCTCCTGCTCTTAGCAGTTATTCCCAATCCTCTAAATCTCCAGTTCTACCATTAATTTAGATTGTACCTTCCTGCCCCAACCTTAGATCCCTTAATTCTCTTCTCAAATATTTACCAAGCATCTACTATATGCCAGGCTAGACACGAATGCAAATACCAATTTCTGCTTAGATATTTCAGTGTACTAGTTAGACAATTACAACAAAAATAACATGGTAATAATTGAACACTTACTATGTGCCATGCTCTATTTGAAGTACTTTATATGTATTAACTCATTTAATTCTCACAACCCTATGAGGTGGATACTGTTTTCTCCTTATTTTACAGATAGAAATGTAGGCATAGAGAATTTAAGTAATTGGTCCAAATTGTGATACAGAGAAGCACAGGGACTATAAGAGCACAGAAGAGGGACTCCTAATCAAACCCCGGGGGTCAGTATAGAGAAGGCTCCTAGAGAAATTAGAAAAAGCCTGAGTAGAATCTTGAAACCTGAGTATGAATTAGTCAGGTGCAGAATGGGGCAAGGATATTGCGGGCAGAGGGAACATCATGTACAAAGCCACAAAGTGAGCCTTGCATATTTATGGAACTGAAAGTAATTTAGTATGGTGGGAGTGTAGGGTATATGTGAGCTGGTGAGTGGCAGGAGATAAGGCTAGAAAATGCTATAGAGACAGCCTCTTGAAAAAGTCTTGCATGCTTTTCTAAATTATATTCATTGCAAAGGCCAAGTATTCCCAGTCTTGGGGATTTGAATCCCTGAAAGGGGTCCTTGAGGGGTGTCTCATGAATCCATATTATTTCCTCAGTCATTTTTCAACCAGTGGTTAGTAAAAGCACACCTATCATTACATGGAGCTCTTTGGAATTCCTCACTGAAAAAAGTTAGGCATCACTGTTAAGGGAGTTTGGGAACCCTGTGAAGGATTTTTTAAATTAAAATTTTTATTGAGATGATTATAGATTTACATGGAGTCCTAAGAAATAATATGGAGAGATCACTGGAAAACTTTGCAGTTTCCTCCATGGTAACATTTTGGACAAGCTGTAGTATATCATGGCCAGGATATTGACATTGACATTGATAAAATCCACCAATCTTGTTCAGATTTCCCAGTTTTACTTGTACTCATCTATGTGTATAAAGTTCTATTCCAACACCACAAAGATCCTTCCTATTCTTTTATAACCACTCCCGTCTCCTTTCAACCCCATTCCTCATTCCTAATCTCTCTCTGCCTTCCATTTCTAGAATTTTATCCTTTCAAAAATGTTACATAAATGGAATCACAGAGTATATAACCTTTTGGAATTGGCTTCTTTCTTTTTTTTCTTTTCTCAGTTCAGTTCCTTGGAAACTCATCCAAGTTGTGTGTATCAATAGGTCATTCATTTTTTTTTTTTTTTTTGAGACAGAGTCTTGCTCTGTTGCCCAGGCTGGAGTGGAGTGGTGCGATCTGGGCTCACTGCAACCTCCACCTCCTGGGTTCAAGCGATTCTCCTGCCTCAGCCTCCTGAGTAGCTGGGATTACAGACATGCACCACCACGCCTGGCTAATTTTTGTATTTTTAGCAGAGACGGGGTTTCACCATGTTGGTCAGGCTGGTCTTGAACTCCTGACCTCAAGATCTGCCCGCCTCGGCCTCCCAAAGTGCTGGGATTATAGGCATGAGCCACTGTGCCTGGCTGGGCATTCCTTTTTATTGCTGAGTCATGTACCATTGTACATAAGTACTGGAGTTTAACCATTCACTTGTTGAAGAATATATGGGCTGCTTCCAGTTTTGGGTATTACAAATAAAGCTTCTGTGAGCATTTATGTACAGGTTTTTGTGTGGGCCTGTGAAGGATTTTATTCAGAGGGCTATCTAGTCAGATTTGAATTTTATTTTATTTTTTTGAGAGAAGGTCTCGCTCTGTCACCTGGGCTGGAGTGCAGTAGTACGATCATAGTTTACTGCAACTTCAAACTGCTGGGCTCAAGGGATCTTCCTGCCTCAGCCTCCTGAGCAGCTGGGACTACAAGTGCATGACACCATACCCAGCTAATTTTTAAATTTTTATTTTGTAGAGACAGGATCTTGCTTTGTTGCCCAGGCTGATCTTGAACTCCTAGCTCAAGTGATCCTCCGCCTCAGTCTCTCAAAGTATTGGGATTACAGGCATGAGCCACTGTGCCTGGCCCAGATTTGAATTTTAGAAAAATTGTACTCACTGCTTGGTAGAGGATGAGTTTGAAAGAAACTAGAACAGAGACAGGGCGAATAGTGAGGAAACTGTTGTAACCCAGGCAAGAGATGTAGAAGCCTGAACTGCTTTGGCATAGAGGTATCGCCCTCAGAAATCAGATCAGGCTTGTGCAGAGGAGGGAGCAGGGCTATGGAGCCTGGGCTGCCAGGAGGCTCAGGTAGACTTCATTCTGGATAGTCTCCTTTCAGGGAGGACACTCTGCTACCCCAGCTGAGAAAGGCATCCTGTAAGGAAGGGCTGCTCTTCAGCTGCAGGAAGAGAGTCAGAACCTGGTTCCTAGAATGATCATCTTGACTGCAACATTGTTTAGTAGATGCTGTTGGTTATCTTCTCCCAAGAAAAGACAAAGAGGGGCCAGTTATCTTTCTTTTATTGTCTGAGTGGAGGGTTATATGGGGCAGAAAGATAATGAGAAGCTCTCTCTTAGTTCATGTCTCTTTTGGAGCCCAGGAATGTGTTCTCTTTTAACCAGCCAGCAAGAGGCCTGGGAGGTTTCAGTCTGTCCTCTTGTTACTATGGAAACTGGAATCCACATTGTTTTTACCCCATGCAGTGGTGTGCCTGGTTCCTCAGTGTTTATATTTTCAAGGCGTTTATCATTGTGCACTTAGAGCCGCTGTGATTGGGACTGATTGTTGGGAACCAGCCTTACTGATTGAACCCAGAAGGGTATAATCTTAGAGGGTCCACTGATAGGTTGGACATGCCCCCTAGGTGTTGTCCTTTATCTGGGTAAGTCCTTGGGTGCCCACTCCAACACTTTCAGCAAACTTTTCCCAGCAGAAAGCCATTTGAGGTGTCTGTAATTATTTTTTTGGCTATCTCAGACCCTGATGAGTGCTGGCTAGGGCACAAGAACGTTTGGGTCAGGCGCCAGTCAGATAATTTGGGGTAGCTTTTGAACAAGTGTGTGTTGGTTTAATTCTTCTGGGGCCGTCTTTCTTCTTGGAAGCTTTAGTATATAAAGACCTGTGGTATGTGGGACTCCAAACCTGGGATAGCAAATCTTCAAAATCAGTATGCACCTTTCAGTTGTCTCTAGACCAGATATTGTGCTGCCCAGCACTGGGCTAGACACAGGGGAATACCAGAAGAATCAAAGACTCTCTTTGCTATTGTTGGGAAGGTAAGACTTCAGGGCCAGGCTCAGTGGCTCATGCCTGTAATCCCAGCACTTTGGGAGGCCGAAGTGGTGGATTGCTTGAGCCCAGGGGTTCAAGACCAGACTGGGCAACATAGTGAAACCTCATCTCTACAAAAAATACAAAAATTAGCCGAGCACAGTGGTGCATGCCTGTGGTCTCAGCTATTTGGGAGGCTGAGCCTGGGAGGTGGAAGCTGCAGTGAGCCATGATCTTGCCACTGCAGTCCAGCCTGGGTGACAGAGTGAGACCCTGTCTCATAAATAAATAAATAAATAAAATAAAGTCTTCCAGGTTAAGCAGAGAGTAGAAAACTGATGGATGAACAACTAACATTTGTATAGAGCTTTACTATTTTTCAAAAGACTTGACTGATTTTTTCAGGTAAGAACATTAATCCTTAGGAGTAGTCAATGTATAGGAAAGTTGGAATTCAAAGACCCATATTTGCTACCTCTGCAATTCAATACATATTTCAATAATTAGGGATTGGGGAAAAAGGGGATCCTGGAGGCCAGAGAAATGTGTGTTATTGTTTGATTTCCCAGTGCCTTTGCCTAGTTCAGCTAGTTCAGTCATCAGCAAAAGCTGCTTGAAAGTGTTAAATAAGTGTTGAAATGGGTATTCCAGCATGTGAACACTGATCTGGGAGTCAGTCAGACACTTTCAATTCAGTCAGGAAGGTCATAGAAACAAAAGGGCAGGCAAATAGGCTGTCTACCAGGAGTCTGAAGCCCTATGGGAAACCAAGGAGTGGGCAAAGGGTATCATAACAGTTGGACAGCTCCTGCATCAGAAGCCCATGTTATTGAGGTCAAGGCCTGCTTGGTGGTGACTAGCTGTAGGGATTAGCCATTTTCTTCTGGAAGGAGGCTTCTTGTGAGATCAAAATTTGAAGAAAAGAATGCTTAGAGGAGGAGGAAGGTAGAAATGGGACACAGAAGGAGTAGCTGAGTGCACCCTGGAGGAGAGATAGCCAGAGACTTCTCTTCTAGAAGATGATTAGGTTTAGCAGAAGCATATTCTTTTTCCCTTTTTGCTCCTCCCAGCATGGTGTACCAGAGACTCAGTTCTTCTCTAGTGATTCTTAAACTTTATATTTAAGTTCTAATGAGAAAGAGGTTTTTGGCTAGTTTGTTTCAGGAGGTTGAACACTAAAGAATTTAAGGCAAAGCAAGGATGTTCTATTTTACCCTGTTTGGGGAATGGTTCAAGCCCAGATGGAGTTTCTTGTATTTGTCATTAATAGACAAAAAACCCCTGATGGAAGCCCTGCTTCCTCACCCCACAGCCCTTGCTTTGTTGCCTTGGAAAGTAAGAGTTAGTAATGCCAGGGAGCCCGGTTGCATAGGCTGATCCAGATCACCCAACTATAGCCTTGCCATAGGACGTGGTATAGGAAGTTAGTGTGGTTTCTAATCTGGTTCTGCCACTTCTTTGCTGGCCAACCTAGGGCAAAACAACCCATTTTATGGCCTCAATTTTCTTCTCCAGGTGTTAAAAGAGCAACGGCCTTTGAGGCCCTCCAAATCCCCTTCAATTCTGCCATTTAGAGTCTGAGTATAATATGTGATCTCAACATCCATTATTCCCATTCTATGCCAGGAGTTTTTGCAAGATCGGTATTGACTTCTTGATCTTCTTCTTTCTTTTTTTTTTTTTTTTGAGACAGGGTCTTGCTCTGTTGCTGAGGCTGGAGTACAGTGACATGCTCACAGCTCACTGCAGTCTTGACCTCCCAGGCCCAAGAAATCCTCTCATCCCAGCCTCCCTAATAGCTGGCACCATAGGTGTGTGCCACTACTCCCAGCTAATTTTTGTATTTTTTACAGAGATGGAGTTTCCCTATATTGCCCAGGCTGGTCTTGAACTCCCAGGCTCAGGTGATCCTTAGCCTCCCAAAGTGCTGGGATTACAGGCATAAGCCACCATGCCTGGCCTGACTTTCTGATCTTTTAATAAGTCAAGTTGTGTGAGATGCTGTGCTCCTTGCCTTTGGGCTTTCTTTGTTTGGGTTGCCCTTCCTTCTTCTCCCATTCTCTTCTACCTGTTTTTCAGTGGTAACTCCTGCTTGTGTGGTCTCTTGCCCCTTGCCATATTTTACTTTGTAATTCATATACTGTGCTCATTCTCCTAGTACTTTTTGTGAGCAAAGGATGGTGTTTATTCATCTCTTTTTGAATTTGTTCATTCAACAAGTTTTTCTGTGCATTTGTTTGTTCGTTCAACAAATGTTCATTGAAGTCTAACCGTTGTCCTAGGGACTAAGCTAGGTGCTAGCAGCCAGGATTCAGCCATGAGCAAGACAGCCATGGTTCCTGCCACTATGGAGCTTTCAATTTAGTGGAGAAGATAGACATTGAGCAAATTATCACAGAAATAATTACTATTGTGAAAAGTGCTGTAAATGAAAAATATAGGTTGTTTTGAGAATGTATAATGTGGGCCTAAACCAGTTTGGGAGGGAGAATGAGTCAGGATCTTTGAAGAAAAGACATTTAAGTGGAGATCAGCAGCATGAGTCAGAATTTGCAGGTTAAGAAAGAAGTAAGAGCCTTCCATACCGAAAGAATTCTGAGTGGTTCTTGACCTGGGCTGCAGTCTAGCGTCACCACGTAAAAGGGAGTATATGGAGCACCTGGACATATCATGCATGACTGGTGGGAGTATAAAGTGATATGCCTACTTTAGAAAACAGTTTGGCAGTTACTTGAAATGTTAAACATACTTTTATTTTGTAAATGCATCAGTTCCACCCTAGATATTTGCTCAAGAAAAATGAAAACATATGTTCATACAAAGACTTGTACATGAATACTCATAATAGCTTTATTTGTAAAATAGCCAAAAACTGATGAGTGGATAAACAAGTGGTGGTATAGCCATTCAATGGAATACTACTCAGCAGCAAAATGGAACAAACTACTGATTCATGTGACAACATGGTTGAATCTCAAATCTTGTTGAGTAACAGAAGCTAGGCACAAAAGAGTACATACTGATGATTCCATTTAATTTGAAATTCTAGAACAGGCAAAACTAGTTTATAGTGATAGAAGTTGGAACAGTGGTTGTGTGGGGAGGGAGAATGAGGGTTGGCAGTGAAGGACCAAGTAGGAATATTCTGGGGTGATGGAAAGGTTCTGCATCTTGATTGGGGTGGTGGTTACACAGGGATGTATGTTTGTCCAACACATTTAACAGTACATTAAAAATGAGGGCATTTTATTATATGTAACTGTACCTTAAAAATATTCATGCCTCATTTTTATAAGGGTCAAAAACAGGTAAAACTCGTCTATGATGATACAAGTCAGAATGTGGTTACTGTGGGGTATGGTTACTCATGGTAGTATTGACTGGAAAGGGGCAAGAAGGGTGGAGCCTTCCTGGAAATGTTCTATATTTTTTATTTCAGTGGTAGTTACATGAACATATAGATTACATAAAAATTGAATGTATATAATGTAAAAATATATATTTTAAATTGTCTATATATTTACTTATGTACTTTACTGTAAGTGTCTCTATTAAAGAAAAAATAAAACCCCAAAAAACCCAGCTTATGCCTGGCCCCACCCAGAGAGATACTGATTTAATTGGTCTGGTGTGGGGCCTGGGCATCAGCAATTTAAGAGCTCCTTAAGTGATTCTGCTATGCAGCCAGGGTTGAGAACTACTGCTCTATGTGGAAAGGCTGAGGAGGGAAGAAATGGTGTGTAAAGAAGGATCATAAAAAGCAGGAGTTTCACTTCTCTTTTATTTTTAAAAATTTTAATTAAAAATTTTTTTATTATTATTTTTTACTGCTCCCTGTGCAGCAGGGCTACCCCATAAGCAGTATGCCCAGAGTAGTCAGGAGTTTCACTTCTAATATGAAGTTATAGAAAAAAAAAAAAAAGCAGGAGTTACTGGAGATGAAATCAGAAAGATGGCAGGTGTCAGATCATTCTGGGCCTTGCAGGCCACATTAAGAAATTTTAACTTTATCTTAAGAATAAGGAGAAATTTTTGAAAGGTTATAAGCAGAGAGTGACTAGGTTGGATATTCAGCTAGTATGCACTAGCACCGCCTATAGCTCGCATTTCTGCTGATTGGTCATTAAGTATTTAGATTATCTCCTCTGGGAGAGGCATGCTGTGTGCAGGATAAGAGTTGGAATAGTTAAGGAATATTGAATTAGGATTGGTGATTGATTAAATGTGGAGAGTGAAGGAGAGTGAGGTGTCAAGGCTTCTGACATAAGCACCTGGAAAAGTAGGAAGGTTAGGGAAAAAATGAATTTAGAATTGGAACTTAACTAGTTCAAGTGCCTGAGAGACATCCATGTGATGTCTACTAGGTAGATAGGTTCTGTGGGTTTCTGTAGGTCCTAAGTGAAACTTGAACCAGAAACATAATTTTAGGACTTGGTAATAGTAATTTCTTTAAATAGTAACTGAAGGTATGAGAAGAGGTAAAATCACTTTAGGAAAGAGTGTAGTAAGAAGACAGCCCAGAATTTAGAAAAAAATTCTGACATTTAGAATTTATGTAGAAGTCTGGGCACAGTGGCTCATGCCTGTAATTCCAACACTATGAGAGGCTAAGGCAGGAGGATTGCTTGAACTCAAAAGGTAGAGGCTGCAGTGAACCATGATCATGCAATTGCACTTCAATCTGGGTGACAGAGCAAGACCCTGTCTCCAAAAAAAAAAAAAAAAAAAAAAAAAAAAGTCAGAGAGGAGAAACCTACCTTGCAAATTAGGGAAAGCGAAGATTTATTCATTCATTCAGCAAATTCTCTATTGAATACCTAGTATGTGTCAGGCACTGTACGAGTCCCTTGGGATACTGCAGTGAGCAAAAAAGCGACTGCTCTCGTGGACCTTACTTTTAGTGGAGGGAGATAGGTGATAAGCAAACCAAGGAATAAATATATCATGTGTCAGGTGGAATCAAATGCTATGAAAAATGAGAATCACAAGCTGTGTCCTCAGATATCTTCAAATAACTATAGTTATAAACTGACTGAGGTAAGGCCATATGAGGTGCAAAGTCAGAATTGCTGTTGGAACTCAGAAGTATATCTCATTGCATTGCTCAACATGGACCTGTATATATAGTTGATGCTGTGGATTATTATTATTATTATTTTTGAGACAGATTCTTGCTCTGTTGCGCAGGCTGGAGTGCAGTGGTGTGGTCTTGGCTCACTGCAGCCTCTGCCTCCTGGTTTCAAGCCGTTCTCCTGCCTCAGCCTCCTGAGTAGTTGGGATTACAGGCGCCCGCCACCACGCCCGGCTAATTTTTTTGTATTTTTAGTAGATATGGGCTTTCACCATGTTGGCCAGGCTGGTCTCAAACTCCTGACCTTGCGATCCACCTGCCTCAGCCTCCCAAAGTGCTGAGATTACTAGGGTGAGCCACTGCGCCTGGCCTATTATTATTATTAATGTTGAGACAGGTTCTTGCTTTGTCATCAAGGCTGGAGTGCAGTGTCATGATCATGGCTGACACAGCCTGAAACTCCTGGACTCGAGCAGTCCTCCATTTCAGCCTCCCAAGTGGCTGGGACTACAGGTGCACACTAGCACACTGGGCTAATTAAAAATTTTTTTTTCTTCCTTTGTAGAGATGAGATCTCACTGTGTGGACCAGGCTGATTTTGAACTCTTGGCCTCATGTGATCTTCCTACCTTGGCCCCCAAAGTGCTGAAATTACAGGCATGAGCCATCAAGCCTGGCCAATGGATTAATTTTTTTTTTTAGACGAAGTCTCACTCTGTCGCCAGGCTGGAGTGCAGTGGCGCAGTCTTGACTCACTGCAACCTCCACCTCCCGGGTTCAAGCGATTCTCCTGCCTCAGCCTTCCAAGTAGCTGGGACTACAGGCGCGTGCCATCATGCCCAGCTAATTTTTGTATTTTTAATAGAGACAGGGTGTCACCATGTTGGCCAGGATGGTCTCAATCTCTTGACCTCATGATCCGCCCATCTCGGCCTCCCAAGATGCTGGAATTACAGGCTTGAGCCACCGCTCCCAGCTGATTAATTTTTGATGAGCGACCTCAGGGAGAGAAGTGAGCTTGGTCAAAATTCAGAGCTTAGAAGCTGAGTGCAGTGGCAAAAGCCTATAATCCTAGCTATTTGGGAGGCTGAGGCAGGAGGATTGCTTGAGCCAGGAGTTTGAAACCAGCCTGGGCAACATAACAAGACCCCCCTCTCAAAAATAAAAAGGAAGTTAGAGCTTAGAATCTGTAGTGATTTGTGTTAGTGTTGCTTGGGCAGCTGAAACCAGTGCCAGTTTTGTCCAGAAGAAAAGATCTTTTGAATTCCTGCCCCCTGCTGAGAAGAGCTGGTCCTCTTCTTGGATATGAGGACGAGTGGTTCTAACAGACGCAGGAATATCTCTCAGATAGGCTGAGTTTTGCCTAGCCTAGGGGTATGACTCCTCTTTCTGTGGCTAGGCCTGCTGTGTGCCTCAGCTGAGATGTTATATTTCACTGGGGACCTTTCTTGGATAACTCCAGGTCTCAAACCTGTTCCTTTTTTAAGACTTCACATTTCCATAGTCAGGCGCAGTGGCTCACACCTGTAATTCCAGCACTTTGGGAGACTGAGGCGGGTGGATCACCTCAGGTCAGGAGTTTGAGACCAGCCTGGCCAACATGGTGAAACCCCGTCTGTACTAAAAATACAAAAATTAGCCAGGCGTGGCAGTGGAGGCTGAGGCAGGAGAATCGCTTGAACCTGGGAGGCAGAGGTTGCAGTGAGTCGAGATCAAGCTATTGCACTCCAGCCTGGGCCTGGGCGACAAGAGCAAAACTCTGTCTAAAAAAAAAAAAAAAAGACTTTACATTTCTGGCCAGAGCGTCCATCCCTTACTCCTCCCTCACCTCATCCCCATTCTAGGCCCCATGCTATTTTATCTCTTGAACTTCATGGTCCTTGACCAAATTTGAAAATCTTCCCAGGGCTAGTACTCTCAAGTCTTAGTCTTTTGATCCCTTTCCAAGAATGAGGGTGGATTCTAATCCCATCAAGAGTAGCTGCAGAATTTGCTAGTCCTGGCTGAGAAATAAGAGGTGAAGTGGGAGAAATTCTTCTTACTGATGGGGCCCCTGCTGGTAAAACTTGGCAATTTCCAATTCGTCCTATAGGGATGAATTACTGTTTAGTGACGAGAAACAGAAAGTGGTTGGGAAAGTCGAAGCATTAGATGGACAGTGGATATTGGTGGTGGGAATTGGTGGGTTGTATTCAAGAATTCCCTTGACTTTTTGGGAGATATGGTTTTTTAATTAATTAATTCACACATTCTTCATTCATTCATTCATTTAGCCAGCACATACTGATTTCATACTTGACAGGGTAGATGGTAGTGGTAATATTATAATGGGCCCTGGGGGATAGAGTGAGTCAAGCTTGGTTCTTACCACTTGGATGTGGTATGTGAACAACTCATAACATGAGAATTAATATAACAGAGCTATGCACAAAGTGCTTTGGAGCATAGAACAGTGAACAGTGAATGATTAGCTCTGCCTGGAGAAAGGTGAGGAGATTTGGGCAGGAGGGAAAGGACTTTGTGTTTTTTTCTGCCAATAGCTATCAAAGTGTAGTCTTTAGACCATGGCGGGTGGCAGCAAGGCCTTTTCAGGACATCCAGAAGATCAAAGCCGTTTCATAATAATATATTATTTGCCTTAAAAAAAACTATGTATACCTTTGTACTGATGTTGCAAAAACAGTGGTAGGTAAAACTGCTGGCACCTTAACACAAATCAAACCAGTGGCACTGAACTACTAGTAATGACTGTATTCCTCACCTCCACACACTGTCAGTTAAAAAAAATAAAAGTTTTCAACAAAGAAGTAGAAATCATTAATTTTATTGAATTGCATCCCATGAGTTCATGCCTTTTAGTATTCTGTGTGATGAAATATAAGTATGCATAAAGCATTTCTGCTGCATGTAGAAGTTTGATGGTTATCTCAAGGAAAGCACTTGTGCAATTGAGTTGTAAGTTGACATACCTCTTTTTTTTCAGGCAGCACTATCATTAGTTGAAAGAATACTTGATAGATAACTATGGTTATTCAGTATTTGGCAGAATTTTCTTGTAAATAAATGAAATGCATCTTCTGCTTTAAGGAAAACAACTGGTAGTATTTGTTGCCAATGATAAAATTCCAGCTTTTAAGTGAAAACTGGATTTTAGAAAACTTGTATCTGTCACTGTGAAATTGACAGTTTTCCTGGATTAAAAGCTTTTCTGATGAAATCAGTGGTGATATTAATAATTGTGGCTATTTTGATATTGTATAAATGAAAGTGTCAACATTTGGAAGCTCTGCACTAACTCCTAACCAATAGTTTCCAAATGACAAGTGCATCATGTTACAAAGTCATGCATGTATTAAAGATCCATTCAAAGTGTAAGATAGACCAATGGATTTTAATGTTAGAGGGTACAAAAAGTTTATTCATATAGTTTGGGATTTCACATTGCAACTAACCTTTAAGAAACCTACCGCTTGTTGAGTTTGGGTATAGTCTCGTATAAGGTATCCACAATAGTCTGACTAGTAAAATATTCCTGTCTTTTCCAACTGCATATCTATGTTTTGATCTTTAGCCAAAACAACACATCACAATAGGTTGAATGTAGCTATAAGATTATGTCTGTCTTCTATTAAGCCAGACATTTAAAAGATTTGCAAAAATGTACAATTCTACCCTTCTCGAGATTTTTTCAGAAAACAATTATTTTCCATAAAAATATTATTTACATTAATATGTAAGAGATTTGTTATTGTTCTAAAATAAATTAAAGAGAGCCTGGAGAGCAGTAGCAGCCTGGCTGTCATCACCATGTCCCTGAAAGGTGATTTTTTTTTTTTGGAGACAGGGTCTCACTGTTGCCCAGGCTGTAGTGCAGTGGTGCAATCACAGCTCATTGCAGCTTCAACATCCTGCACTCAAGTGATCCTCCTACTTCAGCCTTCTGAGTAGCTGGGACTACAGGCATGCACCACCATGCTTGGCTTTTATAGAGATGGGGTCTCACTATGTTGCCCAGACAGATTTTGAACTCCTGGGCTCAAGCAATGCCTCAGCCTCCCAAAGTGCTGGGATTATAGGTAGTGAGCCACTGTACCTGGCCCTGCAGGCTGATTTTGACAGTGTTGCAGAAGATGTGAGGAAGCTGAAAACAAGACCAGATGAGGAAGGACTGAAACAACTCTATGGGCTTTAGAAACAAGCTATAACTGGGGACATTAATATTGAGTGTTCAGGAATGCTAGATTTAAAAGGCAAGGCCAAATGAGAAGCATTGAATTTCCAAAATGGGATATCAAAGGACAATGTGATGAGTATATATATATATACATATATTTTTTTTTTGAGACAGAGTCTTGCTCTGTTGCCCAGGCTGGAGTGCAATGGCACGATCTCCGCTCACTGCAACCTCCACCTCCCGGGTTCAAGCGATTATCCTGCCTCAGTCTCCTGAGTAGCTGGGATTACAGGTGTGCCCCACCACACCTGGCTAATTTTTGTATTTTTTAGTAGAGATGGGGTTTCTCCATGTTGGTCATGCTGGTCTTGAACTCCTGACCTTGTGATCCGCCTGCCTCGGCCTCCTAAGATGCTGGGATTACAGGCGTGAGCCACTGCGCCCGGCCAAATACCTGTATTTCTAAGCAAAGGAGCTGATAGAAAAAGGTTGAATTTAGGATAAAGCATAGGAGAAAATTGTCCTTTGGAAGCCTTCATACTGGTATCATGACCTAACATTTAGTGGGGGAAATGCACTTTTAACTCTATGTATCATCTACATTTTTGCTGTTAGCATGAATTGTAATAATTAGGAGTAAATTGAAACTACCTAGTTAACTAAACTGTGGTTACTTAAACTAGGTGTCTGTAAAAGTTCTTTTAGAAAAGTGTCTTATATTTTATTTTTATAGATTTAGGGGGTACAAATGCAGTTTTGTTACATGGGTATATTGTGTATTGGTGAAGCCTGGGCTTTTAGTGTACCTAGTGTATCCATCACCCAAATAGGGTACATTGTACCCAAAAGGTAGTTTCTTGTCCCTTACCGTCCTCCCCCACTCCTGGCAACTTTTCGAAGTCTCCACTGCCTCCAGGGACTCTCCATGTCCCCCTATACACATTGTTTGGCTTCTACTTGTAGGTGGCAATATGTGATGTTTGATTTTCTGTTTCTCAGTTGTTTCACTTCAGATAGCGGCCTCCAGTTCCATCCACGTTGCTGCAAAAGACATGATTTCATTCTTCTTTTATGGCTGAGTAGTATTGTGTGTGTGTGTGTGTGTGTGTGTGTGTGTATAAAAATAATATTTTCTTTATGCAGTCATCCATTGATGGACACTAAAGTTGATTCTATGTCTTGCTATTGTAAATAGTGCCGCAACAGACATGAGTGGTGGCTATCTCTTTATATAATGATTTCTTATCCTTTCTTATCCTTTGGCTAGCTGCCTAATTTTGGTCCTTTGGGAGATCTCCATACTGTTTTTCATAGAGGTTGTACTGGTGCATTCCCCTAACAGTGTATGAGTATTTCCTTTTCTCTGCATCCTCACCAACATCTGTTGTTTATTGACTTTTTAGAAAAGTCTTGCTCTGGGAGTATGTATACAAAGACTTTAGCAATTGTTTGTTCTTTTGGCTTATCTGTTCTACAGTGAGTTTAGTGTTACTCATTTAGTGTTCATCTGTTTTGATTATTAAGAAGAAATAAAATGAATTAATAACTAAATATAAAAATTTGTGTTTTACTTTCCTTTTTTAATTCAAAATTTTGTGGAAATTTTATTTGAAATGCTCTGATCTATACCTTATGAAACATATTATCAATCTAGAAAAAATCTTACTGAGGCAGTTTGCAAAAGTTTTATGTTGCTAAATATTCATTAACGCAATGTAGGTAATTAAATTTTAACTTTTATTTTGAGTTTAGGGATACAAGTATAGGTTTGCTACATAACTAAGCTTCTGACATGGGGTTTGTTGCACAGATTATTTCATCACCCAGGTATTAATCCTAGTACCCATTAGTTATTTTTCCTCATCCTCTTCCTCCTCCCACCCTCCACCCTCCGAAAGGCCCCAGTGTGTGTTGTTTCCCTCTGTGTATCCATGTGTTCTCATCATTTAGCTCCTACTTAGAAGTGAGAACATGTGGTATTTGGTTTTCTGTTCCTGTGTTCTTTTGCTAAGGATAATGACCTCCATCTCCATTCATGTCCCTGCAAAGGACATGATCTCGTTCTTTTTTTATGGCTGCATCTGTTTTACTTTCTAATATGGTAAATATTAAACAGTTCTTTGTAATTAAAAGATGTTATGCATATAAAAGGGTCCTGAGACCAAAAAGTTTAAAAACATATGCCTATGCTATTTTCTTTGCCTAGAACTCTTCTCTTTTTTCTCTAGAGAAATCCTACACATAGTTGTAGAGTTAATATTTAGGTATTCATTTTAAAAAAACATTTACTGAGCATCTTATCAAGAACCTGGCTTTTTGTTGCTGTTGGGGACATGGTACCAATCCCTTATGGAGATCACAGTCTGGTGGGGAAGACACATTAAACCCAGTATGTTGAATGTTACCAGTGATAGCATATAAATGTTGTGGGAGTACAGGCTGCTGTCAGAGTCTTGCAAAGAGCCACTTTCCCACTCACTTGGAACATATGACTGGTCAGGTTGATTGGATTATACCTCCTATATTTGATTCTTCATAGTCAGACAGGGAAAGTGGCCGAAGTTAAAAGAAGATGGGAACTGTTTACTTGCTGCTCTGGGGGTAAAGAAGGATACTTCAAATGTATTAAATGTCAGCCTACACCAGGCCCTATGCTGGATGTTTTAACAAATGTGATTTTATTTTTAAAAAGTCTGTGCAGCAGATTATTATCCTTATTTTGCAAATGAGAAATTGGAGGCTCAAATAAATTAACTTGTCCAATATCTTATGGTTTGTAATTGGTGAAGATGGGATTTTGATAGTGTTCTGACTCTAAGTCCAGGCTTTTTCACTGTAGTTATGTGTTGCTAAATGCATGGCTCTTTGAAGGTATTTCCAGATGGTTGTGGGAAACCTTGCCAGATTGGAATGCGTAAGAGAAGGTAGGAAAGGTCTCAGGAAGAACAGAGAGACTGCTTAGGACATGCTTGGTTGAAGGAATTATTTGTGAGTTTTGGCTGACATGGTTTTTCTGTACAGGATTCAACGGCCATAGGAGAATCAAGCTTTTGTACTCCCTAACCCTCAATCCCTTTAATCCTTCTCTATGTCATCTGATGCTAGCAGCAAAGGTCACCTGTCTGTCTGATTAGGTTACAAACCAGAGACTGGGTATTTGAAGCCCAAACTTCTTGGATCTTGTAGGTTTTTGGGAAAGGTGCTGGTTAATTGACCTCAGGCCAGTGGTGCAGCCTGGAGGCCCCAAACCCTAGAGCTTGGTAAACTATTTCCATTATTTTAAAAAGCCTATTAGAAGTTTTGCTTTACCTAGGATATGTGTGGATACAGGCTAATGAAAAGATTGGATTTCTATCTTTCTTTAATTCTTTTTTTTTTTTTTTGAGGCAGGGTCTCGCTCTGTTGCCCAGGCTGGAGTTCAGTGGCACAAACATGGATCACTGCAGCCTCAGCCTCGTGGCCTCAAGCGATCCTCCTACCTCAGCCTCCTGAGTAGCTGGGACCACAGGTGTGTGCCATCATGCCTGGCTAATTTTTTAAATTTTTGTAAAGACAGGGTTTCACCATGTTGCCCAGGCTAGTCTTTTAACTCTGGGGCTCAAGGGAACTCCCACTTCAGCCTCCCAAAGTGCTGGGATCACAGGTGTGAGCCACCACAGCCAGCCTTGGATTTCTTTCTTTTAGGTCAATCCAATATGATTTAGGTATGCTACCTATGATATTCTAGAACAGGGTTCAACAAACTATGGCCTGTGGGCCAAATCCAGTTTACTGCCTGCTTTTATAAATAAAGTTTTATTAGAACACATTCAAGTTCATTCACTTATATTTTGTCTACGGATGCTTTTGTGCTACAATGGCAGAGTTAAGTTGTGCAACAGAGACTATATGGCTGACAAATCCTAAGTTGTTTACTATCTGGCCATTTACAGAAAAATTTGCTGATACTTAATTATGATCCTTTCTATCATGGCACTTAGCACATAGTGTTTTAATTGCTTGTCTCTCCCACTTTTGTAATTAGCCTTCTGAGAGAAAAATGAGATATGATTCATGTTTTTATGCCCCATGCTGATCACAGGGCCTGATATATGAAGAACATTCAATAAATGTTTAAATGGGCATATCATGGGCTGATCAAAAAGCTCTAATATGCAATTATATATGTTTTTGTTGGTGAGGTAGTAGAGAAACAATGCCTTAATCTTTGGGTGTATTCTGCTCTCTCCCTAAGTTCCCACTACCCCTTCATCCCACTCCCCAATTTAGCAGAACAAATGTAGAGAGAAATAAGTTTATGCAGAGATATTTCTTTTTGTATGCATACTGTTTATCATACTTTTTTCTTTTATCAAACCATTGCAGGCTGGGCGTGGTGGCCCATGCCTGTAATCCCAGCACTTCGGGAGGCCGAGGTGGGCGGATCACTTGAGGTCAGGACTTCGAGACTGGCCTGGCCAACATGCTGAAACCCCGTCTCTACTAAAAATACAAAAAATTAGCCGGGCGTGGTGGCGCATGCCTGTAATCCCAGCTACTCGGAAGGCTGAGGCAGGAGAATTGCTTGAGCCCAGGGAACGAAGGTTGCAGTGAGCAGAGATCATGCCACTGCACTCAAACCTGGGCAACAGGGTGAGACTCTGTCTCAAAAAACAAACAAACAAACAAACAAAAAACCAAAAAAAACCCCATTTCTTCAATGTTCTTCTTGCCCATATTATCACCTGTGGCTTCTAAAAGATGAAAGCAACACAAGGCCAGCTATCTGGTCACCCTAGCAAAAAGGCAGTGGTGAAAATGGAATTTTGAAGTGCTGGCCTGGGAGTCAGCAGACTTGGGCTCTCACTGTGGCTCTTTAGCTGCCTTTGACTTTGGCACATCACTTAACATTGGTGAGCTTCAATGTTCAACATACTTCTATTGAATCACATCTGGAACACTTTAAAATTTAATATTTATACTCCTCCCTTATTTTGAAAAGGATTTGAATAACTAGCAAGAGGTAGAGAGGTGACCTGTCTAGTCTTATCACTGTCTTTGGCTGTCAGACAAGTAGATGATTAAATGGATTAGGGTATTTTAGGTCTTTGATTAGTGCCTTCTAAAAGGCGTCACAACCACAGCCTCTTCACCCTGTCCTTACTTTCTGTCCTGTGACAGCTTCTTCTATTGCCTAGGAAGTTAAGATCTATCTTCTTTGAGGGTCATCTGAAGAGTATTTTGCCAAGGAAGTAGTTGTCGAGATCCAGGTCAAAAGGAAAGAGGAATTTTAGCATCTAGGAATTGGAAGAAATACTAGAAACTTCAGTCAAAATACCTTTTTCAAATAGTGACCTTGAGGCCTGGAGAAGAGAAATGACCTCCCTAGATCATATGGTAGAGCTAAGCCTAGATTTCAGGCTCTTCCTATTGTGTGCATCATTCAGACTAGGTGTTTTCCAGGCTTGTAAGAGAGGACTAGGTGTCACAGAAAGAGCTAAGGTGGCCTAGGCTCTTGTGCTGGTTTTACTGCTACATGGACATGTAATGGTAGGCAGAAGAAACTGTATCCCAGACCACCTAAGGTGTTGTATCAGATGAGCTCGGGACCTTCAGATATCTAAAAAATATTTGCCTGATATAACTGTCTATGAGAAGGCATGAGATGTGAGAGGTTTCCCCAGTCAATGGCTGACCTTATATGTATCAGCACTGACAAAATGAACAAAAAGGAAAATTACACATCATTTGGGCACTGGGACTAATTGGCTGTTGTTCTGTTTCCAGAAAGATTATGTTGATTTACATTTGTGTATTTGGCTGATTAAAAATAATAGCTCAATTGAATATGTATTTCTTTGATTACTAATGAGGCCAAATTTTTTCCTGTGTTCATTGGCTATTTATGTTTTCTCTCATTTGTGAGTTACTGATTCACATTCTTGTCTAGATCCCAGTATACTCCCAGTCCTATGCAAGACTTCCCTGCCAAGAAACTATTAGGGTGATAAAGCATTGTCCTTGTGGGGGAGCTCAGCATTTTCTTGGGGAGACAGTTACAGTCTAGATGAAACACCTCTGTCACTGTACAAGTAGCCAGTTAAGTGCCTACATGAGGAGTCAGATGCTAGAAGCTAAGGATGCTGACACAGGTGGGTGATAGGTTCTGGGTGGCAGCTCTGAGTAATTTTGTCTCTTGCTTTTCTTACACAGAGTTTTGCCGAATTGACAAGCCCCTGTGTCACAGTGAGGATGAGAAACTCAGCTTCGAGGCAGTCCGTAACATCCACAAACTGATGGACGATGATGCCAATGGTGATGTGGATGTGGAAGAAAGTGATGAGGTGAGCTCTCCCATCCTGCTATGTCTCTCTTTTCTTCCTGTGTGAATTAGTCTTTGAAAGCTACTTAGACAGCCTCTTCCCTGGGGAGAGATGTTCTCTGCTGGCTTGTTCTTTAGGAACTCATCCCTATCAGGGAAGATGGCTCCCAGAAGAGCAGCCCTCTAGGAGTCAGCCTGTCAGAGTGTAGGCTTTATGCTTGTGTCTGTGCCTGGGCTGGCTGCCCCCTGCCTACTGGCTAGTTGTGTAACACTGACTAAGCTGTGTTGTTTGGGAGGGAGAGAGATCCCTGAGGCTGGTCTCTATGGTTTCCTTGCATCCTTCTTGCAATCCTGCTATAGATGGAGGGCATCAGTCTGTTCTCAGCCCTGTGTTGGCATGAGGGATAGAAGATAAGACACCCAGATCCTGCCCTCTGGGAGTTTATACTCTATATGGGAAGAAGAAACAAATTGTTTTAGAAAGATCATTCTGAATTCCAGGCTGAAGTTTTTGGGAGCCAGTTGAGTGGTCTAGATAGTAAGAGTTAAAGGAGTCTCTAAATGGAAAAAAGCTCTATTGTTGTTTCATCTTTTGGCATTATTGTACCTGTGGCTCAGCAGATCCCAGAGAATAAGGTCATTATGTGTGAAAAGATTTAAAAGTTTGTTCATTTAAAGCTCAACATATACCAGTAGTTTGGTGAAGCTACCAAGTTATGCCAAATCTTCAATAGTGATGTAGTTATATCACGATGGGGGAGATATCCCCATTCTCTCTTTCCTGCCAGCCTACCTTTGAGTTTTGAGTTCAATTTTGGATCCCACATTGTCAGATCCAATGTGAGGAACAATGAGGGCCTATACAGAGAGGAGTGACATGAGTGATGAAGAGTTTGGAAAGTATGAAACAAAGAGCATTCAACACAATTATGTTTATTAAGCGTCTATGTACCATGCACTGTGCTAGGCATGGAGATGGGACTGTAAATAAAACAGATACAGTCTGTCTTTATATAACTTAAAGTCTAGTGAAGAGACTTTAGCCTGGAGAAGAGGAGACTCAGGTAATATAATTTCTATCTTTAAATACATAAGAAGTAAATCAATCAGACTTAAGTAATGATGATAGTAAAGTGAAAACCATGATACTAGCTCTCATTGATTGAACTCTTACCTTATGCCAGTCACAGTGTTAAGCTTTTTGCATAGTTACTCTTTTAACTTCAACAGATTTATGAAGTTGGTATTATTACTAGGGTATGGAGCCTTAGAAAGGTTAAGCATTTTCTTCAGGGACACAGTGAATATCAGTGCAGATCTGATTTCAAAGCCCATGCTCTTAAGTACTGCTGTATTGTTTCTCCTATTCTAAGAGCAGAACCAGGTCCAAAGTAAAGTGGGGAAAGTAAAAAGTAGGCATTTTCTTTTAGAATAAAGAATTGACTAATAGTGAGAGCTATCTTGTCATAGAAGAGGCTTCCTTGGTAGACAGTGAACTCCCTATCACTGAAGATGGGCAAGTAGCATACAGAACTCCACTGAATCTGGGTGTGGTGGCTCATGCCTGTAATCCCAGCACTTCGGGAGGCCAAGGCAGGAGGATAGCTTGAGGCCAAGAATTTGAGACTAGCCTGGACAACACAGCGAGACCCTGTCTCTACAAAAAAAAAAAATTGGCTGGGTGTGGTGGCATACACCTGTAGTCTCAGCTACTCTGAGGCTGAGGCTGGAGGATCACTTGAACCTAGGAGGTCGAGGCTGTGGTGCACTATGATCATGCCATTGCACTCCAGCCTGGGCAACAGAGCAAGACCCTGTCTCTAAAACAAAACAAAACACAAAACAAAACACAAAATTCACTGATTGGTCAACAGAGGGGATTTGTCTGTAAGGATGAACCAGATAATGTTTAAGGAATTTAAAGGAAGAGAAAAAATAGACTTCCTGTATAAAAAGTAAAATTTGGATAGAATGGAAAGGGTTGGGCTTACTGAGTAGTGGAGAATCAGTGTGAGCAAAGCTGTAGAGGTAGTAAGAAATATAGTGGGTTGGTTTGGTTAGACAGGGACTGTGGTAGAAAACCACAGAACAAAAAGTTGGAAAGGAAAGTGGGGCCCAGGCTGAGATATGTATACTTGTTGAACCAGGCAACTGTAGGTTCTTGAGCAAAGACAACGACCATGATGTAAGTATCTGAAATTTGGTTACATCCAGAAGTGTCACTGACCTGTAAAGGATCAAAATTTTATTTGTCTAACCTGAGAATACAGCCATGTTCCTGGGGGTGAATGAGGCCTAGTGGCATCCTGATCACTGTCCCAGGGCCTGGCCAGAAAACTGGGGAATGGATGAAGAAGGTGATGTAACCCAAGATCTATAAATTCTTGGATATCTTTGTTATATGCTCCTCATCCTTTTTTTTTTTTTTTTGTTACATCCTGCTGAGTTGCTTTGTCAATGAGGGGAGGAATAAAATGTTCTTTTTAGAGGAATGTTACCACAACAAAAAGCTCATCAGCACAAACTGTTCCGAAATAACACAAAAACTGTTACCCTGCTCTTCTCTGCGCCAGTGGTGAGCTGTTCTTTTTCAGTATAGTTTTTGCCTTGCCTTGGTTTCCACTGCTCTCCCTGCAATCTCAGGCCTCACATGGTTAGAGAGGCCTGCTGGTCTAGGTTTGCATGATCAATCACAAGCTACCTTCCTGAGAGAGAAAGTACCAAAATGTGTGTGCCTAAGTCACTTCAAACATGTATAAGATAGCCTTAGAGTTCAGGATCTAACTAGAAAGTTGGGTAGATATCTCAGGGTTTAGAATGTTGTGTAATGGATGGTGGGGTACCAGAAACCCTGGTTCTTTTGGCCATTGAGGACCTGAAGGGTTTTTTTTTTTTCATTCATAAAACTTTTATTCCACTTACATGAATTTAATACACGTGTTCTTAACAATTATGCTTGGATTATTAATGAAAATTTCATAAGATATTAAACAAAGCTAGCCATCATCTCAAGTTATTTCCTTGTTAACTATTTTTACAGCACATGCATGTTAGGCAAGTATCAAAAAAAATCACAACAGCAAAAAAACTAAAAAAAAAGAAGTTAAATACATGGGTTTTTCTTTTTTTGTTTTACTGCTGTGCTTGATATACGTGAAGTAATGAATATCAAGCAATTCATTTTTACTGCATCTTTACTTTTACATTTGTTTTTAGGTTGCCTAAAACATTTAAATACAAATAAAATGAGTGTAGCAAAAATAATGAAAGCCAACAGCAGGTAACTTTACAAATAATGGAATGTGAACTGTTTCTGCCCTTATCCAGAGTAAAATGGGTCACAACTTTGTCTAAAGGAACACTTCTGCAGCCGTAGTCAAAGGTGTGCACAGTGAGATTGAATATTCCATAGATATACAAGATGTAACATGTGGGCCAGGTGTGGTGGCTGACACCTATAATCCCAGCACTTTGGGAGGCCAAGGCAGGAGGACTGCTTGAGGCCAGGAGTTCAAGACCAGCCTAGTCAACATAGTGAGACCTTGTCTCTATAAAAAAATAAACAAGTATGAAAAAAAAAAAAAAAGGGCCGGGCACGGTGGCTCACGCCTGTAATCCCAGCACTTTGGAAGGCCGAGGCGGGTGGATCACGAGGTCAGGAGATTGAGACCATCCTGGCTAACACGGTGAAACCCCGTCTCTACTAAAAATACAAAAAATTCTCCGGGCGTGGTGGCGGGCGCCTGTAGTCCTAGCTACTCTGGAGGCTGAGGCAGGAGAATGGCGTGAGCCTGGGAGGCGGAGCTTGCAGTGAGCCGAGATCGCAACATTGCACTCCAGCCTGGGTGACAGAGCAAGACTCTGTCTCAAAAACAAAAAAAACAAAAAAACAAAACAAAACAAAAAAGATGTAACGTGATATCCATGGGATATCTGTTTCTACCACAGCCGTTTAAGTGCTCCAAACCTTAAAGTACCCACAGTTACTACACCTGTGACTGGAACCAATGATCCCTTTTACTCCCTGCCAGGACAAACCAATGTGTAGGCAGTTTTCTTTGCTTAGACATGAAGCAGTTTTAACACTGGCCCTTGTGAAGCCACAATGTACCAAAAGTACTATGCCAAACATTTATAACCTTTAGAAAAATTCCACATTTCCATATTGGCCACCTCAAAATGGAAACAGATAACTCCCTAAATGTTAACCGGCCCTGCTCTCCTAATATTAAACATAAAAACCACATGGGAAATATAGATATTCAAGTAGAAGTAGCATAAACCTGTCATAAATCATAAACAAAAACTCTTTGTGGGACAGCATGGATGACAAATGGTCTACTATGTAACTTTTAGAATGAGGCAGACAAAGTTGGAAGGCTGGTTAATTTTCCCCTTGTTCTCCTGCTTCAGCTTCATTTCCTTGGGTTCTGATGAAGGACCTGAGATTTTTATAAGTCATCTTAAAAGCCTTGCTGATTACTCAAGAGCCTTAGTAGAAGTCTGAAGGGGTGCTCTATTGAGGCCTCATGTATTCAGCCTCCTACTGGTAACTTTTCTGCATAACTGGACTGTAACCCCAGTTACAGATCTTTTAAAATTTTTGCCATTTCTGAAGTAAGTCTTTATTCCTACAGATTATTGTGACTAGAGTGTTAACTTTTCGTTGTATGAATCAAAGCATGTCTTCAGGGCCTCTTGCACTATTACCCCAGTACCTAGATTCCTATATACATTCTTATGATTGCCTCTTATAGTTATCTTCTTATAGTTTTATCTCTTCTTTGATTCATTTTCATTTCTTTTTTTTATAGACACATTTATTCAGCATCACGATCAAACTATTACATTTAGCAATCAACAGCATGAGTAAAAAAAATTATCTACACTAAAACTCTTTGTTGGCATGCTTTACATTTTCCACAGAAAAGAAACTAAAATAACCTGTTATACAATTAGTCACAAACACAGTCCTACTTTTTTTTTTGCCTATACACATTAATATTGTCTAAAACATGTCTTCTTTGTAGCAGCTAGGCCCTGCCACCACTGTGCTTGGCTGAGTTCACAAATCTGTTGTAACCTGTAGCTTCTTTGTCACTTCTCTGGCTCTCTTCTGCTAAGTATTTTTCTGGCAGTAATTAAAATCTGCCACTGCCATAGCTACTGACTGGAACCACCATAGCTGCCTTGGTTTTGTGTTTTGGCCAGTATAGAATCCAGAGCTTCTGCCTCCAAAGTTTCCTCCTTTCGTGCATCCAAAATTTGAGGACTGATTGTTATAATTGCCAAAATTATTGTAGCTTCCACCACCTCCAAAATTGCTTTCACTGCCACCAACAAAGCTGCTTCTGCCTCCATCGTTGTTATAGCTGTGAGAGCTGACACTCCTGCTGTAGCCACTGCCCTGATTTCCATAATCCTGCCTCCACTTCCATAGCCTCTGCTTCCTTCAGCGTAACCAGGGCTGCCCCTCTATAACCACTGTTGTTACCAAATCCATTATAGCCATCCCTGTTGCTACCAGATCACCACCAGCATGGCTGCTACCAAAGTCACCACAACCACTGAAGTTTCTCCTCCATGACCAAAGTTGTCATTCCCACCAAAACCACCTCCACGACCATCACCAGAGTTTCCAGAACCATTTCGACCTCTTTGGCTAGATGAAACACTAGCCATCTCTTTCTTCGACAGGGCATCCCTAACTTCATAGTTGTGGCCATTCACAGTATGGTATTTCTTTTTTTTTCTCTCGAGACAAGGTCTTGCTCTGTTGCCCAGGCTGGAGTGCAGTGGTGTGAACACAGCTCACTGCAGCTTGGACCTCCGGGGCTCAAGTGATCCTCCCATCTCAGCCTCCCGAGTAGCTGGGACTACAGGCGCGCACCACTGCACCTAGCTAATTTTTGTATTTTTTGTAGAGATGAGGTCTTGCCATGCTGCCCAGGCTGGTCTTGAACTCCTGGGCAAGTGATCCCCTGCCTCGGCCTCCCAAAGTGCTAGAATTACAGGCATGAGCCACTGCACCCAGCCAGTATTTCTTTTAAAAATATTTGTTTATTTATTTTGAGACAAAGTCTCACACTGTCGGCCAGGCTGGAGTTCAGTGGTGTGCGCATGGCTCACTGTAGCCTTTACCTCCCAGGCTCAAACGATCTTCCTGTCTCAGCCTCTTGAATAGCTGGGACTATAGGCACATGCCACCATACCCAGCTAATTTAAAACAAATTTTTTTAAATTTAAAATGTATCTTTTTTAAAGCCCCCAACAAATATCCTTTTCATAGTTAAGTGGGCATGTGGTCTTTGAGAATCTTCTCTTGATACAGCTCTTCTGTCCACCTTATGTAGCCTTGCATTCACGGCTGCATCCACCTCCTCCACAGTGGCATATGTGACAAACCCAAAGCCCCTGGAGCACTTGGTATTTGGATCTCTCATTACCACAGTCTGTGAGTGCTCCCTGTTGCTCAGAATGGCTCATTGGACCCTCACTGGTCATTTCAAAGCTCAACTCTCTGATGAAGAACTTCTACAGCTGTTGGGACTACTTAAGAGACTCTGTCTTAGACATGATAGCAGTGGGAAGAGAGACTTTAATGATGTTTTCAGCGGCATCCATGGGTAGAAAAAGCCATTCTCGTTTCTAATTGCTGAATATACTCTGCTGTGAAATTAGACTTAGGGCAAACTGAGACTCAGTAGGCATGTTATAGAAAAATATATAATCAGGCCAGTTGTGGTGGCTCACAGCTGTAATCTGAGCACCTTGGGAGGCTGAGGCAGGAGGATTGCTTGAGCCCAGGAGTTCAAGACCAGCCTGGACAACATAGGGAGACTCTATCTCTACCAAAAAAAAAAAAAAAAAGCCAGATATTGGCACAGAGACCCTAAAAGAGACTTTTTAAGAGTCTCTTAAAAGAAAAGAAAAATATATAATCATTTGTGTAGGGGCAGCTAGTTTGGTTAAGTGCCATCTTTGCTTGCTTCTCTTCTGGATAGCAGAGGCTATGTATTGTGGGCCCTTCAGATGTGCAAGATGGCTCTATTGGTGATGGTGCCCTTCTTGCAGAGCTGGCAGGGAGTTCTACCAGGCTGGCAGTATGAGAATTCATGACCTGTGTTCTGTTCAAACTTCTGGTGGGGTTTGCTCCATGGGCAAAAGATTTGTTGCAGTGGGATGGTACTGTTAGGTTGTCCTTAACAGTATGAGTTGGGCAGACAAGGGCCTACCTAAGACCATTGTCCCCTTGACTGGACCAGACTTTTTGAGAGCAGTGCTATTTTCTTTTCTGGAGCCTACATGGCAAATCAGGGCATTTATTCAGTCATTAAACAAATTCTTATTTAATACATATTAAAGCCAGGCACTATTCGAAGGCTAGGGATTCCACAGTGTACAAAACAGATAAGATCCCTGCTTTTAGGGAGCTTGCGTTCTAGTGATCTGTATGTCACAGGTGATTAAGTGATAAGAAAACTTTGAAATTAGGCAGAACTGTGATCAGATTATAGTAGTCTAGTGACTTTGCCTTTGGTTTTCTCAGGGTAAAGTGGTAGTTAATGATTCCTACCATTGCAGCGTTGTTGTCAGGATTAAGTGAGAAAAGTGCTGTTTAAAGTTCCCAACACAAAGAATTCTCAAAACTCGACAATAGAAAATAAGCCAGGCCAGGTGTGGTAGTGGCTCACGCCTGTAATCCCAACACTTTGGGAGGCTGAGGCAGGCAGATCACTTGAGGTCAGGAGTTTGAGACCAGCTTGGCCAACATGGCAAAACCCTCTCTGTACTAAAAATACAAAAAAATTAGCTGGTGTGGTGACACGTGCCTGTAATCCCAGTTACTGGGAAGGCTGAGGCAGGAGAATCGCTTGAAGCCGGGAGGCGGAGGTTGCAGTGAGTGGAGATCGCACCACTGCATTCCAGATTGGGCAACAAAGTGAGACTCTGCCTCAAAAAAAAGAAGAAGAAGAAGGAAGAAGGAAGAAGGAAGAAGAAAATAAGCCACTTAATAAAAAATGGGAAAAGATTTGAACAGAGACTTCAAAGTAGATATATGGATGGCTAATAAGCTATGAAAAGATACTCAATATTATTAACCATTAGGGAAATGCAAATTAAAACCATAATGAGGTATCACCACATGCCTGTTAGAATGGCTAAAAATAAAAAATGGACAATATCAAGTCCTGGACGAGGAGGAAGAGCCACTGGAACTCTTGCTGATGGGAATGCAAGATGATACCGCCAGTCTGGAAAAGTTTCACAGTTTCTTACAAAGTTAAATATATGTCCCAGCAATTCTTCCTCTAGGTATTTACCCTATGAATAAATGAAACTTTATATTCACAGTAGAACCTGTATATGAATGTTTATAGTATCTTTATTTGTGATTGCCAAAAACTGGACATAACCCAAATGTCCTTCAATGTATGAACGGATAAACAGACTATGGAAAACTACTCAGCAATATAAAGGCATGAATTTTTTGGATGAACACCTGTGGGGAAAAGCAAAAACAAAAGGCAAAAACAAAAAGCAAAACAAAGGCATGAACTACTAATATACACAACATATGTGAATCTCAGAGGCATTATCCGAGGGAAAGAAACCAGTCTCAAAATATTACATACTATGTGATTCTATTTATATGACATTCTGAGAAAGGCAAAACTATAGGGATGGAGACTAGGTCAGTGGTTATCAGGGGTTATTAGTGTAGGGGAGGTTTTGACTACAAGGGGAAAGCATGGAGGAAGTTTTTGGGAGTAATGGCCTAACTGTTCTGTGTCCAGATTGCAAGGGCAGTTACATGAATCTATTAATAAATATGTATTAAAACTCATGGAACTATGCGCCAAAAAGTTAAATTTCATCATATGTTAATTTTTTTAAAGTTCCCAGCATAGTACCTGACACGTAATTCAAGCTCAGTGAATACTCGCTACTTTCCCTTTTCTCTTTTCCTCTATATATCCAGGAAATCAACTAGCATCTGACAGTTGTATTTTTCTTAGATAGGGTCTCACTATGTTGCTTAGGCTGGTGTTGAACTCCTGGGCTCAAGAAATCCTCCTGCCTCAGCCTCCCAAAGTTCTGGAATTACATGTGTGAGCCACCACGCCTAGCCTGACAGTTGTTTTTTTTTGGAGATGGAGTCTCACTCTGTCACCCAGAATGGAGTGCAGTGGTACAGTCTTGGCTCACTGCAACCTCTACCTCCTGGGTTCAAGCGATTCTCCTGCATCAGCCTCCCTAGTAGCTGGAACTACAGGCGCGTAGTGCCACACCCAGCTAATTTTTGTATTTTTAGTAGAGATGGGGTTTCGCCATGTTGGTCATGCTGGTCTTGAACTTCTGACCTCAGGTGATCTGCCCGCCTCCAGCTCCGAAAGTGCTGGGATTACAGGCATGAGCCACCACGCCTGGCCCCTGACAGCTGTATTTTAATGTTTGTCTGATGTATTTTGAGCCCCTTTAGGGAAAGAACTGCTCTTATCTGGTTTGTCTCTCTTTTCCCCAGTGCCCAACAAAGTCTGTTATAGAATATGTGCTTAATCACTGTGTTGAATGACTGACCAATATTGCTATAGCAGAATGCTATCATTCTGCTATGGGAGTCTTAGCAAGGGTGTGATCACACATTTTAGGGGATAAGGATGAGTAGGTAGCAGTATGAATCCAGGAAGCTACAAGATCTACTTATGACTTCTGTTAGTGTCTGTGGTGTCTGGTATAGAAGTATAACACAGGGTTATGAGCTTATGCTCTGGAATCATACAGACTCCATTCTGCCTCTTCCAGCTGTGGAAACTTAGAGAAGTTACATAATCCCTTTCCACCTCAGTTTCTTCATTAGAAATTGGAGTAATAATAGTAGTAGGCTTTTCATGAAGATGTTGCAAATATTAAATGAATAATGCATGTAAAGCACTTAATACAATGCCTGGCACATAGAAGAGGCTCAATTAAAGTTTTTACGTTATCATCAGAAAGAACATATATTTTGATGCAAACAAGCCTGTATTCAAAACTTGGCTTTGCCACTTACTGGCTATACAACTTTAGGCAAATAACCTTACCTTTCTGAGCCTTGATTTTTTTTTTAAGCTATTTGAAGAGGGATGTTGTGAGACATTAATGTATGTAAAGCCCCTAGCACAATGCCTGGTACGTGATAGGTGCTAAAGCCATGTTTTTTTCTCCCTCAACATGAGGGTACAATAGTGAGGGCTGGCTTGTATAGCAAAATTCCATATCAGCTCTATCACCATCCCATGGCACCACAGCATTTAGCCATGGGAGCCACTCCCAGCAGTGTGCCTAACTTGACTAGGGCCAGGACACTGTAGGAGGCAGAGGTAGTTCTGTTTTCGCTTAAGTGGTTGATATTAAGAGGGAGGGCATGATAAAGCAGGATCACACATTTATAGGGACTACAACTTTTCTGGCAGCTCACCCAGCCTCCTACATATGCCTGTGTACTTTTTTTTTTTTTTTTTGAGACGGAGTTTCGCTCTTGTTGCCCAGGCTGGAGTGCAATGGCACTATCTCGGCTTACCGCAACCTCCGCCTCCCAGGTTCAAGCGATTCTCCTGCCTCAGCCTCCTGAGTAGCTGGGATTACAGGCATGCACCACCACGCCTGGCTAATTTTGTATTTTTAGTAGAGACGGGGTTTCTCCATGTTGGTCAGGCTGGTTTCAAACTTCTGACCTCAGGTGATCTGCCCGCCTCGGCCTCCCAAAGTGCTGGGATTACAGGTGTGAGCCACCACGCCCGGCGCCTGTGTACTTTTAAAAAGGTCTGGCTTTTGGGCCAGGCACGGTGGCTCATGCCTGTAATCCCAGCATTTTGGGAGGCCGAGGCGGGTGGATCACCTGAGGTCAGGAGTTTGAGACCAGCCTGTCCAACATGGTGAAACCCCGTCTCTACTAAAAATACACAAATTAGCTGGGGTTGGTATCAGGTGCCTATAATCCCAGCTGCTTGGGAGGCTGAGGCATGAGAATCACCTGAACCCCAGGGAGGCGGAGGTTGCAGTGAGCCGGGATTGTGCCACTGTACTCCAGCCTGAGTGACAGAGTAGAAATGTCATGAGACCTGTTTAGAGTTTAGTGGGGGTAGAAATAGACTTGTTTTCTATGTTTTTCATTGTCCCATCCAGAGTAATGCTAGGTCCTGGGAGGCTGTGAGAGTTCGGGAAGCTGGCATCAGGTTCCCGATGCCACCATTTGGCTTCAGCGCTCCCACCATTTGGCTTTAGCTCATGCTACTAGTTCATGTTATGCTGTATTTCCTTAATCTATGCTATAGCCACCCCAAACAGAATCAGAGCTAAGGGAGCTAAACTCTGAGGGGAGCAGTCAGCAGGTTCACTTGCAATATCTAAAGTGCCAGGAGGAACTTGGACTTTATAGGTAGTAGTATATAGGGAGAGAGTAGGAAGCCCAGTGCTGTGGTTAATATGGGCCAAATTAGATGAAGATTAAGTAGCTGGGTTATTTGCAGATGTTATTACCATAATTAATAATAATTATATTCCCTTTTGTGCTCTGGGCCTCACTTTCTTATATTCAGATAGCTGTAGACAACCCTTAAGTGTTCTGCCTCTAGTTTCTCCCGGAAAGCCCATGTTGTACATGCTGCCAGTGATCTTCCTAACCTACATTTGGGTTCTGTGTCTCCTGCATGATTTCCTTTTCCTGTTTCCTTTAACTTCCTGTACCTACCACTCCATCTCTTTAAATCCGATTTTAGCCTTTCTTTTCTTTGTTTTTCATTGAAATATATTTTTAAAAGAGTCAGGGTCTTGCTCTGTCCTCTAGGCTGGAGTGCAGTGGCACAATTATGGCTCACTGTAGCCTTGAGCTCCTGGACTCAAATGATCCTTCTACCTCAGCCTCCCAAGTAGGTAGGACTACAGGTGTGCACCACCACACTAGGCTAACTATTTTTGTAGAGACAGGGTCTTGCTATGTTGCCAAGTCTGGTATTGAACTCCTGGTCTCAAGCAACCCCTCACCTCAGCCTCCCAAGTTGCCGGGGATTACAGGTGAGAGCCACTGCACCTTGGCTACCTTTGTTAATTCTCTGGACATACCTCCTACCGCTTCGGTCTGGCTCCAATCTTCTTTGTCTTATAAACATTTTATGTTTATTTCCAGTCCCCTTTCTTTGCTCAGGTAGTTCTCCTTACCTGGAATTAACCTCTTGTGCCCCTCCCTGCACCCCTAGCCCTGTCTGTATCAATCTTAGTTGTCCTCTAGAATGTGCCAGCTTCATTTTATATGAACCTTCCCTGACTTTCCCATTCCTACTGATCTTCCTCATCTCAATACTAACTCCCATAGTACATAGTCTCTATCGCTCGATTTAGCACTTAATTAGAAATTGCCTTGCTTTGTGCCCTAATGATTTTGATTGTATTGTTTTGTCTATAACTTTGTGTTCCTGCACTAATACTGGCATTATTAAAGCACAACTCATCAGATTACTTCTACCATGTGCCAAGCCAAGCTGATTACATATAAAGTTTTGTTTAATCCTTAACCACTCTGTGAACTAGGTGTTATTAACTCCATTTTAGAGATGATAAAACTATAAATGAGTGGCTTACTTTTGCTTGTTTAATTAATCTAAACTCTGCTCTGTCATTCAATGCTCCCACCATTTGGCTTTAGCTCATGCTGCTAGTTCATGTTATACTGTATTTCCTTACTCTATGCTATAGCCACCCCAGACATGCTCTTCATATCTTATCACTGTGCCCCTGTTCCAGATAAATCCTTATCCTGGCATTTCTCTGCTTCCCACTTTGCCTGTAAAAATCAAGCCAGGTTTGGTGGTTCATGCCTATAATCTCAGCTACTTGGTTGAGACAGGAGGATCGCTTGAGGCCAGGAGTTCTAGACCAGGCTGGGCAACATAACAAGACCCCATCTCTTTAAAAAAAAAAAAAAAAAACCCACACATTTCAGTGCAATGCCTGGAACAAAACAACAACAACAACAACAACAAAAAAAAACAAATAGAAACAAAAGGAAAAAGAAATTTCATTTGTCCACCAAGGCCTAGATCAGGGTTTCGGAACCTCAGCATTATTGATATTTTGGGCCAGATAGTTCTTTGTTGTGGGGAGCTGTCTTGTACATTGTAGGATGTTTAGTAGCATTCCTAGCCTCTACATACTGGATGCCAGTAGCAAACCTTTCCCCTTCCCCCTTCCAGTTTGACAACCAAAAATATTGCCAGTTACTATTGTCAGTTGTCAATTTTCAAACTGCCCCTTGTTGAGAACTACTGGCCTAGATTAAATGTTGCTTCATCCAAGAAATATATATATATTTTTTGGAGACGGAGTCTTGTTCTGTCGCCCAGGCTGGAGTGCAGTGGTGTGATCTCGGCTCACTGCAACCTCTGCCTCCCAGGTTCCGATGATTCTTCTGCCTCAGGCTCTCTTTCATCATGTTGGCCAAGCTGGTCTTGAACTCCTGACCTTGTGATCCATCTGCCTCGGGCTCCCAAAGCGCTGGGATTATAGGCGTGAGCCACCACGCCCAGCCAATCCGAGAAATCTTGTTTGTTCTCCTACAGTGGGAAGTAATCCTTTCTCATGTTCGAGAGTACTTGGCATGAACCTTATGTTTGTCATGTTGCTCTGTTCTGTATTGTAATTGGGTCCATCCTTAACTGTCCTACCAGATTTTGAGTTCCTTTAGGGGTCATGAACTAGGTTTTATTCATTGCTGTTTCTCATAACATTGTGTTTGGTTCAGGACCTTTCTCTTAAGGGTGCTGAGTTGACGTTATTTTTGAATTTTGAATTCGAAAACAAAGATACTATCTTATTGTTTTATGCCCTTTAAATAGTTTCTCTAGTGCAAAGGAGGAGTACAGAGTGGGCTGGTCAATGGTACTGGGGACAGAGTGCTTTGGACTTGTGAGTTCCCTGTCAGGATAAAAGCTGAAGTCAGTGTTGGGTTGTTTTTCTGGAGTTGCTATAGTCTGGGCTCTAGATATGTTAGTATATGACCTATACGTCTGACCTCCTCTGTGACCTTCTTCCCTACCCTTCTGCCCTATGTTATGAATCATGTGCAGAATCTGGATGGAGGTAAGATTACTGTACTTAAAATGATAGGAAAGACTTTAAGAATAACACATACTATAGGAGCACAAGTGAAGAAAAAAAGGAAAACACTGAGAATGCCCAAAGGCTATGTAGTAGAGCAAAAGTATGTACTTATAAAGCAAGAAAGATAGTTTCAGGTATACTTTTGCCAATTATTAGTTGTTTGACTTTGGAAAGTTTCTCTCTCTCTCTGTCTCTTTCTTTTCTTTTTGTTTCTTTTTTCTTTTCTTTTCTTTCTTTTTTGTTTTGAAATAGAGTCTTGCTCTGTCACCCAGCCTGGAGTGCAGTGGCATGCTCATAGCTTACTGCAGCCTCAAACTCCTGGGCTCAAGCAATCTTCCAACTACAGCCTCCTGAGTAGCTGGGACTACAGGTGCACGCCACTATGCCCAGTTAATTTTTGTATTTTTTGTAGAGACGGGGTTTCGCCATGTTACCCAGGCTGGTCTCAAAACTCCTGGGCTCAAGCAATCTCTGCCCACCTCAGCCTCCCAAAATCCTGGGATCGTAAACATGAGCCAACGCACCCAGCCTGGAAAATTTTCTTAAACTCTGTGAACTTTCATTTCCTTACCGTCAAATTAGTCAGTAATTCCTACCTTGAAAGATTATGGCAAAGATGAAATGAAATCATGTATATCAAGTACCCAGCCTATGGTCTAGTTTATAGTAGCAGTATTTCTACTTCTTTAACTCGTACTACCATTGCTATGATGTACTAGGCTTGTGCTGTGTACTCTTGCATATGCTGTCTCATATAATCCTTACAAGAAATCTCTGAGACAGACAGTAATTTTTTTCTGTATAACCCATAAGGAAAGAGACTGAATTAGCTCATTGTTAACCATTTTTGAGGTTATTGTAACTCAGATGTGCCTCAGGCTGATGATAATGTTCTAAAATTAGATTGTGGTGATAGTTGTATACTTCTGTGAATATACTAAAAACTATGGGGTTTTATACTACAATTAGTATGTGAATTAAATCTCAATAAATATGTTTTTTAAAAAAGTGTCACCGCATTGGTTGGAGTGGTGGTCACCTTTCGCTTGCCTTTCTGTAGCCCAGCCCATAACAATCCTTAGGGCCCTGTAGAAAAGCACTTTGAAAGTCATGTTGATTTCTATCTCCATTTTTAATTTTTATTTTTTTTGAGACAGGGTCTTGCTCTGTCACCCAGGCTGGAGTGCAGTGGCGTGATCTCTGCTCACTGCAGCCTCCATCTCCTAGGGTCAAGTGATTCTCATGCCTCAGCCTCCTGAGTAGCTGGGGCTACAGGCATGCACCACCACGCCTGGCTAATGTTTTTGTGTTTTTAGTAGAGAAGGGGTTTCTCTGTGTTGGCCAGGCTGGTCTCCAACTCCTGGTTTCCAGTAATCGGCCTGCCTTGGCCTCCCAAAGTGTTGGGATTACAAGTGTAAGCCACCATGCCCTGCCTCTATCTCCATTTCCCCTGCCTCCAACTTTGATAGAGATGCAGTGGTGCTTTGAAGTCTGAAGTACCATGGTTGCTGGAAGCAGATCCGTGGTTAGCTAACTGACAGCGAGGTTGCCTCAGTTCCTGGGGAGGTATAGATGACTTTTGAGAATGTCAGACTGAAGAGTCCTGGAGCATTCTCTTTTGGAGAATTTCTCCCTCTTTCCCTCTTTTTATTCCTTCCTTTTCCTTTTTTGTAGTTAGTACTGCTTCTGGGGAAGTTAAGATGTCAAAGAATCTGTGGGACAACCCTGGTGGCAATTCCCTCTTACCCATATACCAGGGGCCTGAATCAATTTCTTGACCCCTACTATGTGACATTACATGTGAGGAGTTGTCAAAGACAGCCAGCCAAGTGGCTCTAGTTTTATTTTTCCTTGATTAACCTTGTGCTCAGGGCCTCTCTCTGATTCCCATGGCTGCTATATCACTCCCAGAGGCCATACCGGCACCTGAGAAGCAGAGCTCTCCTTTTGGTCCCTGGACCCAATTCTGAACATAACTTTTCTTTGCATTCCCTGCACACAGCTTTGACAGCCTGGAGCTACTGCTGCTGCTGCTTTTTCTCTTTCTGCTCCTCCTCCTCCTCTTTCTCCTTTCTTTTTTTTTTTTAGATGGAGTTTCCTCTTGTTGCTCAGGCTGGAGTACAGTGGCACAGTCTCGGCTCACTGCAACCTCCGCCTCCTGGATTCAAGCGATTCTCCTGCCTCAGCCTCGCGAGTAGCTGGGATTACAGGCATATGCCAGCATGCCCGGCTAATTTTTGTATTTTGAGTAGAGACGGGGTTTCATATGTTGGTCAGGCTGATCTCGAACTCCTGACCTCAAGTGATCCGCCCGCCTTGGCCTCCTAAAGTACTGGGACTACAGGTGTGAGCAACCGTGTCCAGCCTCTTTCTCCTTTCTTAAAAAAATTTACTATATGCAAATTTACTTCAGCATTGGTTTCTGGTATATATATTTTTTGCTACAGTAATTCTTCTTTGACTTCAGTTTGGAGGCACTGCTCTGCCTTTTTTCTTTCTAGTTCTCTGCCTGTATCCTGGTGCAGTCATCATCTTGTCTCCTACTTCATGGAACATTCTGACCCCCTGCTCTTAATTCAGGCAAAGCATGGATTGAAGTCTGCTCAGGCCCTTTGGACAGAACAGAGATAGCTGACACCATGAATGACATAATTTTTCAAGTGAAACCTGCTCCTTAGGCTAAAGAAATGTCCTGTTCCCATTCTTCCTTGTAAGTACTTATAGGGTGGCTGTAGAATTCACCTACCAGGAGTGGCTCATCAGTTTATAGGCCGCAACTTCCATTGAGTTCAAGTTATTTGGCCCAGCTCATACATTCAGTCCTAACTTTTGTGAGTTTATTAGAATAGCTTTAGAATAAACTATTTGGACTTTGACTTTTTAAAAGTCTAAGCATGAGCTTTGGAGTCCAACCTGGGTTCAAATCCAAACCTTGCAATGTACTAAATATATGGCCAAGTGATTTGGAGACTCACTTTCCTCATCTATAAAGTAATGATGACAATAAGATACTCTTTGCCATGAACAAGCCCTAGGCTAGTGAGAGACACAATTATGTAAACAGGCAGTGACAATAGCACATTTTAAGGGCTGTAATGGTAGTATGCATAGGTCCTGTGGGAGTTTCCAGAGGAATCAGGATGCAGTGATCTTATATGTACTGGTGTAGCAGAAGCCATATTGTCAGCCAGCACGCAGGCAAGGGTACCAGTTCCCAGACAAGCTGAGCTACGTATCAGTGAGAGTAGGCATAGTTTGCAATCTGTCCCAGTACCTTAGCCAGATACAAGATGAGGCAGCAGCTCCCCCAGATGGTACCCCTCATGTTTCCAGGAAAACCCGACGGTGGCTTGCTTTGACAGATAGGGAAATTCTTTCTCACTAAGCAGGCTGTTGTTTTCCTTCCCCCCTCTTTGTTATTGAGTCTGCTTTGTCTTTTCTGGATGGTAATCCTGTCGATGACAGGGATGAGATATATTTGTAAGACTTGTTTGTATAGATGTCTATATATGTGTATATGTCTATATGTGCCTTTGTGTTTGTGTTTTTTTTGTATGTGTGTATACATCATTTTGTGCTTGTGTGGGTATGTGTCTTTCTGCATTTAGATGTGTCTGTGTAAGACAAGAAGTGGAGGGAGAAGAGGAACACTGAGCCAAGGAAGTAGGGGCTGAAAGAAAGCCCATAAATGAGGTTGAGGATCAAGGAGCAGGTTAGGGACAAAGGGTTTGGCCTGAGGTATAGGACACAGGACCTGGAAGTAAAAGCAGAGCCAGAAATGTAATCAGCAGCCCAAAGATGCTGTCAGTCTAGGCAGAATCTGGGCCCCACAGAGTGGTAGGCAGAATGCAGGTATCACCTAGCAGCCAGGAATGGTCAAGCTAGCAGAGAGAGAAAAGCCATGCTTCAGAAATTAAAAACTTCTGACTCTTCCTGTCTAAGGAGGAATTGGCAGCTGGCTCCCAAGGCCCTGCTTCCCTTCAGACCTAACTGGTGTTTGTGTTTGTTTGACTATATATGTATTTTTTCAAGTCCTTCTGTGCATGTCTGTGTCTGCATATGCCTCACATTCAGTGTACTTGTACTTCATAGCATTAAGAAGAATTGTCTGATTCACTTAAGTTCAGTGAGTTTCCTTTCATTTCCTTTCATTCATTCTTGTGTTCTTCTCCTCACTTATAAATACCTCCTTTGAAATCTTTCTTACTTTTTGATGTGCTCCTTGCCTTCTTTCTCTCTTTTTTCTTCAAACATATTTAGTGTGTGCTATGTGCTGGATGCTGGATATGCTTTGCATATTCATTTAAAGACTAATAAGATGAATTTACTACCTAGAAAGGTCTCACATATTACTGAGGCAAAAAAAAATACATATTCAATCCCCATAGATATTGTAACAAGAGATGAGCCCTGCATGCTCTGGAAGTACAGAAAAGAGTTAATCCATCTGAGGATGATAGGAAACACTATCCAGAAAAGGTATTGCCTGAGATGAATTTTTGGAGATGAATAGGGGTTTACATGGGGAGGGGGCTGAGCATGATACATCATGTGGAGTAACAAGTATGATGTCCTTGGGAATCTGTGGTCAGTGGTTCTTTTAACTTGAGCAAATGTAATAGTGGGGCAGGGAGGGAGAGGTTGGGAATAAGATTAGAAAGGCAGGCTGTAGCCAGATTTGTGTGCCATACTGAGGAACTTGGATTTCATCCTAAAGTTGAAAAGCTAGAAGTAAACAGAGCTGGCCCTAATTCTGACTGAAGGTATGTCAGGAGCAGGTTTTGCAGAGGAGGTGAAGTTGGAACTTGGTTTTTAAAGATGAGCAGGAGTTTACTAGATGAAGAAAGGAAGAAGAGCATTCCAGGAAAGGGGAACTTAACGAGTAAAGGCAGGAGGCAAAAAATATGGCAACTCTGGGAGACATCAAGTAGGGAAGTATCTAGAGAATAGTTATTTCATCTATGAGATAGGGACACCAGTAACATATACCTTCAATGGCTGATGTGAGGCTTGAAAAATATCCTTTGTAAACCATAGAGCTGTGTGCAAATTTCTATAGTTGTTGTGTTATCCAGTTTCTTCTAATTTTTTGTCAGTACCCAACATGCATCAGGCCTTCTCAGGTATAGATCCACATAGGCATACACCTCAGCAGTTTGGCACTGGCTTGATGAGAGGCATGCCCTCTTTTATCTAGCCACTTGGTGTCTTGAGGAGGCAGAGGTAAGATTAGAAGTCTCTGGGAAGTCACTGGTAAGATTAGAAGTTGCTGGGTCCCTTGACAAGGGGGCTCATATTCTTTATTCTTGTTTATCCTCAGACACTAGGTTTCTCCTCAGATAAACCAGTATAAATAGTATGAGCCCCCTTGTCAAGGGGACCTAGGTTCAGAATAGTCAAACACATATGAAGCATCTTCTACATACAGGCACTGTAAGGGACTGTGCCTTAAATTATCTCCTTTTCTCCACATTGTAACTGTGAGGTAGTTTGCATTTTACAGGCTCTAGGTGACACAGTGGTAAGTGGCAGAAATGTGATTCAAGACATTATCTGTGAAATTCTTTTTCCTCTGTGACACTTCATAAGCTTTGTGATTTCTCTGGATGTTGACCAAGCTGCGTGATCAGTTAAGAGTGGAAAACTTTGTGCAGTCTCAGGCAGTATGGGGATGGAGGAGTTGGAGAGAAAGTTGCTTGGCTCTGTCTTTGGGATTGAGTGGTAACACTTTCCTCTGCATAGAACAGTGGTTCTTTCCTTCGAGGACCAACTCTCTTCTATATATCTGTCTCACCTAGATGCTTTCAATATGTCTGATTAATCTGTGTGTCCTTGGATCTCAGCACAAGACCTGTCACATAGTAACTACTCAGTAAATATTGGTTAGGCAAATGAAAGAACAAATGGTGCTTAACAAAGCCTTCTGGAACTCCCAATGCCTGCACTATTCTTCTGCCTTCTCTTGTGTAGTACAATACTCTTAATAGGATATTTTGTCCTTAAGGACACACACACACACACACACACACACACACACACACACAGTGTGTATATATATTTTGTATTGCTCATTGATGCATAAGCCTAAATCCCCCCTCTTAGAGTTGATTAGATGCCAGGAGCTTCTTGGGAGAGGCATGAGTTTGTTTTACTCTCTTATATTCTTTGTCCCTAAGCCTCTTCCCATACCACTGCCCAAAGGTGAGTGTCATTTATAAGGAACACGTGATGAGCTCTAATTCTTTTTGCCAAGTCTATTGAAGTGGGTGTTCTATTTTGGAAATGGAGTCCTAGAGGTTTTCCTGCTGTTGAGTGTTTGGCTGGGTTTGTGATCCTCTCAGGGTGTTTGAAAGCCATGTATAGGGATGGTAGCATGAGGGAAAACTGAGCAGTGAATCGAAGTTGCCGTTTGTTCATGGGGATTGTCAGGGAGAGAGATTTCCTCAGCACCTGAAGCCAGAGCAGAGGGTGGATTTATTATATCTAGTCCAGGGATCAGCAAACTGTTTTTTTCGTGTAGCCTGCAAACTAAAAATGATTTTTACATTTTTTTCTTTCATAATTGAGATTTTATTGGTTGAGGATCAGTACAAACATTTCAATTTGTACACAATTCTTAACATACGTACCGAAAATCTAAAAAGCCATGTATTGTAATTCTTTTTTTTTAAAGTTATTCCAGTGACTTTCCAGCTTAAAATTTGGAAGCAAATTGTCCTTAAGAGGCTATCAAGTACCGGTATGTTCACATGTTGATAAGCTGTTACATATGTCCCACCAATTCACAACTGAATAGCATGTATACTACATATTCAAATTTTTAATCTTTCACAGCACAGTAACCAAGTGATTAGGAAAACAGGACTACCACAACCAAAGATGTTACAGAGTACACACAATTCTGACAGGGAGAGCCATGATCAAGGACTGGTTTTCTTTAGGAAACAATTCTACTAAAAAATAACATGGGAATAGAAGTAATTTAAAATGTTCAAGACATTAAATGCAGGGCTGCTGACTCCATATTGTCATTTAATATGCATTGTATTATAGGATATAAAAACTAACCCCCATCTATGGAGTGTTAAGCTGACAGCAAAGACAGTCAAAACCTCCCATAATTCAATAACCCACACTGTTTTCTGGTTGTACCAAAAAATAAACAACCAGCGAATGATTTCACCTCTTAAATAAAGCATTTACACTTAAAAGATGGGATGAGGTGGGATTCCCTCCTTCTTAAAAATGTTTCTAGAGCTACTAAAAAACTTGCATTTACAAAATAGTTGATAAAAATATTCCTCTGGATTGTACAAGAAGGGAGACAGGGACCACTGATAATGTATGATGTGTGGTATTATTCAGACTTGGCTTCCTTCTCTCCTGCCTCATCAGAGGCTGGACTCTCCTCAGTTTTCTTTTCCCTGTTTACTGCAGGTAAATGTTCTTTAGTTTCTTGGTTAGCCACTTCGGCCTGTTTTCCCTTTGCTCCCCTTTTCCCTTTTGTTTGCACTTGTTTGTCTGAAGATTTATCCTTTGCTGCTGCCTTTTTCGGCTTCGCTTCCACTTTTGCAGGAGCAGGTTTAGCAGACAACCGCGCCGATCTCCTCTTGGGCTCTTCCTTGGCGGCCCCTTCCGCGGAGCTGACCTTGCTCTTAGGCATCCTGGCGGCGTGGAGGGTGCGTGCGGGATGTCTGTGAGCCGCGGCGCACCGAGAGCCTTCGCGAAGCTGGGCTGCCTGGTCGCTGCCGCTCCTCCCGCCGCCCGAGCTGCTGAGATCCCCAGAAGGGGCGGTGGGAGAACCCTGATTTTTACATTTTAAAATAGTTTAGGGGGAAAGCTAAAGAAGAATTTCAAGATGTGAAATTTATATGAAATTGAAATTTCAGTGTCTGTAAAGTTTTATTGGCATACAGCCACTCTCGTTCATTTACATATTGTCTATTGCTGCTTTTACACAAGAACAGCAGAGTTGTGTAGTTGCGACAGAGACCATATGGACCACCAGGCCTAAAATATTTACTGTCTGACTCTTTACAGAAAAAGTTTATCTGGCCTCTAGTCTAACCTATCAATTTTAAAAAAACAGCTTTTTGGAGAAAGAATTCACATACCGTGCAATTCACCCATTTATATACAATTCAATGGGTTTTAGTATATTCACAGATATGTGCAACCATCACCTCAGTCAATTAAAAACATTTTTGTCACCTCAAAAAGAAACCACATACGCATTAGCTATTGTTCTCTCTCCACATTTCCCCCAGCCCTAAGCAACCACGAATCTACTTTCTCTTTCTGTAGTTTTGCCTATTACGGACATTTCATGTAAATTCAATCATATAATATGTGGTCTGTTGTAACTAGCTTTTTTCACTTAGCATGTTTTCAAGGTGCATTCATGTTGTATCAGTACTGCCTGTACATGTTCATGTATATATATCTGTACTTTATTTCTTTTCATGGGCAAATAATATTCTATTGCATGGACATACCAGTTTTGTTTAGCATTCATCAATTTATAGACATCTGGTTTGTTTCACTTTTTGGCTATAATGAAAACTGCTGCTATAGACATGTATAAGTTTTTGTGTGGACGTGTGTTTTATGTTTTGTTTGGATGTATACTTTTATTTCTCTTGGGTACATACATATGAATAGAATTGCTGGGTCATATGGTAACTGTGTTTACCTGTTTTAGGAACTGCCAGAGTATTTTCCATATAAAAATGGTTCAAGTGGCTAAACCATTTTTACATTCCTGCCAGCAGTGTATAAGGGATCTGTTCTCTCCACATGCTCATCAACACTTGTTATTGTCTGACTTTTTGATTACAGTCATCCTAGTTGGTATAAAGCAATATCTCATTATGATTTTGATTTACATTTCTCTGATGACTAATGGTATTGAACATCTTTTCATGTGCTTAATGGTTATTTGTATATCTTCTTTAGAGAAATATTTTCTCAGATCCTTTGCTCATTTATTTTATTTTTTATTATTTAAAAAAATTTCCATCTTCATTTTATATTCACGGGGTACATGTGCAGGTTTGTTACAAGAGTATATTGCGTGATGCTGAGGTTTGGGATTCTATTGATTTTCTTATGCAGATAGTGACCGTAGCATCCAATGGGAATTTTTTCAGTCCTTCTCCCTATCCCCACTCCTTTTGGAGATCCCAGTATCTATTGTTCACATCTTTGTGTTTGTGTGTACCCAAGATTTAGCTCCCACTTACAAGTGAGAACATGCAATATCTGGTTTTCTGTGTCTGCATTAATTCACTTAGGATAATGGCATCCAGCTGCATTCATGTTGCTGCAAAATATTTTCATGGTCAATATGTACCACATTTTCTTTCCTTTCTTTTTTTTTTTTTTTTTTTGAGTCAGGGTCTTTCTCTGTCACCCAAACTGGAGTGCAGTGGCATGATTCCAGCTCACTGCAGCCTCAATCTCCTGGGCTCAAGCATTCCTCCCACCTCAGCTTCTGAGTAGCTGGAACTACAGGCATGCACCACTGCCTGGCTAATTTCTTTGTATTGTTTTGTAGATACGGGGTTTTGCCATGTTGCCTGGGCTGGTCTTGAACTCCTGGGCTCAAGCTCTCCTCCCGCCTTGGCCTCCCAAAGTGCTGGTATTACAGGCGTGAATCACCGTGCCTGGCCTGTATCACATTAATTAATGGCATCTAGGTTGATTTCATGCCTTTGCTATTGTGAATAGTGCTGCAGTGAACATATGAGTGCACATGTCTTTTTAGTAGAATAATTTATTTTCCTTTGGGTATGTATACAGTAATGGAATTGCTGGATCGAATGGTAGTTCTATTTTTAGTACTCTTAGAAATCTCCAAACTGCTGTGGCCGGGCGCGGTGGCTCACGCCTGTAATACCAGCACTTTGGGAGGCTGAGGCGGGTGGATCACCTGAGGTCGGGGTTCAAGACCAGCCTGACCAACATGGAGAAACCCCATCTCTACTAAAAATACAAAAAAATTAGCCGGTCATGGTGGCGCATGCCTGTAATCCCAGCTACTTGGAAGGCTGAGGCAGGAGAATCGTGTGAACCTGGGAGGCGGAGGTTGCGGTGAGCCGAGATCGTGCCATTGCACTCCAGCCTGGGCAACAAGAGTGAAACTCCATCTCAAAAAAAAAAAAAAAAAAAAAAGAAAAAAAAAAAAAATCTCCAAACTGCTTTCCACAGTGGCTGGACTAATTTGCATTCCCATCAACTGTGTATAAGTGTTTTCTTTTCTCTGCAGCCTTGCCAACATCTGTTTTTTTGTTTTTTTTTTTTTTTTTTTTTTAGTTTTTAATAATAACTTTGCGTCCTGGTATGGTGGCTCATGCCTGTAATCCCAGCGCTTTGGGTGGCGGGTGGATTGCCTGAAGCCAGGAGTTCGAGACCAGCCAGGGCAATGTGGCAGAACTTGGTCTCTACAAAAAAAAAAACACAAAAATTAGCTAGGCATGGTGATGTGTGCCTATAATTCCAGCTACTCAGAAGGCTGAGACATGAGAATGGCTTGAACCCAGTAGGCAGAGGTTGTAGTGAGCCGAGATTGGGCCACTGCACTTTAGCCTGGGTGACAGAGTGAGACTCTGTCTCAAAAAAAAATTTAAATAAAATAAAAAACCTTTACTTATTTTTAAATTGGGTTGTCTTTTTGGTATTGAGTTGTTAAAGTTCTTTATATATTTTAGGTACAAATCCCTTATGAGATACGTGATTTGAAAATATTTTCTCCCATTCTGTGGGTTGCTTTTTCACTTTCTTGGTTGTATCCTTTGAAGCACAGAAGTTTTAAATTTTGATGAAGTCCAGTTTATTTATTTTTTTGCTGTTGTTTCTGCTCATACTTTTGAGGTCATGTCTGAGAAACCATTGTCAAATCCAAGGTCGTGATGACTTACCCCTGTGTTTTCTTCTAAGAGTTTTAAAGGCATCTGAAGCTTAATGTGCACTAGATGGATTCTAAATATCATCTCATCCAAAACCTGCTATATATACTACCTTCCTCATCTCAGTTGAAGGCAAGTCCATTGTTTCAATTGCCTGGGCAAAAAATATTCTAAATAATTCATAATTTTTCCTCAACTCCACATCTATTGGTAAATCCTGTGGGTTCTCCTTTTAAAACATATCCAAAATAGAATCATTTCTCACTATCATTCCACTGCAGGCACCAAGTCTCAATAGTCTCCTAGCAGATAATCATGTCTACATTTATTCTCAATGTAGCAGCTAGAGAGCTTTTTTGAAAAAAAAAAAAAAATGTAAACCAGATCATTTCACTCTCCTCAAAACTTCATTTTTTTGTTTGGTGTGAAAGCCACAGTCTCCACAAAAGTTAGCAAGGCCCTCTGTGATCTGGTCCCCACTTATTCTGATCTCCTCTCTGACTTATATTCCCCTTGTCACTCACTGTAGCCACACTCTTTGGTGTTCCTTCATACTCTTTTATATTCCTGCTTTAGGGCCTTGGTTCTAGCTTTTGCCGCTGCCTGGACTATTGTTTCCTTAGGTATTTAGTTTATGCCCTCATATTTCCATATAAAATATACTTTGTGGCTGGGCGTGATGGCTCAAGCCTGTAATCCCAGAACTTTGGGAGGCCAAGGTGGGCAGATCACTTGAGGTCAGGAGTTTGAGACCAGCCTGGCCAACATAGTAAAACCCTGTCTCTACTAAAAATACAAAATTAGCCGGGCGTGGTGGCATATGCCTGTAATCTCAGCTACTCGAGAGGCTCAGGCAGGAGAAATGCTTGAACCCAGGAGGTGGAGGTTGTGGTGAGCAGAGATTGTGCCACTGCACTCCAGCCTGGGCGACAGAGGGAGACTCTGTCTCAAAAAAACAAAAAACGAAACAAAAACCCCAAAAATATTCTTTGTCATTTGTCATACTTCATGTTATCAAAGAGACCTTTCCCAGACCACCCTATTTAATAATGAAATCTGCACCTCTACTCCATTCCTGGCACCCAGATCTTCATTATGAATCACTTTTTAAAATAATTTTTAAGAACTTATCATCATCTGGATTTTATTATTTAATCACTTATTGTTTTATTATTTATTGCCTAGAATATAAAGTTCATAAGGGAAAGGGATCTGTTTTGTTCACTGCTATGTCTCCAGTACCTAGAACAGTACCTGGCTCACTGTTGGTACTTTTTTGTATGGATTCAAAGTACTATCTGGGGGGGTCACTTAAAGAGCTTCCTTTAGTATTTTTTTGTAAGGTGTGTCAGTTAGCAATGAATTTTCTCAGTGTTTGTTTATCTGGAAATGTCTTTATTTTCACAAGAGTTTTGCCGGATGTACAATTCTTGGTTGACATCCTCTCACTTCAGTGAGCCCTTTGATCATGTTATCCCATTGTCTTCTGGCATCCATTATTTTTGGTGAGAAGTTAACTGTTAATCTTACTGGGTTCACATGTGTGTGATGAGTCATTTTTCTCTTGCTGCTTTCAAACTTTCTCATTGCCTTTGACTTTTAGCGTTTTACTTAATGTGTCTATTTGTGGATCTCTTTGCATTTATCCTATTTGGAGTTTATTAGATTTTCTTTATGGGTAGATTAATGTTTTTCAAAACTTGGGAGGTTTTTCAGCCATTATTTCTTTGAATATTTTTCCTTCTCCTTTTTCTTTCTTTTTTTTTTTTTTTGAGACATAGTCTCACTCTGTCACCCAGGCTGGAGTACAGTGGCACAATCTCAGCTCACTCCAATCTGACTCCTGGGTTCAAGCGATTCTCATGTCTCAGCCTCCCCAAGTAGCTGGGATCGCAGGCGTACACCACCACACCCGGCTAATTTTTGTATTTTTAGTAGAGATGTGGTTTCGCCATGTTGTCCAGGCTGGTCTTTAACTCCTGGCCCCAAGCAATCCACCCACTTTGGCCTCTCACAGGTGTGAGTCTTTCTGCTCCTTTTTCTTTATCTTCCCCTTCTGGTATTCATATATTGGTGTGATTAATGGTGTTCTACATTTCTCTGAGGCTCTGTTCATTTTTCTTCATTCCTTTTTCTCTATGTTTTTAGGATTGTATAATCTCTATCAGTCTCTCTTGAAGTTTGCTAATTCTTCCTGCTGCCAGTTCAGATCTACTATTTAGCCCCTGTCCTAATTTTCCACTTCAGTTATTGTACTTTTCAACTCCAGAACATCCATTTGGTTCTTTTTTTAAAACAATAATTTGTCTCTTTATTGACATTCTTTATTTGATGCATCATTGACATCATGCATTCCTTTACCTCTTTAAAAATCATGATTTTTTTTTTTTTAATCTTTGGACATATTTATAATGGCTAATTTGTAGTCTTTTTCTGTTAAATCTGACATCTGGTCCCTCTTACTGAGAGTTTCTGTTGCCTACTTTTTTTCTGGTATATGGGTCACACTTTCGTGTTTCTTTGTTTTTTGTTTGTTTGTTTGTTTGAAGCTGAACATTTTTGATAATATATTGTAGCAACTTTGGGTACTTGTCTGATTCCTCTGGGGCTTATTATTATTTGCTTGTTTATTTATTTAATGACTGGCTAGATTGTTTAAGTGGTTGATCCCCCTCCTCCCACAGTGTGAATCCTCTGATGTTGCTCCTCAGAGGACTTTGGTATGCCCACAGTCATATTTGGATGATAATGGTTTGGGCAGAACTTTGACTGTCTCTTTCCCTGGCCACACCCAGCTTTTTAGGTTCACTAATTGCCATCTGGTTGCTCTGCTCTTTTCAGCAATGCCCTGAGGCATAAATTGCTTCCCAGACTAATCCAACTATATTAGGGTTCCTTTGAAGGGATAGTTCCTGAGGTCAGTGTTTGAGATTTGTTCTTTTTTGGTTTGTTTTTGGAGATAGAGTCCCACTGTTTCACCCAGGCTAGAGTGCAGTGGCGTGATCATGGCCCACTGCAGCCTCAACCTCCTGGACTCCAGTGATCCTCCTACCTCAGCCTCCTGAGTAATTGGGACCACAGGTGTGTGCTACTACACCTGGCTTCTTTTTTTTTTTTTTTTTTAAGTTCTGGGATATATGTGCAGGATGTGCAGGTGGCCTGGCTAATTTTTAAATTTTTTGTGAAGATGGGGTCTCCCTATGTTGCCCAGGCTGGTGAAATTTGTTCTTACCCTGAGAGACTCCTCCCAGCTGTCTCTTTCCCTAGTTATCTCCAGCAAATTCTCTAGTCTACAGTTTAGCCTATATCTCCAATGAATCTGCTAATCTTTTCCTTTCACCACAACTTCTACTCTTTTGAGAGTACCCTACCCTTAGTCTTGAAATTCTCTACACTCTGTCACAGATGAGGTCATTTCCCCTGGGAAGAGATTCAGATCTCTTTGTTTTATAGCCTGCTTCCTCGGCCAGGCAAAATCTTTGAGTCACGGTTCTGGAGCTAGGGTGGGGGACAATGACATGCTTCTGAGTGACACCACCACTTTAGGAGCTGAGGACTTGGTGGAGGGGTGGCAGTAGCCTCAGGTCTTTTTGGTTTTCTTCTCCCAGAGTGTAATCACCATCTTATGAGCCAGGGCAATGCCAGTTGTGGCTCCAGTATTCTTAGTGGCACTGCATCCAAGGTAAAGCTCTCGTCCTATGAGTGGGGTTTAAACGGGACAAAAGAGGCCCACCTTTTAGCTGCACTCACTTAGAACTTAGCCTCAGTAACAGGTAGCTGGGGGAAGGATCAGAAATGCTAATATCCTGCTCAGGACATTCCAGGCAGCTAACCCTTTAACAGGGAGCTTGAGAGAGAAGGTCTGTGTTTAGCTGCATCAGTGTGCAGTGGAGTTTCTGTGTCATTGAGTTGGGAGAGGCAAGGTGGAGAACAGGTCTTGGTTTAAATATTGTGGACTCTCGCTGTTCTTAGATTTTCTTGAGCATATGTTTCTTCATTGGCTGTGTGCCTTTAAGACCATTTCCAGAAACTTTAAATGGTTGCTTTTGAAAAATAAGTTTCACTAGTTTTACTGGAGAGTGGGTCTGTGGAGCTTCTCATGCTGTCAAACTAGAAGTCCCTTCTAACCCATCAATTTTGTAACTGTTCTTTCTCATAGTGCATTTTCTCCAGTGCTATGCATTCAGCCTATATAAATGTGGCAGTATTTACCCCAATTAAGAAGATAATCTCTTTCCTCTGGGGAAATATTTTCTAATTAGTGATCTATTTCTGTCCTCCTTTCATAAAACAAAGGTTCCCCAGACAGTATTCTTTGGCTAGCTTGGATACTTTGGTTCTGACAGTTTGTAAGACTGGAGATGTTAGAGTTTCTCTGTCTTTGCCATTCTGGCCAGGTACCTGGCAAGCTGAAACTTTTAATGCTGCCTCTAGGATTTGACCTGTGTCATGTGCCCAGTGTTTTGGTGGGGCATCAACAATGATTCCATGACAAGCACTGAGCGTTCTCATTGACCTCAGAGGGATTCTCTGTATCTATGTATGTGCTAGGTGCTGGAAAAAAAGGAGTAAAAGGAAAGGCAATGTTGCTGCCTTTGAAGAAGTTCCCCTAGTGGTGGAGATAGCCATAAAACAGATAAGGACACTATAATTTATTAAGTGGATACTGTGAGGCACAATGGCGTGCACCTGTAGTACCAGCTACTTGGGAGGCTGAGGTGGGAGAATTGCTTGAGCCCAGAGTTCAAGACCAGCCTTAGCAATATATCGAAACCCTGTCTCTAAAAAAAAAATAAAATTTTAAGAGTGAACACTGTGATAGAGTTGCAGAAGAGGACGCCCTAAGTCAGCCTTTCCCATGTTATAGTCACTGACACATAATCCGGATCTCAACAGATGACTAGGAGTGATAAGGAGAATGTTTTAAGTGAGGGAATAGCATGTACAAAGATATTGTACAGGTGAAAAGCCTGGTACTGTCAGAGAGTTTTAAGTAATTCATTATCATTGGGAATTGGGAATTCATTATCATTGGGAATGAGAGGAAGTGGCAACTGATGCACTGAGGAAGGCCAGCCCATAGAGGAGGGAGGGTCTTGCATAAAGTTGTAAAGTTTTGATTTTAAATGGAGTTAAAGCTTTAAAAGCTTTCAAAGAATCATAGAGTAGAACAAAAAGGACCTTAGAGGTTAGTAGACTACAATGTCTTGTCTTAACTATCTCCATTCCTAACCTCTTGACACATGGACTTTATATAGCAAGCACTTAGAAAATATCCGTTTTCTACCTCCTCTATAGGTCTTCCTTACATATGAGGGATCAGCATCACTGTAATAGTGGGCCCTAGGATTGTACGTTCTTTTAGTATCTTTAATCCTTCTTAAAACATATTACACACACACACAGACAGGAGAGCTTATTTTGTGCCAGGCACTATTCTAAGGTATTTAGTTGAATTTACTCATTTATGCTTCCCTCAACATGAGGGTTGTTAGGTTTTGTGCTACTATCTTCATTTTACAAATGATGCAAGTTATACACTGAAACTAAGTGGTGGAACGAGGATTCAAACCCAGGCAGCCAGGTCTAGAATCAAACTCTAAAGTATCATGTTACATTGAATCCAAGCTAGTGTAACTCTCTGGCTCCTGGCTAAATATCTTTCTTTTAGATAGGCTGACAATTTGGGGACCTTTTTCTTTCTTCTATTCAATAGACAATTATGTCTTGACTAGCTATTGTAAGCTAAGCTCTCTGCTACATGTTATAGGACAAACTCGAGAGACACTCCTTCAGTTATTTAATAACCACACACTCTGCTCTGTGCCGGGCCCTCGGCTTGGAGATGGATTTATGGAGCTAAATTAATTATTCATTTATGTATTCCAGAAAATTTACAAGATGCTGGTGAAGAATAAATGATAAATAAAATATAGTCTCTATTTTTGAGTTGCTTAGGGAGAGTAAGAGGGGGATAATGTATACCCTGAGAACTAAGGGAACAAATAGGATAGGGCAATGAACTCACCTGGGAGAGATCTAGAAAACTTCACAGAAGGCAGTGACTTTTTATTTAATAGACAAAGAGTGGGAGAAAGCATTTTAAATGGAGCACCTTGTGCAAAATCTTGGGGGTATAAAAGATCATGGTTTGGTCAAGGAGCATGAAATGGCTTGATGTGTCTAGAGCAGGCAACTTTTTCTGTAAAGGATTAGATAGTAATTATTTTAGACTTTGATAGCCATAGAGTCTCTGTTACAAATACTCAACTCTGTCTTTGTAGCATGAAAGCAGCCACAGAAAATATACATCAATGCATGAGCCTGGCTATGTTTCAGTAAAACTTTATGAAAACTGGCTGGGCATGGTGGCTTATGCCTGCAATCCCATCACTTTGGGAAGCCAAGGCAGGAGGATTGCTTGAGTCTATGAGTTTGAGACTAGCCTGGACAATATGGTAAGACCCTGTCTCTACAAAAAATGAAGAAAAAATTAGCCCCTGTGCCTGTAGTCCAAGCTACTCGGGAGGCTGAGGCAGGAGGACTGCTTAAGCCCAGGAGGCTGCAGTGAGCCATCTTCACGCCACTGCATTTCAGCATGGGCAATAGAGGGAGACTCAGTCTCAAAACCAACAAACAGCAAACTGGATTTGGCTTATGGCCATAGTTTTCTGACCCAATATCTGG